>NC_000002.12:7585757-7888787 GCF_000001405.40 Homo sapiens
TGAGCAATTCCTGTCCCTTTTAAGGGCTCACAACTCTAAGGGGGTGCGTGTGAGAGGGTCGTGATCCATTGAGCAAGCAGGGGGTACGTGACTGGGGGCTGCATGCACCCGTAATTAGGTAGGAACAAAACAGGATAGCGATTTTCACAGTGCTTTTCTATAGGATGTCTGTAATCTATAGATAACATAACCGATTAGGTCAGGGGTCGATCTTTAACTACCAGGCCCAGGGTGTGGCGCCGGGCTGTCTGCCTGTGGATTTCATTTCTGCCTTTTAGTTTTTACTTTTTCTTTCTTTGGAGGCAGAAATTGGGCATAAGACAATATGAGGGGTGGTCTCCTCCCTTACATTGAGGCCAACCTCACTGAGTCTTATGCTGGGTCCTTGCTTTTCATATGTCTGAATCTGCCTGGTTGACCTGGGATCATCCAATACCTTCATCTTTTCTGAGTGATTTTATTGTGGGTTTATCTGTTGTAATTCAGGCTTTTAGTTTTTTGACCCCATATAAAGTTTTTTTTACAGTTGTTTATTTTTTCTATTTCCACTTATGTTTAGAAGTGATGTGCCTTGTCTTCCAACATTTCTTCTTCTTTTGTTCTTATTTTGCTATGTTACTTGTAATTACCTTGTTTATCCTTTGTTACGTATTTTCAGTTTTCCAGTTTTTACCATCTGGCTAATTCTAAGGTATACATTTTGTTTTAAAAATACTATTTCTACGCTGAAGACTTCTAAATATATATCTCCAGCCAAGAATTTTCTTCTGAACTCCAGAATCACAACTTCTCCATTGCTGTTTTCACTGGGACCAGTTTCATGCATTTCAAAATTAACATTCATGGAACTGAATTTCTGCTCTGGCACCTCACCTTCTCCCCTCTGGTCTTCTGGATCTGAAGAAACATTCTTTCCATGCATTAGTTTCCTCAGGCCAAGATATCTGGACATCTCTTTCCTTCTCATGCCCACATCCAATCCATCATCAACCTCTATGAGCTCACCCTCCAAATCTCTTCAGTAGCCGCTGCCACAAGCCCAGCTCAAATCATCAGCATCTTTTGCCAACTGCAGCTTCTTAGATCATCTTGTTGAACCTACTGTTGGCCTCTTCCAACTGGTTTTCCACATGGAATCCAGATCAATTTGAAGTGTAAATTAGGATTTTTAAAACAATTTATTTTAAATAATGACTTCATTAAGTTCCAAAATTACCAAGTTGAGAGTATATACCCTTCCTGGAGTGAGAAAATGAGAAACGAGGAGCATGATTGTGAAAGGGAGGAGCAGACCCTCAAATGTTGCTTAATTTGCCCACTTCTGGTCACTTTTTTGCAAACTTGCATTTTATCAATACCTTGTGTAGTGCATTGCCTGATAATTCGGACAGCATACCTTTTGCGGTTTATTTCACACCATTTCAGAGAGTGAACAGTCTGAATGCATGCCACCATATTTCCTGGAATATGGGTCACACATTTAAGCTAAACCTCTTTGCCATATGTTACCTCCGTGTGTCAATTTGTTATCATGAGCTTCTTCATCATGGTCCTATGGTTTCCTCCAAAGTAAAGGCAGCAATTATCTCTTTTAATTACCATTCATTCATTGTTGATTGAGCACCTACTGGTACAACAAACTGTGCTTTTTGTATGTATAGGAGCTACAGAGGTAAGTAAAGTTCAGTCACTGCCTTTAAGGAATTTAGAATTCGGTGGGGAAGATGAAACTTGTAAAAGTGCCATATGTCATGGTGTATGCAAAGTTGAACTGAAGTTCACAGGAAGGAATGGTCACTTCTAAAGTTGTTAGAAATGACAGCTGGAAACTCCATGATATGATATTGATTATAGATTACAATCTCTCTCTTGGCTTATTTCTATTTTTCTTTAAGTTACTTTACAAATGTTTAGAAAATAGCTCAGCATATGACCCTGCCCAAAAGTTCACCCACGATATTCCATCTTTTGAAAGTTTTATCTTCCAAAATAGGCCACAATCATAACTGCTTAATCCAAATTGCAATTACTCCTCAATGAAATCAGCTTTCTTAATTCATAAAGAAACTCAAGATCCAAGAGTTTGAATTTACTCCTGCCTTCCAGAGGGAAGATATTTTTAAAAATATTTCTCTGAAAATAAAAATATTAATGTTTAACAAGAGTTTTTACATCTTCCCTCCTCCATTTTTTTTTTTAAATTTCGAAGACCTTTGAAGGTCCTTGAAGTACATGAATCATAAAGGGGTCAATGCAACTTCTATAAGGTAGAATATTCTACTTTAACCCATGATATGAAACCACAAGACAAAGCATTTATTATTTTTTTTGAATTTTTTCCTTTCATTTTAGGTGGCACATAATAATTGCACATATTGATGAGATACACAGTGATATTTCAATGTGTGTCTACAATTTGTATATGACCCCCCATCTCTAAACCATATACAAAACTCAACTCAAAATAGATTAGAGACTTAAATGTAAGATCTGAAACTAAAAAACCATTAGAAGAAAACAGAGGGTAAATGCTTCAGGACGTTGATCTAGTAGGCATGGTATGGCTAAGACTTCAAAAACCCAGATAACAAAAACAAAAATAGACAGATGGGACTATAGTAAGCTAAAAAGCTTCTGCACAGCCCAGGAAACAATCGACAGAACGAAGAGACAACCTATAGAATGGGAGAAAACATTTGCATACGATTCATCCAAATTTCTTTTTAAAATATTGTGCAAGTTTAGTGACTCATACACATGAAAGTGTCGTGTAAACTGTGAAGAACCAAATCAACTGTGTGAAAAGTCCATAAGCCAACAGGATGACAATGCACAGAAGCAATTCTTTAAAGCCAGTGGAACCAAAGATAAATGGATCAGGAAATAGTGTCCTCAGTGTCATAATCACAAAGACATCATTCATACTGTATTTTCAGCCTTCTTTAGGCTAATATTTTCCTCTTGTAGGATAAGATTTATTGGACTATTTCATCCGTAGCAGAGTTTAAAAATGGGAAAATGGGAATCACTCTTTGGAGTAGAAGATAGATGCATAGGAGGATTTCACCTATGGATCTTACCAACTCCAGCATGAACCATTTGGAATAACTTACCTGTAGAGTCTAAATGTGTTGCTGAGAAATGTGGACAAGAGAGCAGTAAGGCCCAGCTGAGACCAAGTTCAAGGTTAAGACACAAATTTAGACACTGCTCCTGAACAGTGGTAACCTCATTCCAGTAGTTCATTTTTGTATACTATCTCAAGACTAAAGAGGCTGCACACAATTGGATTTGACCTCTCTGTTTCTGGATTTGTTTATAAAATTTGGAAGTTGGACTATGTACACAGTAACCAGTACAATCATGAGATGCTGATTCTGGGAAATACTGGCGGTTAAGCCATTCTCTCCTTTCCTACCTTGATATCCTTAAATGCAGCATCTATGGATGGAAAACAGTTGTGGATATATAAACAGATGCCCAAACAGGACATTTATATGGTGCAAACCTCAGGTAAGCTAGATGAAGTTCTTAGGTAAATTTTTTTTCCAGAGAGATGTCCTTCAATAATTGCCACCAGCTGCATTTTGGTGGAGGAGCATCAGCCATAGTTCAATAACTAAATCCTTGCTAGTGTCCTCCACATCTGTAGGTCTGACTGGTCCTTCTGATGAGCAACTGATCCCACAGCTCTTCCTGTTGTCCCGGAGAGTGACTGCCTATACAATGCCACCCAGAAGTTTCCTAAGTGAAGTTCACAGATGATGGACATATAACCTGTGTTTTAAATCAGACTACAGAAATGTTTATTTAAAACCGTTGAGAAAACCATCAAGACTTTTTTTTCATGATGTATTAACAGACTACTTTTAACTCTGTTCATAGTCACTTTGGAGAAACATGTGAAGCATATGTTAGGTGCTTCTAGGAAGTGATTATGTACTGTCACTAACATTGTGTCAAATAATGATCACAATGATGAAAAATGAGCATCGGTGTGGATTTGACAGGGGTTTTACCATTCTTTATTATTATTTCATTCATTTGATTACAAAATCCCTGAGTGCATTGACCACACTTGTTTTGTTCACCAACTTATAACCAAGTCCAACATCAAGGCCAGTAAATATTTCTTCACTAAATAAGTTAATAGTGGCCTCCTGACCTTGGAAAAAGATGAAAATTACTTCCATGGTAATTAGAAGGCAATTCTAACTCAGAGATGCTAAATGACTTTCCCCTAAAGCCTGGTAAATGGGGGAGTTGGGAATGTGTTTGGTAGCGTGGCCAACCCTTGAGACACTTGGGCAGATTCAGCAGGATGTCTGTGCCAAGCCGGCCACAATCTATCCAAATCTGCTCACTTGACTCAGTTATTTCTACTTATCCCCATTAGCTGTTTTGTCATCTCAGTCTGGAAGAAGTACCAGTCTTGTCCTGCTTATATAAGACCAGGATAGTTTTAGAATTGCATACCTTTAAGACTCAAACACACTTGCCACATGAGCTAAGGGCACCAGAGGCCCTGGTTCTCCACAAACTGTCCACTGCAGCAGCCTAAGGGGATACAAATTTCCACATCAATTTACCCTGGAATCACCTTACACCAAAGCCAGAGGGGATTTCTCATGAACGGAGGTCCAAAAGCTGCTTGTCTGAGGCTCCAATATTTTGCATACACAATATTTGTTTTTATTTACATCAAATGACAACATTTACAGATTGGCAAACTGCATTTACACTTGGATTTCCAGCTTCTATTCAAAAATCAAAATGTTTGTCAAGTTTGGCTTCATTTTCTTTCAGAAGTTAAGTAGGAATCACCGCTCCATTATCCATTCTCCCCACGTTTCCTGCCATGTTCTATGATCCTATTCTAGGGCCCTTTATTCAATTTCATTTAAGGTCTGGGCTCTTAACATTGGAGTCTGCGGCCTTGTTTCTAGAAATCTCTGATAAAAAGCTGCATTAACTTCTGAGACTTCAATTGCTCTCAGTTAGCATATAAGTAATTCAGCCTGGAAAATAATTTGGACTCAAAAGAGTGAGCTAGCAACAGTTAGTAGGTTTATGAAATTTATATCTCAATATCCTCTTTTTGAGACTACCATTATCTACAAGGTTTTAGGCAGTTTCTCCTTCCTTATCAGAAAGGCTGGGGACTGGCAGTCTTTACGCAGCCTGGTACCCTACTAGAAGATCAAAGGAAAATGCAGACAAATGTACTCTTCAGAGTTGTTCTTTTCCCCACTTCTTTACATTCCACCTAGCTTCAGAAGATAGAGTATTATATGTTTTGTGCCTGTTAGGTTGGGCTTTCTCAAAATGTGTGCTAGTGACCACCTCTATCAGAGTCACTTGGAATAATCAATTAAAAATTCCATGACCAAAATCTTGGAATTTTGAGTTTCAGGACTTACATCTTTAACAAGGTTTCAGGTTGGGTCTAATGCAAATGAACATTGAAAAGTGTGGCCATAGAGTATCATCCTTTCAAGTCAGGACAGTCTCATCACACATCAACACCACGGGCCTCTAGACACCATCTACTCCCCTCTGTCCAGCCCAGCTGGTGTAGGTCTTGCTCACATAGTTCTGCATTGCCACACCAGCTTCCTGATGAGTTTCAATGGCTCCTCTTAGTCTCACTACTTTATGGAACCCTCACAACCCTGAATCACTTCAGTTCTCCACAGGGATGCTTCCAGAGTGAAAAGCTCATCCCTTCGCTAGCCTGATTAAAACCATTCATCAATGGCTCTCTAATACCCTGTTGACAAGAAGAGTCAAACTCTGTAAAATATTTTAAGAGATTTATTCTGAGCCAAATATGAATGACCATGGCCCATGACCCAGCCCTCAGGAGGTCCTGAGAACATGTGCCCAAGGTGGTTGGGGTACAGCTTGGTTTTATACATTTTAGAGAGGCATGAGACATCAATCAAATACATTTAAGAAATACATTGGTTTCTTTCAGAAAGGTGGGACAACTCAAAGCGGGGGTCGGGGGGTTGGGGGGGCGGCTTCCAGGCTATAGGTAAATCTAAACATTTTCTGGTTGACAATTGGTTGAGTTTATCTGAAGACCTGGGATCAAAGGAAATGTTGAGGTGACTATAAGGGATTGTGGAGACCAAGTTTTATTATGCAGAGGAAGCTCTCAGATAGCAGACTTCAGAGAGAGCAGGTTGTAAAATGTTTCTTATGGGACTTAAAAGGGTGCCTGCCTCTGAGTTGATTATCTCCTAGATTTGGAAAGGAAGGAAGGAAAACAAAGGAGAAAGGGGATTGTCTATAGAATGTGGATTTTGTTCCACAAGAGACTTTTCAGGGCAATTCCAAGGTATGGCAAGGAAATATATTTTGGGGTAAAACATTTTGATTTTTTCCCCTGTTATGCTGGAGTCAGAATGGAAAGTAAGTCAGGATATACAGGGATAAATAAAACCCATAGGATGAGAATTTATGGTTTTTAGGGTATGACTCCCCAGATCCCTTAGAAAGGAATTTGGGCGAGATAAAAAAATCAGAGCTTAGTCCTCAACCCTGCGCATAAAATCCAAACATTTTTAAAAATTTGGCTTCTAGCCCACCCCTCTCCTTCATCTCCTGCTACGCAGCATGAGTCCTACCCTTCCTTCTACTGACTGGAAGTAGCTCTGGACCCTCAATTGTGGGCTTTGGGTAGTTCTTTTCATGGAGTGTGAGTCCCTCTGTCCCACTCCCTCACACAAAAGAAAACCTGAACCAAAACAAAACAAATGAGAAAGACTTTGAAGGAATTAAGTGAGTGTTACTTGGCTTGAAGTCTCATTTTAGGGTATCAGTGCCTGAATCCTCCTCAACTCCCACACACAGGGCATCAGCTGGGTCAGGTCCCCTGTCCCGTCCACCTCAACTGCCCTCTCAGAGTTCATGCAGCCTTGAAATCAGGTTAGCTTGCAAGTATAGTACTGTGAAGCCTGGGGTTCTTTTAATTTTATAGTCTGCTCTTTCTGCAGTGCCTAGCAGAGTTCTTGCAACATTAATGAGAGAGCAGGTAAGTGAATCAAGATCTGCAAATGGGCCAGTGAACAAGAGAAGAAGCTGGCAGTGGGGAGCTGAAGAAATAAACGTGGGGGCAGCACAAAGCAGAACACACCTCGGCTCTGGGACCGATTGATGCTCAGAACAGGAAAGACAGAGTAAGCAGAATCAAGTAGTCCCGTAGCAAGGACTGGGTGGGAGGACAGGTCAGGGGCACTCTGGGGGATGCACAGAAGGCAAGTGAATCTCCATTTCTGAATCAAAGTGGTTTCCATGTTTCTTTATGTCAACTGAAGATTATTTGTTTTTAGATCTTCTTCCTATTTATGTGCTTAATCTTCAGTTACTGGTTTCACCTGAATTCTAAAAATTACTTAAATTGGTTTAGCTTTTAGTTGGAGACTTTGGGGTTGATGGATACCCTACAGTCATGGTTCTCAAACCTGAGGGTGCATCACCATCCCCTGCAGAGCTTGGTTAAAAAACAAACAAACAACAACAACAAACACACACACATACACACAAATTGCTGGACCTACCCCTGAAGTTTCTGACTCAATGACTCCAAGTCAACGTCTGAGAATTTGCCTTTTTAACTGGTTTCCCAATGAACCTGACACTGCTGGCCTGCAGATCCCAGTTTGAGAAACACTGCACTACAGTACAAATTCTTTACTTTTCCAGCAATATTAAGTAAGCCAAGCAATGTTTACTTGGGAAAGAAGTATGTGGAATTCTACTAATGGCTCAAAAGCAGTTGCAGATTTCCCAAGAAACTCAGTTTAAGCTCCACTGTCATCATTTGCATGGGCCACTGCCAAGACTCTGTACCTAATTTTGAGCTCATAGAATTGTGTTTTCTTTCTTATAGATCCCTGCTTCCCAGCCCCCACCACCAATTATTTGTATAAGCTTCAGGCTCCACATACTGTTGGCCTGCCCTTGCTCCAAAACTCTCTCTCTCTCTCTTTATGTGTATATATATATTAAATATATATATTTATATATATTTAATATAAATATATTTTAATATAAATATATATTTATATATTTTATATAAATATATATATTTATATATTTTTATATAAATATATATATTTATATATATTTATATAAATATATATATTTATATATATTTATATAAATATATAAATATATATATTTATATAAATATATAAAATATATAAATATATTTATATAAATATATAAAATATATAAATATATTTATATAAATATATAAAATATATAAATATATTTATATATAAATATATAAAATATATAAATATCTTTATATATAAATATATAAAATATATAAATATCTTTATATATAAATATATAAAATATATAAATATATTTATATATAAATATATAAAATATATAAATATATTTATATACAAATATATAAAATATATAAATATATTTATATATAAATATATAAAATATATAAATAAAAATATAAAATATAAATATATATTTCTATATATAAATTAAATATATATATATTTAATTTAACTCTCTGGAGAGCCTTGGGTTTTTTAAAGTAGCCAAAGTCCTTGCCTATCTGTCCTTCCTTGGAATCATATCAGTTTCACAACACTTTCAGCCCCCATCTACTTTAGAACACCCCTTCTCTAGAATAGCTCGCAGCCTGGCTCCCACTGTCTCCCCTCTCCTGCTGTTCTCTCGTCTCTCCTCTAGCCTTCGTTATTGAGCAAGTTGTCCCCACTGAATTCCTGATTTTTCTGTAGGATAGTAGCACATTGTGTCCTTGTGCCTCCATTAATTTGTCAGCATTGTTATCGGTTCTGCAGCCTAGATTATTAAAGTGTAGGAGTAGTAATAGTTTAAGCCACCGTTAACATGAATCCCATCTATTTATACATGAATAGCTACCTTCCCACAATGGTATGTATGCTTATTTTGTATAGGTTGATTTCGCTGATATTCCTGGATTTTTGCTGATGTATTAGGTGTCAGTCCAATATATCATGATAAAAGAAAATCAGAGCTCAATAGGGATACCGTGGCTTGTAATGGAGAGAGCAGAACAACATTCTCATAAAGGCTTAGAAATATCTTCTAAAGAAGTGTGCTCTAGGAGCAATAGGAATATCTGTATTATTGTCTGACAAATTCTGTGGAGCACTTTGTCAAGGATGACAGCACAGAATAGGATCAATTTGAAACATGCATTTATACAATATGAGTAGAGGACCCCAAAGTTCTTAAATGACGTGAGCACATGCAAGCCTTCAAGACAGCTTTGCATTGTCAGCCGAAGGATGCTCCAAGGCCAGCATCAGCATTATTAACAGAGCTATGTAAAGACACCTTCCTGGATCAAATGTGCCAGGATTTTTACACACTTCTTTGTTTCACTGTTCATCTCCATTTGTTCCTAATTTCTGCATATAAGCACAAGGTAGAGGGGATCTGAGATGAAACTTTGTTTCTGATCAACTACAAAGAAGTTTTCTAGCATCTGTTGAGCTCAGCTAGTAAGCACAATTTATAAAACAGGGGATGACTAACCCCTGTAACCATTTTAATGACCCTAAAATAAAGTGCTTAGAGCAACATCTGTCCCAGCAGCTGGGTTCTCTGCATGAGTGGGCAGAGCGACACATTGGGACAAATTCTGTTCTCCCTTTTGACAGAAACAATTGCAGCAGATCATTTTTATCGTAATCAATTTAGGTACAGTTTCTTGGAAACCATCTGTGTAGTGTTCATAGATTGTGCTTAAGAATTTAAATGTGTATATTTTTGGTCGCTTGATGTAGCATCTGCTAATGGCCACATAAGTTCCACTTTTTATGCAGAAAGCTGTTTCCTTGTAAAGGGATTAGTAGAATGACTACTTGATTTTATCCTTTTAACTACCCAATAAGCTTCTGCAGTTTGAATGACATCCGCCACAGAGTGTTAGTTGTGGAATTAATTGCTTAAAAAAAAAATAGAAAGTGGAATTGGAATTATAAGACCAACAAAGGCTCAGTGAAACATTTTCATGTATTTCTATCTCTAGCTCATAATTTTAAATTAATATGGTTGTATGCGGGCAATTGAAACTAAAGAAAAGCATAGCTTTTGATAACAACTCTTTTTCTTCCATTTTTTTCCAGTATTCATTTGTGGCTTTACAGCTATTAGTTAAATAACTATGAAGAAATCAAATGGCGAAATCAGCCAACATTGACTTTAGCTTTGAGAATAATTTTAGAATCATATTAAAAGATAATTGATCTTAAAATACAAGATAATGAAAACTGAGTGGCTTTGGCGCAGATGTAAAGGATTTACCTAAAAAATGCTGTCAGCTATATTTTGGGGATGAAATGGATTCCATAATGTACCTGAGTCTTGACAACACATTTCGAACAGAGAGATTTCTAGTCTTGCTTGAGAATTACTTGTGAATTTAGAAAATATGTCACTATCCAGATAATCTAGAATAACGTAGGATTTCCATGGTTTGGAAAAAAAATGTTTTTTTCTCTGATAACAAGCATGCTTGGCTTCTTCTCTACTCAAAGTATTTGAAAACACTAAACCACAAAACTAACTAGATCACCAACTGGCTAAATAATTAAATAAACAAAATAATGCCAGAATTCAAATTATATGAGAGTATACAAGCCTTAAGCTTGCACACTTTTTATTTGGATAGAATACGAAGCAGAAATTTAGAAGGAGTATATGTAGGTTTTATATTCAACTCTACAAACACATATTAAGTGCCTATTACATATGTGTGAAGTGCTGGAGTTACAAGATGAGTGAGAAGCAGTTCCACCGGTGAGGTGTTTCCCAGCGAGTGTAGAGGAAAAAGCAATCTGGAACCGGAGTGGTTTCCTCTGTGTTCTCAAGGTTCTATTACGGATGTACCTCAATTTGGCACAAACTCTGAGTAGTTAGTGCAGCAATCAACCTGATCGTATTCATCTATTTTCCATTTACTCCCCTGTGGTGAAAGGTCTTGGTTTTCAAAAGAGTAAATAGTGAATTGATTGTGATTGTATGCAGGTGATCCTAATAATAATTATTATTTATTAAGTTGGTTGTATGTCTTTGCATTAGGTAATTGATCCACTAATAGAATGTGAAATTAGGACTGCTAATAAAAATGTTTCTTTGTTAATTTCCGTCCCTGAAGTTTGCAAATTGTGTACTCACCAAAGCGTGAAGAAAGAAAGAGAAAGATGTTGGTTACACAGGGTTGAGTTCACAACAAGCACAATAGAGGGGACGGATCGAATTTTCCAAGGAGGTTTTTGCTATAGATAATTTGAGTGTATTTCAGGAAACATATTAGCAGAAGTAATTTATGGTAAGTTCTGAATATGGCAGGAGGTGAGATTACTTCAAGCATGTGCCATTTTTGGCTCCCTGGTCTAGAGAAGTTCTTTCTACCCAAACTATCAATCAGCTAAATTATTTTCAAACTTAATTAGATGAAAGAATTTGGTCCTATGATTTGAATGTGCTGGAAGGTGTCCAGGCTACTAGAAACGTCATTTCAATAATACTCTTCTATGCCATCTGTAAGAATCACACCAAACAGACTTAATGCAGATGAACATAATACAAAACAGAACCTACAGCCGAAGAGGGAAACAGAGTTCATGAAGACATACACAAGCACACACGGGCACACACGAACACACACACACCTCGGATCCTGTGGAAACACAAAACTATATGTAGGGGCCACATACAAAGTGAGCAGTGGCAGGCAGGAAAGAAACTTAAAGAAGAGGCTTCCTCCATTTTGAGATCAACATTCCTCCAAAAATAATTTTGTATTTAAAGCTTCCAATTATTCTTTTGTCAGATTGACTTTTGGGATGTGGTCCTTCAGAGAAGTATATTTTTTTCATTTAGATGGATGTGTGTGTGTGTTTGTGTTTCTAAGTGTGTGATGTCAATATTCAGTCATAGTTTAAAACAGTGTTTCTTTTTTCAGGAATAGAAATCAAAGGTTGTCTGGTGCTTTTGTAGAGAGACTTATGCCTAGTTACCAGCTTAGACTTGATTACCCAGCATCTTCTGGGGCATGGAAGGTGGGAGATTTGATACATATAATATGTCTACACAGACACAAATACTCCCAGATAGACAGAGATGGGCATTGTGAGAATGCCTGCTGTGGCTGTTTATGGAGGGAAAGACTCCTCTCAATTGGAAGATTTAGGAAGTCTTTGCACGAGACAGATAACATTTTGGGAAATTTTTCCTTGAAGGAGGGGTATTCTACTTGAGATGTACAAGACAGGTAGATTTGGATTTTCAGGTGATGAGAACAAAAGAAGCAAAAGTTAATAATTGCTGTATTGCTGTATCTTCTTGCTTTAGTAAATTTTTTTTTTTTTGAGACAGAGTCTCACTCTGTCGCCCAGGCTGGAGTGCAGTGGTGTGATCTTCGCTCACTGCAGCCTCCACCTCCCGGGTTCAAGCGATTTCCGGGCTCAGCCTCCCAAGTCGCTGGTACTACAGGCATGCACCACCATACCCAGTTAATTTTCATACTTTTAGTAGAGACCGGTTTCACCATGTTGGTCAGGCTGGTCTCAAACTCCTGACCTCAAGTGATCTACCTACCTCGACATCCCAAAGTGTTGAGATTACAGGTATGAGCCACTGTGAGTGGCCCGTATTAGTAATTTTTAATAGCTGAGGGCTGAAAACACCAAAGATCCTGGGAAGACTTAGCTCAATTCGAGGTTCACCATTGTGTAAAGCATTGGTTCTCACACAGCACAGTTTCTCAGACAAGCAACATCAGAATCACCTGGACATTTCTTAGAAATGTAAATTCTAGGTCCCTACTCAAAACAAAACAGAAACTCAAGGGATAGGGGCCAGCAACCTAGGTTTTAACAAGCCCCACAGATGTGTCTAAATGCTCTCTAAACTTTGAGAAATGTAGCATGAAACACTGCTAATAAACTGTCCCTTCTGTTGGCAGAACTTATTGATCCTTACCTTTCTTCCTTATAAAGTCAGGGCCGAGTTATCCGGCTTTTCATGTGCCTTCACAGAGAACACTGATAGGTGCTCATCACTGACTATATTTTTAGGGGACTTTTGGTAGTTAATCTTACTGATTATGTTTGCTGCTTTGATTTACAAAATAAAATATGGCAATTCAATGAGCTGGTACCATAAGGTCAAAAATCACAACATCACCCTGCTAAGCTCATGACATCCCGTAACTCCAAGTGCCTTGGTGGGAAGGGGGAATCCAGTATGTGCTCAGGTGGATGTGACACACAGGTTAATTCCAGAATACTCATGGTGCTCAAGCTCTTTGCAGGCTCATCCCTTCAGTTACTACAGGACCCTCAAGGGACCGTCACATTCCCTGAGTGGTGCAGTTAGATGAGGTCAGTAGCTCTTCCAGGCATGGCAGACTAAAGGAGAAGTTTGTGCGGCTGAACATTGACCCAAAGCCGTGTTGCACTGGGTTTTGTTTCACAGTGGGGAACTTGAGTTGAATGGCCTTCTGTGGCTCTCCCTTCTGATGCTCTGTTCCCTCCCACTTGGGGCTGGCCCTATCAATTAGGTTGGTGCAATAGCAATTGCTGCTTTCATCATACTTTTAATGGCAAAAACTGCAGTGACCTTTGCACCAACCTAACATACATAAAGGCAAGTTGCTAGTGGAATTGAGCTACCTCCAGTTGGAGTCAAAGAATCTCAATGTTCAGCGTGCCCTTGGAGAGTGTGCGCTTCTACCCGCTCATTGTTGCGATTGCCAGACCGAAGGCCAGAAGGTGAGGGAGCTGGCCAAAGTCATTTGGATGGGAGACTGCAAAGATGGCGGTGGGTCGGCAGCTCAGTGTCGTTTCCCTGCAACATCCGCCTCCTCGAACACAGACTATGCCAAACAGCCAAGAGTGAGAAGCTCGGCTGTTTCCGTGAACAAGTAGGTGACATAGTGCCCAGAGCGCACCGGGAGCGGGAGGGAGGAGATCCACACGCCCCACCCAAAGGAAGCAGCTCCAGCCAGCTATGGCTACGTGAAGACATCGGCCTGGGGTTGGCAGATCTTACTTTTTTTTTTTTTTTTTTTAATGTGAAAGCTCCTGGTTTTTAAATGTTGTCTCAAATGAAAAATGATTGCGTGGGATAAACAAACATGTTTATAGGTCTGATGGGGGCCATGGGCCACCAGTTTGAAAACGCCACCGTTTCAAGTGATGTTGTGCCCCACACTGTCTTTTCTCATTTTTTTCTCAGTTCACTTAGTTTGAAGCCATCCCTTTTCCAGCCCTCCTGCCTAGAGCAACATCTGCTCTTATCTCTATGACCTACTTTTGTTAGCACCATTCTTTTTGCCTGTTATGTAGAATGTTTCTTCCATATCTGGTCCAGCTGAAATCTCTTTTGAGATCCAAGTCACACCGCCACCGCGAAGCCTTCCTTGGCAGCCTAAACTGGTTAGGGACCCTGGCATTCTCAATAACCACCATTTCTGGTGCTCAGCAAGCAATCTATGGCAGGGGCGGGTCTACACAGAAGATTAGAATCACCTGGAGAAATCTAAGAGGCCCTGAAGTTCCAGCCTCACCTCCAGCAATTCGGGTTTAATTGGCCTTAGGTGGGATGTGGAGTTTTGTTTGTTTTCTTTTTTTTTTTTCTCCCAAAGAAATTTCGTTTTGCTAGAGTTGAAAAGTATTGAGATGGATAATGATAAGTTACTCATGGGCATATTTTGATTAACCAGGTAGATCATAATTACCAAAAAAATCCCCACAAAGAGCAGGGAGGAGGTTTTATATTTATGTTTTTCCCACAAAGAAACCGATACAGTGTCTTACCTATAATAGATGTTCCATTCATGCACATATCAGCTGGCAGTTTATATTCCACACCAATGAGCATGCATTTTGCCTGAGCTGTTTGTAACTTTCTATGTTAAGGACTCTTGGGTTTCCACGTTGCAAAGTATAGTCCATTCATAAAATGGTCCAGGACAAGGAACTAGGATCATTATAACCAAAGCTGTTGCTTCTTTTCTTCTTTCTATTTTCTGATCTTAGCTGATGACCCTGGTCACAACAGCCTCAAATAAACACTATTGGAAGAAGAAAGGGCTGTGTGTTCTTTGGGGGCAATGGGACAGGAGAAGAGTGATGCTCTGTACTGAATCCTTAGAATGTTGGTTAATGAGTCTTTAGAGTGTTGTCCCCCTTTTTGAGCCAGTAGTTTTGGTCCCAAGAATGAATACTAATAGCAGATATAAAATACCAAATTAACTCTGGGTGTGCATAAATATTTATTGCAATGTTCCCTGTGATAACTAAAATTAAATAGCCAAAACGTCCAAATCTGCATGGTAAAATATTATGTATGTAGCCATTAAAAACATTTTTAAAAATTCTCCCTGGACTAGTATGCAGGTTGAACTGATTTTATAATAATATATTTATCTATTCAATCAAACACATATATATTGAAATCTACCATGTACAAGGCACAAAGCTGTGGTATTCATAATCTAGACGGTATAGTTCTAAATATAGTGAAATGTTGCTGCTTTTATCAAAACACCTCAAATTTTTTCATCATATTTTCTGAGTGGATTTGAGGAAAGACACTGAATGTCTATGTGTATTTTCTATTTACTTTTAATAATTTCACAGTAGCTAAAATAGCTTTTATTTTCTTTTAGGTTTCTTTCTTTAGGCTTATTTTCTGGGTAAGTTCCTCTGCAAGAAATAATTTGATTTCTTGGATTGTAAAAAGTTATATTTACTAATTCTATTTAATGTTTTTGTTGATAGCTTGGATAGCTTAGAGATGAGAATAAAGGTAGGAAACAACTATCACTACCAGGTTTCCATCTTGAGCAACTGGCTAAATGGAGAAGACTTTTAAAAAGATGGGAAGGCCTGTAAGTAAGCAGGATTGGGGATGAGAGAGTGGGGTCATGGGTTCTACTTGAGGCATTTAAAGTTTGAGATTTCTGTGAGACACCCAAGCTGAAATATAAAGGAGGCAGTTGGCTTTATAAGTACAAAGGCAGGAACTATTAATTGGAATCTCCAGTCTAGATCTGGTATTTAAAACTCAAGGCATATGTGAGATCACACCTGTAAAGCATGGGACAGAAGCTATTAGAGGAGAAAAGTACTTAAGAAAGAGCTCTGAAGTGTTCCAGTGTTTAGTATTTAGGAAGAATGGAAGAAAATATAAAATTTCATATATATGTTTATATACATATACATATGTGTTTATATATGTTTATATATTTCTCTCTCTTCTTATACATTATTCTTTTAGAGTACTTAACCCATTATTTTGTGTGTTTTCTCTGTTTATGTGTCTGTGTCTGCACTAGAATGTAACTCAGTGGCAAGCATCTTTTTCACTCACCTCTGTATCCACATTGTTATTTGGTTGGATGCCAAGTAACAGATGGACGAATGAGTGACTCAGTGAATGAAAGACAGGAAGATGCCATATAAAATACTGGAAGGTATGATCCAGGAACATATACAAACATTTTATCTTTTGACATAGGAGTTCTTATCCTCTTATCCCAGTAATACAGTTATCATTCAACATTAGAATAACTTCCAGGGCATATTATAATCATATTATAGATGAAGTGATAAAAGCAATATGACTATCTTGGTAGAAGAAAAAACATTTGAAAAAATGTTCTTGTTTAAAGAACCATTGATAGCAATCTAGGAATACAAGTGTGATAAAATGTAACTACTCAAAATACAAAGAAAATGTTATATGTAATGGCAAAATTTTAGAAGCATTTGTATTTAAATTAGGAGCAAGAGAGATGTTCCTGGTATCATAATTGTCATTCAGTAATCTAATCCAATGCAATAAAACAAGAAAAAAAAACTACTAGAAGAGACAGTAGAATAATAATTTACAGGTAATTTTTTTACATAGAAAACCCAAGATGATGAACAAACTGTTAGAACTCAAAAAGATAGTTTAGTAAGTATATTGGATTATAATCATATCTAAAACCCAATAGTGCTTTAATTCACAATTCATAACTAATTAGAATGTATAATAAAGTAAAAGTATGTCTTACAATATCAATTAATATTCATGAAAAATAAATGTAAGAAAAATGTGTGTTGACTTTATGAAAAAACTACAAAATGCTATTGAAAAAGACAAAAGATCTGAATAAACAGTGATATACCAAGAGTCAAGAAAATGTCAATTCTTTTCCAAATTCGCTGTAAACCCAATGGCATTCCAATAATCATCACAAGAGTTTTCATGGAATTAAAAAAAAATATGTAACAGAATCTAAAATTCATAGATGAAACTGAAGGTACAGATTAGCAAAAAAAGCTCAGGAATTAAAAAAAGCAAGGCCATAAATTATTCAATAAAATATTCCTCAAGAATTTTTAATAAAACTAAAGTAAAATAAATAGTATTGTGTTGATGAAGTGATAGACAAATAGATTAGCAAAACGAAACAGGTTTTGGAAACTAACCAAAAGCAAAGGTGAGAACTTGGTGTGTTTTGGAGATCCAGAGAAAGGATATATTATTCAATAAATGACTTTTGGGAAATTGACTTTCCTTTTGGCTAAAAAGATGAAAATTAGACTCCCAAATTTATATGCATACATCTTCCACACATATATATTCCAAATGGATTAAATATGTAAACATGAAGACAAAATGTTGATTGTGTTAGAAGAAAACAGAGGAGACTACATTTATGACCCCCGAGTTTAAAAAAATAAAAGTCCTCAACAAGAAATAAAATGCACGACTCATTAAGGAAATGATTAATCAATCAGACGACTAAACATTATTATGTCTATACAATAAAAGAAACCACAAGTTATACAACAAGCCAAAGCATGGAAGAAGTTATCTACAAAACCCATAAAAGCCAAAAGACCAATAAACATATAATTGTACAAATTCCTATAAATCAATAAGAAAAAGAAACTAATAAAAATGACCAAAGACATGAATAAGTGTAGGAAATTAATTTTAAATTAAGATATACAATAATGTGCAGTCTTATTTGTAATCAGAAAAAAATTCAAATTAAAGCAAGAAGAAGATGCCAATTTTAGAACCATTAGGCTGGCCATTATTTAAATATATAAAAATATGAAACACTGGTAAAGATATGAGGGAGAAGAAAACTCACAGACGTTGATGAAAGTACAAATTTGTAAAACCGCTATGAAGTAATTCGATCACTTGATCCAGTCATTCAATTTTACATTTATACCTCAGGGAAAAACTCTCACCTATGTGGGCCAGGAATCATGTACAAGGATACTCATTGAATCACTGTTGATTCAACTATGTAAATGCCCCTCAATAATAGAATGCATTGTTTTAATATCTTTGTCATATTACTCTACACACCTAAAAGGAATGAAATAAAGTAACATTGATAGGTCTTGAAAACAGTTTATGGAACAAGCAAGTAGCAGGGCGTTACATAGAGTACGATTCCATGTATGCAAAATCTAAAACTAAGCAAAGAATTCATCTTATTTATGACAACCAAAAGGATGTGGCGAAGTGTGAAAACATGAACTGGAGAGACAGACATCAAATTTTCAATAGACATTGCATCTGGGGAGAGAGGAAGGCGAATGGGGAATTGTGTGAAATACAACTTTATCTGTAAAATTCTATTTCTAATTAAAGTAATCTGAGCTAAAATTAGCATTATTATTTTGGTATAGCATATATGACATTTTGTTATGTATTTTCTATAATTTATTTTAAACACAGAGAAAGAAGGGGAGGCAGAGTGGGGGCTGTAGTACAGGCTCACTTCAAATATACAGGGACTGAGGACACAGCTCAGCTGTGGCTGAGATCCACTGTGCTTAATCATCAAAGCAAGGCAGCTGTCCAGCTGAGTGGACCTGAGAAACTGAGCTGTACCCTGGAGCAGCAGTCCCCAACCTTTTTGGCACCAGGGATTGGTTTCGTGAAAGACAATTTTCCCACGGACCTGGCAGTCAGTGTGACGGTGGGGTGGGGGCATTCAAATGCATTACACTTATTGTGCACTTTATTTCTATTATTATTACATTATAATACAAAATAATTATACAACTCACCATAACATAGAATCAATGGGAGTTCTGAGCTTGTTTTCCTGCAACTAGACAGTCCCACCTGGGGGTGATGGGAGACAGTGACAGATTATCAGGCATTAGATGCTCAGAAAAAGTGTGCAACCCAGATCCCTTGCATGCACAGTTCACAGTTGGATTTGCACTCCTATGAGAATCTAATACTGGGGATAATCTGCAGGAGGCAGTGCTCAGGTGGTAATGCGAATGATGGGGAGTGGCTGTAAATACAGATGGAAGCTTCGCTCTCCTGATGCTCACCTCCTGCCGCTCACCTCCTGCCGTGAGGCCCAGTTGCTAGCAGGCCATGTACTGCTACCAATCCACCACTACCAATCCATGGCCCAGGGGTTGGGGACCCCTGTCCCAAGGGACGGGTGGGCTTGTATGCCTGCTGGTTGAGAGAAAGGTCCCTGCAAAAGGCTCATCTGAGATGTATTCGATGCTGGCCATGCAGTGGACACAAATGACCTGCCACGGTATGAGTAAGACTGCCTAGTTCAGGAGCTAAGTGGAGAAGATTCTGCAGAAATAGGACACTAGTGATTCTATCTTATAACAAAACAAACAGCTTCTCTATTTCTAAGGATGATTACTATAAGTTTCATTCCACATATTTCTAAACACAGAAAAACAAATCCTTTGAAAATTCTTACCAGAAATATTTGAGAGGGGCCATCAGGAAGCTGTCTGCATGACTTTAAGGGTTCCGAGTTGATAACCCAATTCTTAGTATTTATTGATACTTGGGTTGGTGCCATACCTCCCAAGCAATAAGTATTCCTGATTAGCTCTGAGCTACAGCAGATGGCGAGTAGTTTAGAAATCTGATTTGTCTCTCACGCTCTGTTTTAGGGTAGTGTGGTAGATCGCATTGCCTGGCTTTGACAGGTCAAGTATGATGTTCAGGTATGATACAGAGCTTGTCACTGAGAGGCAGGATCTCTGGGTGGCAGTCATTCACGTGTGTAGAGGGGGAGAAACTGGGTTGTTCTTGCCCCTCACACTGTCCTTTTGCTTAGTCTGACTTTCCAAAGACTTTGAACAGCACATTTCAAGTTAGAAAATGGGATAGCTTTGTAATTTATTGAAATGTTTAAAAGTCTATTTGTTCCTGGAGAATTTATCCTTTAGCCTCCATGTCTAGTAATATTTGAAATATCCAGGTGGATCAAGTAGTGCCCACAAAACAAAGTAAGTTAACACTGATATGTCCTCGGCTTTCAGTAAAAGACATTAGTACTTGCAGTGCTAGTGTCGAAGACATTGTTCACTGTGAGATTTCATCTTCTCTCTATACAGATATATGTTTGATTTATTTTTCAAATTCATATGCCAGAAAATGTGTTGTATTTCCTGAAGAACTAACTTTTTTTGTTTCTCTTTCATTGTTCTGTGCAAAACATAGGATTGATCTCTAGAGTCAGGGTGCATAATTTGGAATTGCCAACATAAACTTTTATGTGTTGCATGCTCTTAAACAAATTACTTAACTCCCTCTGCCTCAGTTTCCTCATTTGTATAATGGCATTGCTAACAGTCTCTTTTTGTACAGAGTATGGTTAAGGATTGAATGAGTTAGGACACGAGAAGTGCTTAGAATAGAACCTAGCTTATAGTGTCCATTCAATAAATAGCCAGCACTATTAGACAGAAACTGATTAATGTAATGAACATATAACCTATTTTTGGTTTGGTCACTGCACGGGCTCCATGGCCTGAGTGTTTATGTGCTGGCCTCCCCAGCACCTTTTATTTTCCAAGGCATTGCTTAGAGGATTTTACTTTTAGTTTTCCATTAAAAAAATTATTTTTAGTTCCCTTACATTTTCTGAACATAAAGGATTAGAACAGAGTGTGTACTTGTGTGTGTGTTTATGTATGTTCCTATATGCTGGAAGTGCCCAGAAACAAAGCCTGGGTAAATAACACAGCCACTTCCCACCACTTGATGAAAATGCACAAGGAAATCCCACTGAGGACAGCCACCGGAATAACTCCCGGGACACAGACCCCAGCTGCTCAAAAACAGTGTCTTCTTGTAGGCCCATAGCAACCTTGTTTTTGGTGAAAAATGTGTGTTAAGAGTTAAAAAAACAAAAACAACAACTATAGGCAAGATGGTGAGGGGCATGAGTGAAGAGTTGAGGATGAAAAGAAGTCGCTGTCTCTGAAATACTACATAAAAACTGACCACAGTGAAAAAATCGCAGGGTTAGGCTATGATAATATCAGGGGGAAATGCATTTGGTGAAAACCTGGAGCCTAAAATTAACCTAAATCATTCCTAGAATTCAGACCTTCACCCACCACAACTTTCTAAGCCCCAGTTCTCTAAAATACTAAACACCAGGGCTCCCTATCCAAAAGTGACTAGGATTGAGAGGAGGGCATAGACGTGATTCCTAAACTCAGAAAAGCATTCACATAGAGGAGGTATCATCATTAGGATCATTCATGTTACTATTACCAATTTCTTTATTGAGGTTGTTTTCCAGAGAGTGATATCTTCTCAGCTGAAGATAAGCTGAGCCTGTAACTTCTCCCCAAAATGCAGGTAGAGCCTTCTCCATGCTCTTGGGCCAGAGAAATAAAAGGAGCGGGAGAAAAGAACACTCCGTGAAGGAAATTGTGCAGTGGGAAGCTCTGCAATTGTCCCTGCCTGTGTTCGCTAGCAGCCAGCCTGGCTTAGGGTCATTAGCTTAATGAGCTATTGTATTTTTTCTCTTTCTCTCTAAAAAGTCTGCTGAAACATCCTCCCAGGAGCCAAATGAGGAGGCGAAGAAATAAACAGCAGCTGATAGCTGAGGGAGCTTAGCCAGAGAACCCGTCAACTCAGGATGTCTGTCCCTGAGTGGGTGTGTGTGTGTGTGTGTGTGTGTGCACGCGTGCACAGGAGTGGGGGGATTTAGAGGAGGCTGGACAGACAGAGAGACCTGTGGAAGAAGAGGTCTCTCACACTGCAAGTGGGAGCAGCCTTCCAGAAGTTCTAGGGGCCTGCCCTAAAGGTGGCTCTGGCTTTCAAGGAAGTATAAAGCAGGACCACAGCCAAAGTGAGGATGTGAGGTGATTTCCCCACCACGGTGATTAAGAAAGCATGGCACATTCACCCATGGATGAGTCTTATCTTTAGATGTGACATTGGCCATTACAATGTTGGCTTATTTAGTTTAAAGTGAGAAATAAGTTAGTTGACACATGTAATAGAAGGTTTCTAGTGCTTCTTGAAAGAATATATGAGCTACTCAGTGGCCTACTGTATTATTCCATTTTCATACTGCTATAAAGAACTGCCCAAGGCTGGGTAATTTTTAAAGGAAAAAGGTTTAATTGACTCACAGTTCTTCACGTCGGGGGGAGACCTCAGGAAACTTACAATCATGGCAGAATGCAAAGGGGGAGCAAGACACCTTCTTCACAAGGTGGCAGGAAGGAGAAGTGCTGAGAGAAGGGGAAAGTGCCCCTTAAAAAACCATCGGATGCCGTGGGAACTCACTCACTATCAGGAGAACAGCATGAGAGAAACTGCCCCCATGACTCAATTACCTCCACCTGGTCTCTCCTTTGATACATAGAGATTACGGGGATTATAATTCAAGATGAGATTTGGGTGGAGACACATAACTATATCAACTATGGAGGCAACCAGGCCAGAAGGAATCCAGAAGGACAGAGCTTGGTCCTCACCAGGGGCCATCCCCAATCCTATCACAGACATTGACTCTACATCCCCATCCAAGACCAAGCCACAACATTTGGGGAGTTTCTATTCCAGTTGTCTTCATAATGCTTTTTTACACGATGTTAATAGCAGAGCCTCACTGTAGGAGATTTGAAAATTGAGAAAAATGCAAAAAGGATGGAAACTACATTTAATCTTACAATCCTAAAAGATTATTAACATCTTGATATGTTTATCTTGGATGCACATTTTCATAGACTTTGCAGTTTGCATTTCCCCCCCACAGGATACTTTAGCAATAAATTTCCACCAAATTATTTAAAATGAAGTTTAAATAATCTGCTCTGCTACAAATGTACCATAACATGTTTAATCATTGCTCTATTGTTGAACATGGATGGTCTCCATTATTTTATCATACACATCATGGAGTGAATCTCTTTTCATCCTAGAATATACATCTTTGCCAATAATGCTAACTATTTCTTTGTCATTGATTACTAGAAGTGGGATTATGGGGTTGAAGAATGTTCAGTCTCAAAATATGCACACAAACACATGCACACACACTCCACCTGCTTTCTGGAAAAGCCGTACAATTTTTATCCCCTTCTGAAGTGTATGAAAGCACCAATTTTTCATACTGCCTTTCCAATTATGAATATTATAACTTAAGCAAAATGTTTTCATTTTCAAAGGCACAAAATGGTATTTCATTGTTTGAATGGGAACCTGTATTTCTCAGGGACAGGACTTTGGGCTGGATGATGAACGGATCAAGTGGTGAAGAGGGGTCTCCAGGGAGAAGCCCCAGAGAGTGCCTGCAGAGCTGCTGTGCCTGCGCCCCCTAGGCCCCGCCAGGATTGTGCCAGGCAGGAGCAGCCTCTCCAGGGGGCAGCCACAGGAAGAAGTTTCCTGAGGTCTTCAAGAACCCTGGGCAAGTGGAAGCCTTGTGGCTTTACAGGGAAACTGAGAGCTGGTTCCTGATCAGGAAAAGCTTCAGAGCCTATGGAGCCTGGGAAGAAAGGCACTCACTGGTTTGGCCAGGAGCACTGACCCTGGGTTGTGCGCTCTCTCCCCCACCTCAGAGTGGTTCCCCTCTTGCTCATCCTGGCCCAAAGACAGGAGAGAAGGAGGCTTGATTTTGAGTTTCTCTTCCCCTTCCTGTGTCCCATATGTGTCCATCGGGCTGGGGTTCACCCCCCTGGGGCATCTTCTCTGAACTCTTATGTCTACAGAGCCACTTCCTCTTGGAGCTCCCGAAGCACAGCCTTCTTGCCTCGACCTGTCGCATCACTGTGATTTTCGGCTCACTGCATCTCTTTTTTAAATATCACTAAATGCCTCGAGGGGCAAACATGTCTTACTTTTCACTTTTCCCTAGCACAGTGTCTGGCACATAGTATGTGATGAATAAATGAACACAGCTAGGATCTTCTGCATCCCACCCAGATGGGACCTTTCTCCGCCACGGTGTGCCCTGCTCACCACCTTCAGCACAAGGTCGCCTGTGGCTCAGAAGCAAGCGCTCTGGATGCAGGCAGTGCAGGGCAGCTTGTTTCCCTAGGCAACCTGCTTTCTCTTTCAGAAAGCATTTCTCATTTGCAGTTCTGGGGCCTGCAACTTTTGCCATATGTCGGTTGTCGCTGCCTTCATGATCCCAGCCATATTAATGTTATAATTAGAGCCAGTATTTATACAGACTTTCTTCTGAGCAGCTCCTCGCGCTTTGCAGGAATGATTTACTTTCTCTTCTCTGCATTGCTGGTTCAGGGATATTATTACATTTCAGATTTAGGGACAGATTGAGAGAGAGAAACATGCCAGAGACAGAAAAGCGAGAGGAGCAGATACCCACTGAGAAGTCACCCTCTGGCTCCATGAGGCCAGCACCGCTCTTGTCTGTGGATGGCTGATTCCAGGGTGGAATTCTCAGCCCACAGTTGTCACTGTGATTTCCTGGCATGTTTTGTTTTGTTTTGTTTTTTTGTCTTTTTGAGACGGAGTCTTACTGTGCTGCCCAGGTTGCAGTGCAGTGGCATGATCTTGGCTCACTGTAACCTCCACCTCCTGAGCTCAAGTGATTGTCCTGCCTCAGCCTCCCGAGTAGCTGGGATAACAGGCATGTGCCACCACACCCAGCTAATTTCACCGTGCCTGGCCAAGGCATGCTTGTTTACACTACACTCATTGATTTCCACTGGGATATCTTCTTGAACCTCTACTTTTTCTGGATTGTGTTATTGAACAATATTAACAGAAGGATCTGAAAGATCTTGATATGCTGTAATTTGGTGAGTTTGGGCTAAATTATCAATAGTGAACAATCCCTGATCACCATGCCTCTGTGACTTATAGCAACCAAGGCTCATTCCTTGCTCTAGTTGCAGGTTGAGTCAAGGTTAGCCATGCTGCCAGCTCCGTTCCTGGTCACTCTCTCCTCCCAACCCCTGGAATGAAGGAGCAGCCCCTGTCTGCTCTGCTCACCTGGCAGAGAGAAAGGGCACCTGCTGGGGAAGGGGGTACAATTCCTTCAGTCTGTGTGTGGGCATGCATGTGGGAGTGTGCAGGCCACACAGCCATGGGTGGGGGCGTATTATTATTTTACACGGCAGACACACCTGACAGGGAGCTGAACTGCCACTGCCCTTCTACCCTGTGCTGGCTGCTGCCTCTCAGTTCCTGTGAATTGTTTCACGCTTTGTTTCCAATTCTGCATTTTCTCTCTTTCCCACCTTCACTTCTTGTTTTAATCTGGTTCTGGAGCCCTGTATGTGCTCTCTCTCTCTCTCTCCCTCTCCCTCTCTCTCTCTCTCTCACACACACACACACACACACACACACTCACTCATACTGAGCCTCCTCCCGCTGAATCCAGGGCTTGCATTAGCGCTTTGCATGCTTTGGAGATTCTTTCTTTAACAGATTTCTACATTGCTCCTGTGAAAGTAAACCACTGCACTTTTTTATCTTGTAAATAATCCAAATAATCACTTTTTTAAAAAAGTCAGTATCCTTTTTCTAATCATATGAATTTAAAAGCAACAGAAATGCCCTTTTCTGAATCTGCTTTCCGTGAACAGCTAACCACACAGACTGCACTGTTTTGATGCCTCGGGGTGGATGCACTTGTAGATGCTTGGCTTTCCTAGAAGCCGGCTCACCCCTACCTCGATCCCAGCCCCAGCTTTCCAATCTTCATCGCCAAGAAGAAAGTGTTTCTAACTGTTCCTATAGGCAGGCTTCTGCTCTGGAAATAGAAAGTGTCAGTCAGACACTAAATTCTCAGATTGATGTGGCAGCTGGAATTAGTGGCAGGAACTATGGGCTGAGAGTCAAATAACCTATGCAAGGACTCTTGTGTTTGCTCAAGCCTGGGCCCTCGGGGCCTGAGTGTCTTCAGCTCTCAAGTTAGGTGACCTCAAGACACCTTTGAGCACTAGGGTTCTTCTCAAGACTATAACATGTAGAAAAGTGGAAGAAACCCACTATTCTTACAGATTGTAGCATAAATCAGTTAAAAGTACCGGCTGGGTGTGGTGGCTCACGCCTGTAATCCCAGCACTTTGGTAGGCCGAGGCAGTTGGATCACGGGGGTCAGGAGTTTGAGACCAGCCTGACCAACATGGTGAAATCCTGTCTCTACTAAAAATACAAACAATTAACTGGGCGTGGTGGCACATGCTGGTAATTCCAGCTGCTCCAGAGGCTGAGGCAGGAGAATCGCTTGAACCTGGGAGGCAGAGGTTGCAGTGAGCCAAGATCGCACCATTGCATTCCAGCCTGGGTGACAGAGCGAGACTCCACCTAAAAAAAAAAAGAGGATGATTACTATCAAGGAGCTAACATGCAAAACACTCAGCCAGTAAAGACGTCACAATGATGTTCACAGTGAACAATCGAATAACAAAGCCACAGATTCCTTCTATTTTTTGGCTTTGCTCTTTTGACTGTGTGGCTTTTGTCCTCATAGTCACAAGATGGCTGCCATACCGCCAGGCATTGAAGGTGGAAGAAGAATTTAAAACCCTTCTTCTTGCAAGGCTTTGCATTCTACTTAGAGAAGAAGCCTTTCTCAGCAGATGTCCATTCATGTCTCAGAGGACACAGTTGTCCTATGTGGCTATTGCTAGCTCAAAACTGGAAATGAAAATCAAACATCAGATATGTGGCTTTCCTGTCTTTTTTTTTTTTTTTTTTTGAGATAGGGTCTTTCTCTGTCACTCGGGCTGGAGTGCAGTGGTGCAATCACAGCTCACAGCAGCTTTGGGCTCAAGCGATCCTCCTGCCTCAGCCTCCTGGGTAGCTGAGACTACAGGTATGTGCCACCAATTCTGGCTATTTTTAAAATATTTTTTTGTAGAGACAGGTCTCACCATATTGTCCAGGCTAGTCTCAAACTCCTGGGCTGAAGCGATCTTTCCTCCTTGGCCTCCCAAAGTGCTGGCATTACAGGCATGAGCTACTATGGCTGCTGCTTTCCTGACTTTATAAAAGAAGAAAGCAAGGGTAAAGAAGAACAGGAATGGGTGCTTGAGTGAGTCACCCTATGGTAATCTGCTACAAATATTTGTCTGAAGTTCTCATCTGAAATTCTTCAGTTAGGCAGCATGGTATTGTTCAAAGACCATGAGGTCTGTCATCAGACGGAACTGTTAGGACAATGCCTGTTATTTTAGTTATTATCTTTGAAACCTTGGGCAAGGTCTTAGAGTCTTTGGGCTTCAAGTTTCCTTATCTCTGAAAAAGTATAATAATACCAGTCTTCGTTTCTTGTGATAATTAAATGAGATAATAGGTAATAAGCTTAGGGCAATGCTTGCATTTAGCATGAATTCATAAAAATGAGTAACTCTGAGTTACGTTTTGTTCATAAGCAGGATGTGTCAATATCACACACACGTGTGCATGCATAACACAGAAAATCAGTAACATTTGAGCAAAACGTGAGGTCCAAATTATCAAATTCCTCCTCTGAGGACCACAAGCTATGTTCTGGATTTTTCATATTCTCTTGATCCTTGTGTGATGTGCACACCTCAAAGACCACCTAGAACGTCCCAGTGGCTGTGGCGACGAGGGCCTTGTGCATACAATGCAGGCATGTTGATTTCAACGGGAGTGAAGTCTTTCAAAGCAGACCCCAAGAGCTGGGTCAACAGCTCTTTCAAAGAACATCCTATGCCAGTAAGCCTTTAGCCTGTCCCACCATCGCTGGTCCCTGGACTGTTGTAATGGGCTCTTTGCTGACCTCCCCATCTCAGCTGCCCTGGTCTCTCCTTCTACAGGTGAGAGTGAGCCATTGACAATTAAATTAGGTCACAAAGTTCTTCTACTGAAGACCACCCTACAATGGCTTCCTCTCTCAGTTAAAACCCACGGCCTCACCAGTACCATAAGCCCCTCCTGCAGCCTGCCATGCACCCCAGCCTGAGTCCCACCACGCCTCCTGCTGCTGCTCTGCAGATTTTCTTCCTGATCCTCAAGCAAACCCAGCAAAGCCCTGCCTGAGATACTTGGTCTTGCTGTGCCCACCACCTGGATATGCACATGGGATCATGTGCCCATCGTTCAGGACTCTGCTCAAATATCCCCTCCTCAGAAATCTCCGTCATACCTTCTCACCACGTGACATCATACGTTTATCTGGTGGTCTGTGGGCTGCCCCATCTGCTAAAATGTAAGTCCTAGAAGGGCAGCAGCTGTGTCGTTTTTGTTCCCTTGTGTGAGCCCAGCATTGAGAATCATGTCGGACACGCAGAATACACCCAGGAAATCTTAAGTGAAGAAAAAGTAAATGAATAAGTAAAGAGATGAATCCATCACTCCCGGAGTAGTTCCTGATTTCCACATGCATTTCATTCCTGCTGATTTAGTTTCTTATGCGTGGTCCTGAAGAAGCCCAGGACTAACCCCTCTATCTGTGAAGCAGCAGAGTTAACAAGACGTTTCACATAAGCTGCCTCTGTGGACTCCCTCCATCACCTCATCCACCTTGTCAGGCTGGCAAGGCAGGGAGATTCTGATACTCAGGACCTGGGCTGGGACCCAGGCGTTGCTTAAGCACACTCAAGTTTTAGTGCCTTCTTGAAGAGGAGGAAATGCTTTGGTTCTTTGTTTATAGATGGCTTTGCTCTCCATCCCATTCTTCCTCGAACAGTCTCACAAATTGGGCTCTCCTACATCTGTCTCAGCTCCCCCCTCCACCTCTATTGATACAACCCAGCACATTTTAATAGCAATATCTGTGGCATTCATTGTTGAAATGGAATATGAATAAGATTTGTAGCCCCATTTTTTTTCCTGCTGTAATTACTGATCCCTATGTCCTGGGGGCAAGGGAAGAGAGAGAGAATTTTCCCATCCATCGTTGAAGCATTTAGGTTCCATCTTGGCAGCACCCAGGTCACATCAGGTCTCACGGGTTTTTTCAGGTTATCACCTGCTCTGTGATCTCCCCCATACCTTACTCCAAATCCATGTTCCTCCCATTAAATATGGGTTGCTTCATCCTTTATCTATTCCACGTAAACTTCATGAATCAGGGCTGCTCACCCCAAAACTGCATTTTTTCAGTCAGTCTAAAATGGTGACGTGGATATAACTGATTGTATGTGCTATGATGAGGCTGTCCAAAAGGTATTTAAATTTCTGTAAAGAAAATCATAGTGAAACTCTGGGCCTGGGAGCTGTAATAACTGGCAGAGCCTGGAAGAGACCAGGAAGGGCTTTGACCGCACCTTGCCCCCAGCCTCCACCACGACCCACACTGCTGCAATTGCATAAAAATAGTCTTGCATTTGTAAAGATTTGAGATAATCTATGCCTCTCAACTAGTTTCCACCTCCGAATACCCAGCCTCTTACTCTAGACTCACTTTTGTGGGCCACTATCTGTGTGAGTAAAATGCACTAGGAGCATTGGAAACATTGGACAGAATTCATCTTCACTACGATCCTATGAGGTAGGTATTGCCATCTCCATGTGCAGATGAGAATACTCACACAGCAGCTCATTTCTGCACCCAAGATCTCACATCTGCCAACTGCCCAGCTCAGATTTGAGCTCGAAGATCACCAGAATCAAAGCCCATCCTCACGACTGTCCAAGAAGGCCGTCTCATTCAGCCACGTGTCTCCTCCTGGAAAGATAAAGGCAACAGTCAAAGGCTTAAAAGGGATTTTGCACAGTAAATGCTCTTAAAAATTATAGAAGTGCTCAAAATTAGTAGCTTTTTCTCCGGTTTTTTTTTTTTTTTTTTTGAGACAGGTCTGGCTTTGTTGCCCAGGCTGGAGTGCAGTGGCAAGATCTTGGCTCACTGTAACCTCCGCTGCCACGGGTTCAGGTGATTCTCCTATTGCCGTGTGTTGTGAATAAAAGAATACACTGCTTACTGGCAAATTTTTTTTATCAAGTCAAGCTTTTCGCCCTTGAATCTCATTTATCTTATAAAGAAAATGATTCTCAGAAATTCAAGTTTTGTTTCATCAGATCATGTGAAGGCAGTATGGGACTGCTCTATGTTGTCTAAGAGTTCTGCATTAATTGATGTATTTAAATCTCTATTTTATGATTCAAAGCAACATTAAGGGCACGCTAATAAACACAACTTCAGTTCAATAGTGCATCTAATGTAGTATTTTTCTCTGTAACGATCCTATATTCTTCATTAACTCAGCTAGCAAATACCACCCCATCTGAAACCAGGTATATCTGGCAGATGGAATCAAAGTAGTAAACTCACTGTATCAATAGTGCAGGCAAGCTGGGGAATGTTAACCGCCTGAGTTATTTTTGGGCAGTTCAGCAGATTTCTTCTTTCCATAATAAGTGAATTTTCTCCACAGAATTTTAAATTTAACTGATTTTTCCTCAACAAAACAAAGTTACTCCAAAAAGAAATGTCTATTAACTCTTTACCATAAGTTACATTTATGATCAAACTTTAAAAAAAGAAAAAGATCAAATTTTTCTTTGGGGTTATATCTAATACTCTATAGTCTAGTATATTAATGCAATTATCCTAAAGCTTTAAAAATTACCTAATCTCTATAGAAAATGGTTGAAAAGTGGCGAGGCTGTTGACCTCTAAATTAACAGATAATAGCAATGTCATCAAAGGGGAAAAAAATCAACGTCAGTTTATCACCTCCTATTGTTTGAATGTGTCCCCTCTAAAATTCATGTGTTGAAACTTAATGGCCAGTGTGATAGTAATAGGAGGAATCTTTAAGAGGTGATTAGGTCATGAGGGCTCCTCCATGTGAACGGGAGGGATTAAGACCATTAGAAAAGAGGCTTCATGCTACGTTTGACCCCCTTTTTGCCCTTTCACCTCTTTGTGAGGACACAGCGTTTCTCCCTCCAGAGAATGCAGCAACAAGGCACCATCCTGGAAGCAGAGAGCAGCCCCCACCAGACAATGACTCTGCCAGCACCTTGGTCTTGCACTCCCAGCATTCAGAACTATGAAACATAAATTTCTATTGTCTATAATCATCCAGTCTCAGGTATTTTGTTATAGCAGCAGGAATGAACTAAGACATCATGCAGTTACCATTATTAACAAGGCAGGAGAGATGCTCTTGATGTGCGCTTTTTCTATAGGTTATTAAATGTTTATGCACTGGAAGTGAAATAGTCAGCTTGGCTTTGTGTGTGTGAAGCTAATGGAATGTGAGCAGCAGCCTGGAAATGAGAAAACCTGATTTTTCCTGCATCTGTTACTCCCTAGCTGTATAATTTTGAGCGGGACCCTCAGTTTCTCATCTGCAAAATGGGAATAACATTACCTTCTTACATTTGTAGGATGATTAAATGAGAACAGAGCTCCCCAAAACACAAATGTAATCAGTTTTATTTCCTCATTACATATGTCAATTCCCTTCTTATGTGTCTTATAATAAATGACCACATTTTATTTCTGGATGTGACCGCAATCTTTCTCAGGACTTTGTGCACTTGTTGACTGTTGCAGGAATGGTTTAGAGGGACCAACTTTCTTCATGGGGGTTTCCTCCTCAGGCCTCAGTTGCCACCCCTCATTTCATATGCTGCTGGGTGAGTGACTCTGGTCTGCCCAATACTATTGTGGGAATCTTGTTTCTGAGCATGGAGATTCTGAGTAGAGACTCTGAAGCAGTATGTTGTATGTAGAGTTAGGATGCATAAGCAGGATAAATTTACTTCAGTAAAATACCTACTATCAGGATAAAGTGTTGGCTAACTTTATTAAATTAGATGTGGGCATTTTGCCTGGAGAAAAATTTCCCCTACTATTACAAGCCAATCATCTATCAAGAGTAGGATCTTTCCCTACCCACCAAAACTGAGTTGAGTGTTTTCCTTTATAGGCAGATAGAAAAGTTACACCCAAACCCTCACATAGGCTGAGGGTTCAACCTTTGGGCCCAGTGGTTCAAGCTTCTGCTTAGCCTGTCCCTTGTCAGGATGATACACAAATAAATGAATAACGGAAAAATATGTAAAAGAATAATGAAGAAGCTTCAAAGAGCCCCTTCCTATGAAATTGTAGGACAGCACTCCTGCCATCAGATTCCAACCCTGGAGCACAAAGCAGCTTAGACAGGCTCGCTACCCAAAGTCCTTCCTTCTTTGCTGTTGGGAGGAAGCTAAGAGCCAGCTGGAAGCATGCCCAACTCTGGGGCCACTTAGCTCCCTTTCTCCTCCCCTTGCCTTCTGACCCTGAATGCACAAAGGTGGAAGGAGGAAGCAGGAAAATTAGGCCGTTCCTAAGAGAAAGCATGAGCCTCTACCATGTTCTAGACTCCCCTCTTCTTGACATCAAGGAAACTTGATGCTAGAGGAGACACCAGGAGCTCCAATGCAGCTCTCCTTTGCCAAGGCTGCTCTCAACCTGTGCCTTTACTCTCGCAGCCCATCTGCCCCCTTGGCTATGTTCAGTGTTCTTCCCCGCACTCCCAAAATTTCATACACTTCCTCAAACACACAGTTCATCATACTGTATTGTAATTGCTTGTCTGATGCCCCCTGCTAGGCCAGTTGCTTCCTAAGCAGAGGGCATGCCTGTCTCATTTACTATTGCAGGTGGATATAGTATTGGTTTATCTGTTGTTAACAAATCAATGAAGGAATGAATGTTATTGAGCTAGGTGTGAACTCTGATGGGACATGGAGATAGGAGTTGCTGTTTTGAATCATTTAGAACTCCCATCCAGCTCTAAAATTCTGCAATTCCCTGTCATATAAAGTGAATAATATAATCCATGCTCTATAAGAATTTTAGATAATTCAGATGCCTGACCTTAAGGACTTAAAATGAGAATCTGTGATTTTTTTTGTCTGTTGCTATTTAGCAGCTAGATTGAACTGATTTGACTTGCTGATTAGATGGTCATTTTTTTTTTTCTGAGGCAATACAGGTTAATTGGCACAAACTCCAGGTGTTCCTATATGCAAATATAACACCAGGAACCATTGATTACATGGCAGCTCCACAGTGGAACTCTTATCACTGTTGAGAATCAAAGTTCCATTGTCAAATCCTGTGCCTGATCAACGTTTCACTCCCAGTTTTTATAAAAGGCATTCTACTTTTAACTAACTTCTCTATGGCAAAATAGACAAGGATTCTTCTACACAATTGAGCCAAGAATGGCTTTCTACCATATGAAAGGGGTATTTGGTGGTGACTTTTGTGAGCACAAAATCCAAATTACCTTCGAAAAATAAGTAAAGCAGCCATCAGATCAGTCATTATGCTGAAAACCAAAAATCTGTGGCTCCTGGCATCTGTGTCATCCATTTCCTGCTCCCCTGTGAGTACATGCACAGCCCTGGACCATTCCAGGAGGCACTGAAGCATGTATTTTGCAGAGCTCCAGGCAGCTCATCTTATGGCAAGTTATCTCCCATTGCAGCCCTAACCCAGAGATTTTGAGCACTGCTTGAGTGACTAAATTGGCCATAGATTTTTCCACACACCCCTAATATTATTACAGAGTTACGTTAGTTACATTATCATGTGGGCAGTCACTGGTGAGGAAGCTACAGCTACAGCCTGGCCAGACAATGTTGTGCCCACAGTATTTTGTGCCTTTCAAATAGGGGGAGAATAAAAGAATGAAAACTCGTCTTTGAGTCATTGGCACTCCAGTCGAAGCAAAACATGGCCCCACTGCTGCGTAATACATTATGCATCATCAAACTGCTGTTGCAGCTTCAGCAGTATGTTGGCTGCCCCGCACCCTTTCATGAACGTTTGGAAGCTGAATCCAGCATGGAGTTTGAATGTGACTGTTCTGGAAGAGAGACAATGCTGAATGGGAAGCAGAAATGCCAATGTGCTGTAAGGGGCTATCTCTCCTGCACAGTTATAGAAGAGAAATGTGCACATTCCGCCCTTCCAATTGCTATGGGTCATAGAAGACTGGGGAGGTTTTTTGTTGTTGTTGTGGTTTGGTTGGTTTTTTTTAGCACAGGACAGGAGAGAATGCAAAGGGCACCAGGTTTGATGAAAGGAATCTGGGTCATTAAGGTTATGCATCTTCCTTTGGGAAATATTTGTAGAGGTTGCAAATATCATTCTGGCTTCTATTCCTCTGTAGGTAATTTATGGGCCAGCTATCTTAAACACTTGCCTATTAAATAATATAAGATCTTTCAAGGAACTTTAATGACACTTTACAGAAATGGGTTGATCAGAAATTATTTTTACTTGAAAAAAAAGTAGAAAATAGAGAACAGAAACAATTTGGGGCTTGTGACATCCGATATCATGTTTTGAATAACATGACAACAGGATATTATCAAAATGTTGTTATCCCTATGTTAACCACTTCCAAAGAAACCTTTATTGTGATGACTCTGGCCTCTGAAGAATGACTCATTTCTTAGTCAATGAGGGGCACCATGGCCTAATCCTTAGAGTCAGATGCATAGCTGACAATTACTTCTACACAACAGCATTCATTCAGTAATCAAGCAGGGCATTTATAAAGCACTGTAGAGTGGTAAGTTCAGAGACATGAAAAGTTTGAGTTGATATGATAGCTTTATGTTTTTCTTAGCATATTTCTGATGTTTTATGCCTCAACTTGTAACCTATTTTGAAATATTAACATTACACTAAGTATTTTGCAAAATACAGACAAGGTAGTGATCCCTACACTATAGTTACATACTTCAATGAACAAAACCTAAGTGCTTCAGTAAAACTCAGTGGTAGGATAACAGTGAGTAGCTTTTATGAAATGAACAGGGGATTATGTCAACTAAAGTTCCCTAGTCATATCATTAATTCCTTTGTCTTATTACTTTCAGTAGATGGATGATTTACATCCTCAGAGAAACTGTGAATAAAAGGAAATAGTAAATAAACAAAGGGAGAAATGGCAAAATGATTATTAGCTTCACAAATGACAAAATATTCTTACTGTATAATCCTGTATGTTATCTTTGTGGCATGCAAAATTATCATTAACAAATAGTGGGATGAGTTATTTATTGCATGTCTCATACACTAGACTCTACAGTCAACCAGAACAAGGATTTTTCTCTGCCTTGTTCACTCCAGTTCCTTTAGTGTTTTACACATAACCAGTGTTGACCCACATTGTGTCCATTATCTCATGATCTGCCATCTGCTAGCATGCTATACTTGGTACCACTTACTACTGTTGTGGGTAGACCTCTCTCTGGGCAGTCAAATATCTTTGTGAATTCTACTTATATGAATGGGAAAGTTCAGAAATATATATGACTCATCTCTCTCCCCTTATTTCCTCATATTTCATTTCTAAGGTGGCAGAGTCTCAAAATAAGTGTAAAAATAAATATCTTTACTCTTCTTCATTTCCTGAACCCTTGCAGTTAGGTAGAGCCATGTGACTAGTTTTGGTTGGCAACATTTTATAGAAATAATATATTTTTTTGTAGTGAGGGAGTGAAAAGCCACCTACAATTGCCAGTCTTTCTTTCTCTGCCAGAGTAACGAAGGAAGTCATGTGTTCCAGATGGTATAGTCACAAGATGGTGGAGCCTTCATCAGCCTGAGTTCCTGAGTGACTGTGTGGAGTAGAACTATCTGACAAACCACATGAATCATGTCACGTAAACCAAAGCAAACTTCTCGTTGCCATTGCTGTTGCATAAAGCCACAGAAATGTTGAGCTTATTTATTACCTCAGTATAATCTAACCTCTTTTGACTAACATGGGCACCAAACTTTATTGATTCTTCTTTCTCAAACTGACGTTAGTCCCTTGCCGTTTCATTTCTTTACAAGGGGCCATGATGTCCTAGATGATTTCTGGCCATCAGTCTCTCCTGTTCTATTCTAATTCATTCTGTTCATGCTGCTGGGAGAATCCTTTCTGTCTAAAGATTTAATCAGGTTAGTCTTCATTTCAAAAACTTTTAGTGATTCCCATTTGACTTGCAAGCTATCAGTATCAACTCCTCATGTAAGCATGTGAGTTCTTTCAGTATTTGGCTCCAATTATAGATTCAGCCTCATCCCTTTCTTCCAGTCCATATGATCCATATGCTCTAGGAAACCAGTCCATTCATTCATTCAAAAAATAATCTATTTTCCAGTTTTTCTTTAGGGTATTAGAGACACAGTAGTAAGCAGAACTCACCAGGTGGGTGGATTTCAAGGAGCTTATATTCAGGAGCAGCAATGTCCAACAGAACTTTCTGAGATTATAAGTGTTTTCTATCTTCACTGTCTGATATCACCACCAAATATGTGACTCTCGAGTGCATGAAATGTGGCTACTATGACTGATGATAGAAATGTTTAACTTTATTTAATTTTAATTATTTTAAGTATAATTAAGACAACAGATATGAAATAGCACCAGACAATAAGCACCAGAGTCTGGTGCATGAGGAAGACAGAATGGTAGTGTTGCTGAGCATAGCGTGCAGGCGGGAGAGTTATCAAATGAAAGCTCAAGTTCCAGGGCTTTGTATGCCATGATAAGGGATATGCACTCCTCATTCTACTGACTGTTCCCTCAATAATCCTTCATAATTATGAGCAGCCATTTTTGGCCAGTGTTTACTGTATTGGGCAGTATAGTTTTACAGGTAGGAAACAAATATTCAGAATAAAAAAAAAGAGGGCAAAGTATCAGATTATGATAAGTACTATTAATAGAATTTAATGCGTTGTAGAAAATAGGTTGAAATGTGAATGCCATTGCAGGGTGGCTATTTTGCAAGGTTGGGTCAGAGAAGGCCCCTCTAGAGGGCTCATAATATAAATGACAAGAAAAGCAAGTACGGAAAACATCAGAGAAGAGTATATTTGACAGAGGGCACAGCCAGTGCAAAAGTAGACCTGAGTCTGGTGCATGAGGAAGACAGAATGGCAGCATTGCAGAGCAGAATGTGCAGGCAAGAGGGTTACCAAGTAAGACCTAAAGTTCCAGGGCTATATATGTGGTGGTAAGGGATGTACACTCCTCATTCTACTGACTGTTTCTCAGCAATCCTTGATAATTCTTGACTCTAAGCCTTTGCAAACAATGTTTTCTCCCCATTCTTTTCTCTCCTTCTATTCCCAAAGTATTTATACTTGAAGATTGTTTTCTTCTTGCATGAAACTTCTCATGTAAGTCAACGCAAAATGTTGTTTCTTATCAGATTTGTACCTCTTATTTGCTGGGACATGATGCAGTAAATTTTAGTCTGCTGTGACTTTTCATATCTATTGTTATTTTATTTAATTTAGTTTTTTAAATTTTTGTTTTGGTTCTATAAATGTATGAATCATCTCCCTATGCAAATGCAAGCACCTTGAGACTGGAACCCATGCTTTGAATTAATTCTCCAAAATATCTCATAAGGTTATGTTATATAATAGGTATGGGGTAAGTTTTATTGATTATCTGTAATTTGTTAAAGGTAGAACATATATATGTTTTATATCAACTATTATTTTATACTGTATTAACTGAAGCACACATTTATTTTATTTAGTCTTAGAAGTGAGCTAGACTTTGAGCTCCTCTGAGAAACTGAGCAACATAATGGGAGGAGCTACAATTCATTTTAAATCCTCAGCACCTAGCACAAAAAACTCAATAATATATGTGGAATAATATAATAAAGTCATTATGTCTTGAAAATGCATTATGTAAAACCCGTACAAACTTTGGCACACAAATCATCAAATGGAAATGGAGATATGGCTTCATTGATACGCAGTCATGATGCCACCTAGGACAAGGGCATTAGCATATTGTAGAAACTCTTCAGGGTACCCTGTGCCTCTCCACTCATACAAGATGCTGTGCTCTCTCGTTACTAAGAAAGCAGGAAGGATTTGGAATCCTAGGACTTTCTAGTTCACCAAGTCGACATGGTTCCATTGCAGACTAGGCAATTTCATACAAGGCTTAGTGCAAAAACTTACTAAATGTATTTTTTGAATACGTAATAGTGTCTTTCATCTGTGAAAATTTTTAAATAAAAAATATATATATTTTAGAGAGACAAGGTCTCACTCTTGCCCAGGCTGGAGTACATTGGCACAATCATAGCTCACTGTAACCTTGAACTCCTGGGCACAAGCCATCCTCCCACCTCAGCCTCCCAAGTAGCTAAAATTACAGGCACCTGCTACCACACTCAGCTATTTATTTTACTTTATTGTAAAGATGAGATCTCACTATGTTGCCCAGATAGGTCTCAAACTTCTGGCCTCAAGTGATCCTCCTGCCTCAGCCTCCCAAAGCACTGGGAAAACAGATGTGAACCACCATGTCCAGCCAGAAATTTGAGGCTAGAAGAGGGAAATTCATGACAGGATGAGAAGAAAAAAAGAATATTAGATTTAAAATAAAAAAATGTCTAGCTAGTAAGCAGCAAAATATCCCATAATATAGATGGCAAATATTAACTGGAGGAGTGAGAACGAATTCTGACCACTTGACCATAGTTCTGTTACTCATATTGTAATTCAATTTGATAAAAGGGTATAAGGAAGAATCTGAGGTGTAGACAGTGGCAGCTGGTGACTTGGTAACCTCAACCCCCACCTTCCCAGTCCTTATTCTCCCCTCAGTGATTCTGTCCCCAACAGTAGCTCTCCCTTCCCAGCACTGCCTCATCAGCCCATTTCCAATCCCTGCTTCTACTCATTTCTCCCCTCTGCTTCTCTGTCTAAAGAAAACAGGTTGCACTGGGAATCACAGGAGCTGCATTCTTCTTTAGAGCTTCCACCACCATTGTCAGTGTTGATCTGGCCACCACCCAAACTCTCCATTTCTCAGTTTCTCAAATCATGAGATGGAGGAGATAGTCCTAGCTTTTCACACACAATGCTGTGATATAGGCTACAAATAAAGCCCAGTTGGCATGTTGTAAACTACTCTACTGGTCTGAATTATAGTAATGTCTCCTAAAGTATGTTCTCTCATTGGTGGTTCTATCAGTGTTCACAAGTGTGATCAAAACTGGAAGATTCCACAATGAAATGGAATGAACAATAGCAGGATGGACAATGGTGGAAAGGGTTCTCGATGGTAGAGCGCCTTACTGCCTGGATGCTGATATAAGCTGCAAGGCTCCAAGAAGGAGGTACAGGAGGCAGTACTCTCCATGCTTGTTGAGCAAGCAAAACTTGTCACTTTGCTGAGCGTGTCATGTCCCTGGGATCTTGAGATCCTTTAGATCATGTTTTCGAGGAGTGAACTGCTTAGAATAGAGACTGTGGACACCTGTAAAGTCCTTTCCATCTATATAATGTGATGGAGTTGAAGCCCAGATCATTGGTGAATGAGAGGTTTTCAGGGCCATCTGTGGGCAGGACGCTGGCCCTGCCCTAGTTATAGTGGTGCTTGCCTCTCCAAAAAGAGGAATGTGAGCTCCAGGGTACACATCGTCATTGGCAAAATAGCTTTCACTCTCATTCTGCCCTCCTCAGTGAATCAATCCACCTCCCCAGCCAGTTCTCCTGCTCCAGGTAGAACAGTTGAGCTTCCCTGTTTGATTTAATAGATAGTTAAAAATCAACTCTAAATATAGTGGAGTGTAACTGCGTAATGATATGTTTATGTTCAGTGAGGGGGAAAAAAGGAAGTGAAAAGAGCAACAGTTAACAGTGTCACCTCCTGTTGAGCCCAAACTGTGAGATGCAGAAATTTGATACAGGATGAATAAAATTAAATCGTTGGTCCTTTTCAGCAAACTTGTTTCTCCAGACCTTAGCTGTTCAGCTTGGAAGTTCGAGATATCAATTACCTGTGTTCCTAAAGAGAGAATAGAAAACTGGATACCAAAAGACTTGCCCCTGGAGCCCCACTCCACCCTATACCGTACCCAATAATATGCCCTTCAAATGGGGTGACCTACAGGAACTCAAGTTCGAGCGAAGCAAGTCTCCAAACTTCAGTTCATTGCCTTGGCCAGTCACTTACATGCTGATGATTGCAGGTATTTTAGATGTACCGTAGGACCCTTGGAGTTGTCATAACTAGGGTTCAAAAGGCACGTGGAAGCCTCCCAGTGGGGAAAACCCCCCGAGATGACTTTGGGGTTTTAAATCTGTGTCTCTTTCATCAGTCTGTAAGGACAGAAAAAAAAGCCTGTTGTGCTTAAAACATCATACTGTTTTTCCTCCAACAAAATCCATTTTCCTAGAGATGCAGAGGAATGCAAGGCTCTGCTGATGGTCTCAATCTATTCTGTTAGCTTCATCTTCTGCTCCCTCCAGACGTTGCACTCCAGCCTCATCAAGCACAATCTGCTTGTTCATCTCTAGCTGCTCTGCGCTGTGGTCTCTAATTCTGTCTCCTGTGCTCGTTCCTTCTCATTTCCGGTAGGAGAGCCCAGAATTTCACTTTTGTATCTCTTCACATTTTTATCAACATCACTACCTTGGGGATCTCCTCAAACGCTGCAGCATTAAACCCTATATGCAATGCCTCCCAAGCTTATCAGCAGACCCCACCCCATCCCCCGACTACTGAATTCCATTCACATCGTCGACTTCCTACTGGAAGTTTCTCTTGGGCATGTAATAAGCTTCTCAAACTTGATGTGTACAAAGCTGAACTCCCAATTGTCCTTCCCAACTACTCCTCTCTTCTTTCTTCATCTCAGTAAATGGCAACTCTGTCTTTCTAGTTCTGCAGGCCTCAAACTTGAACGTTGTCCTAGAGTCCTCTCTCCATCACACTCATTCTCATATTTGAATCCATTATATTCCAATTATGCCTAGAATCCAATAACTTTCATCATCCCACTGATCCTACTCTTATGGAAACCACTCTCATCTCTCACTTGGATATCCCCTGTGTTAGAATGATTACAAAAATGACCACAATCTTAAACTCTCTCTGTAACCATCAACTATGCAATGTTTCTTTGCGTTTGTTCGAATTAAGAGGTAAATTGTACCCCGCGACACACATGCGGACCCAAACCATGACTGCACCTTGTTTAAAATGTAGATAATTGCCAATTCTGAGCCTAAGCTTTACTCCACTTTTTTCGTTTTGGAAATCCTGCCATTGCATGTGGATAAGCCCAGCTTAGCCTGCTGGAGGAGAACCCAGTTATCCCAGTGGAGACCATTCTAGACCAGCCTATGCCTAATAAACCAGCAAACATGTGAGAACCACTCCCAAGATTAGCAGAGGTGCTCACCAGACCTACAGCTAACAGTAGACCCCTGTGTGAGCACAACTGAGCAAGAACTATGCCATTGATTTGTACAGTAATAGTGAATGCATATTGACTTGTCCAGTAATAGTGAATGCTTATTGTTTTATGCCAGTGAGTTTTTGGGTGGTTTGTTATGCAGCAATAACTAGCCAATAAACCCACTACCTCCTACCCAAAGTGATCTTCCTGCTTCTGCCCTTTCTTGCCTAATGACCAGATTAATTTCATTAAAATGTTATATCATTCTATTTGTTGCTTCAAAATCCTGAAATGCCTCCTCTTCTTATGTAGAATGAAAGTCAAAGTTGTTAAAATGACCCATAAGGCTAATCTGATCTACACCCACCAACCTGCTACCTCTCCAATACTGTCACTTTCCCCCATCTGTGTTTCTGCTGTATGCATTCCAACCACATTGGCCTTCCTGCTATTCCTCAGATACTACAGGCATTCTACCTTCTTAAAGCTTTGACATTCACTATTCCCTCTGCCTGAATCGTACTTCCTGTGGAATATGATGACTCACACCCCACCCACTTCTTCAGCTTCCTAGCAAGGCCTCCCGTGGGCACCGTATCTAAAATGAAATTCAAGTACTCCTTCCTACTCTAACATCTTCTGTCTTCCTCCCCTGCTCCATATTCCTCCTTAGTACTTTCACTCTCCTACCAAATATAGATTTTCCTTTTTCTCTTTCCTGGTACATTTCTATAAACTCCAGTCAGGCAGCAATTTTGTCTGTTTCATGCCTTGCTGCATCCTAAAACAATGCCTGCCATATAACAGGAACTCTACAAATATTTGCTAAGTGAATGAATGAACAAGTGTATGAAGTTAGATCCTTAAGACTCAAATGCTGTCCCCTCTCTGCCTGGCTCTTGATTCTGCACTCTCCCATATGTTATTGACTTGTAGCCATCTCTTTAAACTTCGTATTAGTCCGTTTTCATGCTGCTGATAAAGACATACCCGGGACTAGGAAATTTACAAAGGAAAGAGGTATGATGCAAAACTCATAGTTCTACATGGCTTGGGAAGGCAATCATGATGGAAGGCAAGGGGGAGCAAGTCACATCGTAAGTGGTTGGTGGCAGGCAAAGAGAGAGCTTGTGTAGGCAAACTCTCGTTTTGAAAGCCATCAGATATCATGAGGTTTATTCACCATCACAAGAACAGCACAGGAAAGACCCATCCCCATGTTTCAATTATCTCCCACCAGGTTCCTCCCACAACACATGGGAATTACAGGAGCTACAAGATGATATTTGGGTGGGGACACAGAGCCAAACCATATCAAACTTACACTAATTTTACTAGAGCCATATTCCCATCTCTGCAGCAGTTGGCAGTGAGTACTTAATTTTCTTCTAATACATAATACATTGTATTTGAATTATATGTAAATCTAAGTTCAAATTCTACCTATTCTTCAAAAAAAAAAAATTAAAAAAATCTCCGCCTGGTTCTTTCGATCCTCTCCTCTAAGTCTTTAAAATGTTTGAAGCCTATTTAAAACAAGGTCTTACCTAATTTTTCTCTACCGGTTGCCTTTAATTGTGCTAGAGTTGTTTCATCAATTAGAAACTAAGCTCTTAGAGTTTTTCCCTATCCCCCAAGGTGTCTTAAACAGTCCTGACTGGTATAAATCTCTTTTACGTCCTGCATCAAAAGATATAGGGATAGGTAAGAGTAGTGAAAGGAAACAATGAATAACAAGAAAGATAAACATGGCCTCAAGGACTCATTCCTGTATTTTTATCCAGAATTTTGCTGAAATATAAAAGATATGTTAATCAGACACATAAATATTAAAGAGCAAATGTACTGAAGTTCAGAGAGTTCAGTAGATTGAATTATGAGGCAAACCTAGGGATAAAATCTAACAAGGACAAATATGAAAGCCAGCATTGAAGACCCAGCAATCAATAGTACAGGCATACAGATCAGGGGAAACCAGAGCTGTTAGCTCCATGAAGGGAAAAAAAAAAAGGTCCCTGGCTTTAGGGATTTCAAGATCAGAAGTATCTCCAGTATGAAATAACGATTACAGAAAAAGCAGTAAACAACATTAGGGAGCAACATGGACCAGAACAAAAGATAAAATAATTCTGTGCCAGTCAAAGCACATCTGGAGCCTTCTGTTTAATGATGGGTGTCACATTTTACGATGCTGAAAAGCTGGAGCTCACTGAGAGGAAGGGGGAGAGCTGAGAGGTGGCTTGAGAACTGGTCCACTGGTGGCTTGGTTAGATAATTTGGGACTGTGTTGTCTGGAGAAGAGATGTGAAAGCAATTTTTTAAATACCTAAAAATCAAGAAGACATAATCTGGGCAGTTATCAGGGAAAGAATCAGAACCCAACAGAAGGTAGAAGAGCCCACTGCCCTGTCTGTTGTGGAAGAAGGTGCTGCCAACAGGCCAGACTTGTGAATTGGACAGCCTCCTGAAAACACGAGCCCCCTTCCAGAGTCAGTGTAAATTCAGAGGGGACTGACCCTGTCCTGAAGAGTTGTAGTAGGGATTTCTGGAGTGTAGTAGAGGCTGAGTGAGGTGAACCCTCGGGGGCTGACAGCATTGGAATACTACAATTCTGGGTATTTTTGTGGGACTGTTTAGAACAGGCCAAGTTGATGATTGGCCCATGGCTTGTGAAAGCTTGGGCTGGAGTGTAGGTAAAGGGTCCAATCCCAATTAGATACACCAAAAAGGGACCAGAGGTGAACTGTGTGTGGGTCTGTGATTCTGATTCTGGTCAAAACTGATCAATGTGATTCTCAACTTTCTCACATGTAAAATAGAAATGGGGGAGGGTGGGGATGTCTTCCTTCTCTTCATGGAGTTGCTGGAAATCCCAAGTAAGCTCACATGTGTATATGAGCCTTCATAGAGTAGACATTATACCCAGAGACTAAGTTTCACATATGTATGTAAGGATTACTGTATTTCTAATTGCGTTAGAGTTTTAAACAGGTATTCCAGAAAATAAGAAGACAGATCTGAATTTCAAAAAGGACCTTTGCAAGACCTCTAGTGACATTTTGGTCTAAATACAGGGATACATCTGGGTGATGGTAAACCCAGACGGATTTATCACTGGATGAAGGGTTCTGCCCCAAATGATGCTGATTGATAGATCAATGCCAACCTAGATAAAATTGTTTGATGACAGAGCTGTGTCCTCAAGCCCTGCTATGGGTCATAAAAAGATCAAAACAGATGGAAGTAATCTAACAAAGTTAAGTTTAATATGGGTGGGAAATTTGGTCTTATACTGGATTCTAAGAAAGCAACTTAAACTCTGAAATGTGAAGACTATATTTAAGAGTTTAATCTGTCATAAATTTAGTCAGTTGAGTGTGAGTCAACATTGCAATGTGGTACCCAAGAAGGAGAATGTCTTCTTAGGCTACACTGATAGAGGCATAGCTTCTTAAAAAATAAAACTACCAGCCAGGCTCGGTGGCTCACGCCTGTAATCCCAGCACTTTGGGAGGCCAAGGCAGGCCGATCACAAGGTCAAGAGATTGAGACCATGCCGGCCAACATGGTGAAACTTTGTCTCTACTAAAAATACAAAAAATTAGCTGGGCATGGTGGTGGGAGCCTGTAATCCCAGCTACTTGAGAGGCTGAAGCAGGTGGATCGCTTGAACCTGGGAGGAGGAGGTTGTAGTGAGCTGAGATCGTGCCACTGCATTCCAGTCTGGTGACAGAACAAGACTCTTTCTAAAAAAGTAAAAATAAATAAATAAATAAATAAATAAATAAATAAAGCAACCATAGTTGAGTTCCCCTCTGTACTGGCTAGGCTGCATATTCACTCCTGGGCATCTCAATTTTAAAGGGAGTTTTGACCAATATGACTGATATGAGCAGACACTGAGAAAAGCAGCACAAGGTAAACCTGAAACCGCTTGCATGAACGATGGGGTTAGGGAAATTATTTACCCCCAAAGAACACCCCAAAGACTTAGAAATTGCAAGAGCACTATGGCTTGGTCTCCAAATCTAGGTTCAACAGTGCCCATCCATGCCCAGCCTCTTAGGTTCAACAGTGCCCATACATGCCCAGCCTCTTAGGTTCAACAGTCCCCATCCATGCCCAGCCTCTTAGGTTCAACAGTGCCCACCCATGCCCAGCCTCTTAGGTTCAACAATGCCCATCCATGCCCAGCCTTAGGGTCAACAGTGCCCATCCATGCCCAGCCTCTTAGGTTCAACAGTGCCCATCCATGCCCAGCCTCTTAGGGTCAACAGTGCCCATCCATGCCCAGCCTCTTAGGGTCAACAGTGCCCACCCATGCCCAGTCTCCTTGCTAAGCTCTCCTCTTCAGGTATTCACATCTTCTAAGCAAGCTTTGGGGTCCACTACTCTTGATTTTCCAAGATCATGTATTTGAACATTAACACACACACACACTCCTCTTCTAAAATTAGCGATGTTTTTTAAAGGTGCATCTTAACCTGGATCTGGAAAAAAAGGTTTTTTTGTTTGTTCATTTGTTTGTTTTTTAATAGAAGGTAACCCATAGAAATGTAGCTTTGTCCCTTATGAGGAGAAACTTCCAAATTGTTATTCACAGCAGTTTAAATCTATTCCAGAAGAGGGTTTTTGATCTACATTTGCATATCTAAAGGTCCTTTGGGTGATTTTCCCAGAACAAAAAACAGTCTGCATGAGAGATAAATATAGGCCTCTACCTGGTAAGAAGCATAAACGTGCCAGCAAATTTTAAAGACCATTTCTATCTGTCTTTTCATCTAGGATTCAAAAATCAAATCATGAGTTCCATCCTCAGCCAGGGTCACTTTGTCACCTTTAATCAGTGTAGAAGAAAAAGGGGGTGGCCACATAGGAGGCAAACTCAGCACTTCTCAAATCAGTGACTCGGCAGCCATGCCTCCATGTGGTACTGGAGCAACTCTGCTTTCTGCCATGGAGACAGTGGTCTCGGTCTGACTATTTGGTATATGGAAGAGAAGGAAGAGAATAAGTATGTTTAAACATTAATGAACTTGAAGATCACCCTTTTAAACTGTGTTCTGAACCGGGGCTTGAGTTCTGATAAAGAGAGGGGAGGTGCTCATTGAAGTAGAAAGTGGCTGGAACTGAAGATGGTCTAACAGATCTTGAGAGGATGTTCTTGGAGAAACAATGACATCAGTTTTGGGAATGCTGAGGTGAAGGGTACAATGTCCAGAGGAAACATGGGGCTGGAGCTCAGGGGACAGGTTCTGCCTCCCACTGGTTGAATCATTGCTTCTGATTCTTCCAAGCATCTTGGTACAACTCTGGGATGAGTGGTAGTGAGGCACAGCTACCTCCTTAGCACAAGCCTCTTCCCAAATTCGGAATGCCCATTGTAGCCCATTTCCCTGATGACATCATCAGTATCAACCACATGATGTCATCTTGTGGGGGGTGGAGGCGAGCCTCGTATCTCCAGACCTCTTCTCTGGAATCTGGAATGCCACAGGGATAGCTCTGGATATGACACAGGACATAATTCTACATTTATGGCTATTGAACACAAAGACTTCTCAAAGGAGCAGTTGAGATATTTAGACCTTCCGCTATTCAAATACATCTCAATTTCCTCTCATTCAGGCTACAGCTTTATGATAACATTTTATTTTATTTTGTCTGAAACCACTCAAATGAGGAATCAGTATTTGGTTCCTCTATTTAGGTTTTGAGAGCTTTACCTTTTGGCTGGGATCATGCTCTATCCTAAGTCTTTGACATCCATTAGAGCTGTATCTTCTTCTTCATGCTCTCCACTGTCACACCTCCCCAGGGCACACTTAGCTCTGCCTAATTCTCATAATTACATGTGGGGTGGTCATGAGTATTGATGGAGGAAATAGATCCAGACATCAGCTAGATGCTGTGAAAGGAAAGGGAATAGTCACCATTCATTTGGGGGATTACACCAAGTTCCTGTCAACTTCCTTCAGCCCATCATTTCTCTCTTCACAAAAGTCAAAGAACTTTGACATCAATTATCTCATTCTGCCCTTGTAAAGATAAATGAAGTTGAATATTGACTCCATTGTACAGATGTGGAAACTAAGGCCCACAGAGGCTACGGTAGCAAAGTAATGCTGGATATTCCGAAAATGCAGGAACTAGAAGTTGCATGTTGTCTCCTGTGTCTTAACTATCTTGTGCTTTCTGCTCCTCTTTACAGCATTAAGTGCAGAGAATAAGAGACATTGATATTGCAGAGATTAATGTTTCTATATCATTAACTTTGTGCAGAGCATTATACTGGGTGCTTTACATATGCAGTGTTCAGTGAGTCCTCACCAAAACATGTGCTATTTCTGTCCCCATTTTAGAGAAGAGAGGAATTAAGACTCAAGAGGGCTAAACAACTCTCCCAAGAGCACATAGTGAGATTAGGGTCGAGAGCCAACCCCAGCCCTGCCCCATGCTTTGGCCTGTGCCATCTGCCCATGAGGCAGTCAAGTTCAACGCCCCAGCAGCGATTCTGAGCAGAAGGGCTACGGGAGTTCAAGGAGTCCCCACTCCTCCTGGGGGCAGACTGGGCAGATGTCCCAGAGAAAATGGGGTTGACCTGGAAGCCATCCAGCTCTGACAAATACACATCCTGGGGGGGGTCAGTGCTTAGAGATAATAAGCACAATCATTCCTTATTTCCTCTGTTGGATGACTGCAAGAACAAGGTCTCATAAACAGGTTTCACCTAGAGTCTCAAGCTGGGCAAGAAGAATGAGTAACTAGTAATGCTCGAGTTGGGTGTGAAGCAGTCTTTACTCTCCTTGGGGCCCGGGGGGATGGCTGACCCCAGCTGTCCACCTTCAAAGATAGCACCCACTGAGTTTCAGATTCAGCCGAGGCTACCCAGAGCAAACAGTGCTCTTGGTAGGAAGAGTGCTGGTTTTAATTAATTAAGTGAAAAAAGACTCTTAATGATATTTCTCTCTCTCTCTCTCAATCTCTCTCAATCCCTCACCCATCACTATAACATGTCATTTGCTTCATAGTGGCTTCTGAGTTGCCACCACACCAACTCTGTGATCCACAAAAATCTTGCATTTAATACAGCAACGACACCTATAATGGGGAAGGGGTGGGGGTGGGGAGGCCGCACATTTCACCATTTCCATCTAGATGAGGAGCAAACAAAGAGATAATTATAAACTGTTTCTCTTATTGTTGCACTCGCATTAGACATGTGCATCTCTCTCTCCCTCTCCCTCGCTCGCTGTCCTTTTTTTTTTTTTCTCCACAGAAAAGTAATTCTGTTGTGGAGATGGCACCAGGTGCACGGGGTGACCTCACACACACCAAATCGGGAGCTGACATCCATCACACTTTGAAATTTTGGATTTCATCATTTCCTGATCTTTCTAAAGGGATCACAGCACCTGGCCCTCACAGCTGTAGTTCATTTAGAAAGCAATTTAAAAACCGAGAAAAAAGCAAATGACATCTTGCTGCCTCAGCCTTGTCATTAAGTATAGCAGAATGGCCTTCATTTATGAGGCACATGGCTAAGAATTAATATCTTTCAGGGCTTTCTCGAGTAGAGATTACAAAAGGTTTGAAAGACCACTAAATAATTAGTGGTATGACTGAGGCAAGCAAAAAAAAGGGGGGGAAGAATCCCTCTTTTTCGTTCTACAGAAGAAAATCAGAAATTACACTGACTTTAGTGTGTCCTAAATGTTGGGAGGCATCCGTGCAGCACCCTTTGTGAGCCATATTCTGTGCTGTGGGCTTCTTCTGCCTTCCCTGGTATTTTCAGCAGTCCCCGTGGGTGTGTGCTCTTCATCTCCAGATAGTGTCCATTCGCCCAAAATAAAAAAATATTTTTCCCAAATGTTTTGCTGAGTTAAGACTGCTTTAAACATCTTCAAGTCATCTCACAGAGTTCTCTTCCCCTTCTTACGTTGCAAGCCTCTTTAGATAAGGTTGATGGGGAACATAGACCAGGTTGATGGAGAACAGTCACAGGGTGGACACAGCACCAGCTAAGGATATCTGTGTTCTAGTTTTTCCAATTCTTTTTACCATTTAGCCACATAAAATGTGGAAAACAACTTCTGTCGTCCGAGTCTCAATTTTCTTATTCTGCAAAATGAATGGATTAAAAGACATGGCTTCTGGAATCTTTTAGTTAGCTAAGTACACTGAGCAGGATTTCTAAGAACCATTTGGAAATCGGTTCAAAAGTTTTGCCAATACAGTTCTAGCCAGAGTTTCTTTGTCTCACACCCAGGACGCATTGAGAATAAAGTGCTAAATTGCTTCCAGACCTGAGTCTTATTTTTAACAGTAATTATTTTGTTGAGTACCATAATATGTTGGTGGTATACTTACATGATCTGTGATCTTCCTTATCACCCTTCACAGTGGGCATAATTATTCCCTTTTTACATGCGAAGAAACTGAGGCTTGGCCAGCTTCAGTAATGTGTCCAATTTAGAAGGTAGAACTCAACAGATCCTCTAATCCTTCTGAGCAATGTCTTTAGTAGCTTTCAGGGAGCCACTCTAGTTGAATTCCTAGGATACTGTCAATTTGGTCTACCGAAAACCCTGGAGCTATGAAGCCTCCGACCCCAGCCACTCTCGCTCTGCACCGCACATTCACTGTTATCTCTTTCAGGTAATCAGTATTTCACTCATCAATGCTGAGTGGTCCTCTTACCTAGGTGTTTCCCAACATTCATGAAAACTTATGAGCCCCTAAATGTGTCAGAAAATCTCCTGAAAGAGAAAGGGCATGTGTATTTTGCACAATATTCTAGGAGCCAGCCATCATTCCTAGATGCCATCCATGCAGATATAACTTAATTCTCACAACCACCATACCAAGTGGGGTTTATAATCCACACTTCACAGCAAGAGGCATAGGCTGAGGCAGGTGAAAGAGCTTTCTGTGATGGATTGCACTATTGTTTCTGATTATTCTCTTGTTCTTCCTGTGAGATGATGTTTGGGTCCTAGCTCCTTACTGTGTGACTTGCAGCACCTCCTGTGTGGGGGTAGAGGTGTCCCTGCCCTACTCATGGGGCACGTGGCCATATGACCTCCTGTGGCAAATGGAAAGTGAGCCAAGGCGCATGGTTCTCACCAAAGGAGTAGCGTAAATCCTTTTTGCGTGCCTGCCAGTTCTCTCGTACTTTGTCTCTGCCAAGAGAAGGCTGTGCCTCCTATGAGGCTTCTCCTTGAGCCTGGGTCCCCCAGTGAAAAGACAGGCAGAGTGGAACTACAGGCAAACCACAGTGGCCATTAGACAACCAGAGCATAAAATACAACTTTTTGTGTATGTGTACATCACTGATGGAAGTCCTTGTTGTTTAACCCAACAAACCCAGCAAAAGCTGCATAACACACTTGCTTACAGTCTCCACAAAAGTGGCTGCTTCTGCACTGACACTATTCAAAGTACCCATGAAGTTCTGATTACTTGTGGTCTATTCAAAAATACAGCTACATATTGTCACCAGTCAAAAAGAGTACAAAATAAGATAAAGGCTTTGTTGGATTTTACAGTGGATAAATCCCTGAGCTGCATACAGTAGATAAATCCTTGATTCAGGATCAATAATTTTATTTAATATAAATTTCTTTTTTTGAGACAGAGTCTCACTCTGCCACCCAGGCTGGGGTGCAGTGGTGCGATCTCGGCTCACTGCAACCTCTGCCTCCCAGGTTCAAGCATTCTCTGCCTCAGCCTCCCGAGTAGCAGGGACTACAGGCGCCTGCCACTACACCCAGCTAATTTTTGTATTTTTAGTAAAGATGGGGCTTCACCATGTTGGCCAGGTTGATCTTGAACTCCTGACCTCAAGATCCATCCGCCTCGGCCTCCCAAAGTGATGGGATTACAGGCGTGAGCCACCGCGCCCAGCCTGAATATAAATATTTTTTATTTTGGACGAATGGACACTATCTGGAGATGAAGAGCACATATCCACGGGGACTGCCAAAGGGTAGGCAGAAGAAGCCCACAGCACAGAATACGGCTCACAGAGGTGCTGCAGGGATGCCTCCCAACATTCAGGACGCACTAAAGTCAGTGTAATTTCTGATTTCCTTCTGTAGAATGAAAAGGAAGGATTTCCTCCCCCACCTCCTGCTTTTTTGTGCTTGCCTCAGTCATACCGCTAAGTATTTAGTGGTCTTCCAAACCTTTTGTAATCTCTACTCAAGAAAGCATAAAAAGATTATTCACCAAGAAAGCCTCAGTGTGTAGCAGAGGCACAGGCAGGACCTTCAGAGATACATAGATATGTGATTGCTTCTTAAATAGTCAGGTAAAATTTTAGTGCAGTCACTGACATTAATTCATCTGTAGCTTAGAGACAGTAATCAATTCAGACTGTAAATACCAACTACATGGAGAGCTCTCGTTCTTTCTTTCTCTCTGCATTTATTCATCTATGTATTTATTACGTTTAAGAAATCCATTGGTTAGTTTTAAGACAGCTCTAAACAGCTGCCAATGAAAGAGCCGCTGGTTGTGAGTGTGTTCCTTGTTGCTCCTACACCTGCATCAGTTTAGCCAAAAGTTATATCCAGTTTTGAAAAGGTAAAATTGTGTGCATTGGATGACAAATCCTATCAGTTTACCCAGGGAAGAGGTGTTTCCTGAAATGTGAGAATTTCTGTTATTAAACCAGGGAAGTCCCAGGTGAACTGAGATAGTTGATCTCCCTAGGTATGAGAAACAAGTCTTTATACTGATATATTCTCCATAGACATATTGCTGAATCCCCACATCTACTACAAAGCTCCAATGCCTCCTTTTCCATGAAGACTTTCTCCCTTTCACTATCTTCCAAAATTATATTGAAATTGTCCTCAGAATGTTGAAAAGCCCTCATAACTTTGTCACTCACTCAAAGGTTAGCATTTGCATTCCTTTTTATTGTTTCTTTTGTGTCATTTGTCATTATTGCTACAAATTCTCTTAGTGATAATAGAGTAAAATGACTCTGATTTACTAGCTCAGTAGCCAGATATTAGAATGGCTTGGCAAACTTTCCAAAGTCCCATCCCACGGCTCATCTCTAATTAATTAAATCAGAATCTCTGGGGATAAAGATGGGGCCCTAATTTCATCTTTTGTTTTTGTTGTTTGTTTTTATTGTGCTTTGTTTTTTAAGCTCTGTTAGTGATTCTAACATGTAGCAAGAGTTGATAAATACTAATATGACTCAACTCATTAATTAAAAAACAACAACAAACAAACTGACTTTGTCTAACAGAAGTTAACTATCTCATCTTAGATTTCTACAGATTGCCAGCAGCAATGTTTAGGGGGAAAAAAGGAAATCAAGAAACTAAACTGTCTGATCCCCTAATCTTTCATGAAAATTTTTAAATGGAGCTGTCCATCTATCTGTCCATTTCAACTCATATCCATACTGTACCTCAATTTTCCCGTTCTGCTTCCCTCTTGTTTTCCTCTCCCTAAACTATGAAGAAGACATCAGAACAGAGTTGGCTTCTTGTGGACAACAGAATAAATAGAAGTTGCTGAATCAAACAAGTTGTTTATGCTATGATATAATCTCTCTCTCCTTCCCAAATTGACCCTATACATCACATCTAGGTCCGATAAATCTCTCAGCTGTCTAATGCAGAGCTTCTCACTCAATTGTCAATGATTGGTAACATATATGACAAGATATTGATCCCTTTAGCTTTCTAATAGGCCAGGTAGGATATGGCAGGGCAGAGACCTAGTACATCCACAACTCCAGATCCTTTGTCCAATTCTACCTGTAGGCTCTCCTTACTCCAGGGTGCTGTAAACAGATAATCATTTTCTATATGTACCAGAATGTGAAATTTTATGATAGACTAAATGCTATTAACTTGTTCTCTCTCTCAATGATTTTCTCTTCCTTTCAATGATGTTGTCGTCTTAATCTGAACACTTTTTGGAGAATGTAGCCTACCAAGCCTACCAAAAACGCAATGTTTTTGTTTACATTATTTGACTTAATTCTTAAAGCATCTTTGTTGGATTTATTTTATAGATTAGAAAAGGAAAGATTTGAGAACTGAAGAATTTTCCTCAAATCACAGAAATGATAAGGTAGAAATGGTACTAAAAACTGTGTAACTATTTTAGTTTGTTTGTTTCTAATTATTATATCACTCTTAAATTTGCCCTGATACCATCTTCATCATCAAAATCAACACTAAGTAACATCATTACCTTGATTTAAAAGAGACATACTTTCTCCCAATTTCAGGTTGATTTTTCAGTCTGTATTCTTCCCTTGAATGCCAGAATTAGTAACTAGAAAAGAGACTTTAAAGATCCAGATATCTAATAAGTGTAGTAAGGGTTAACGTGGCAGCCCTGGGTTGCCCAAACCTTCCACATTCCAAAGGTCTTCAAGACTGGCCCTTGACTAGCTTCCAGCAGTTGCCTTGAGCCTTTGAAATAAACTCACTGATAAGAGTTTCTTTGTGTACCTATGATTGGGGCCATGCCAGATAGTTTTTGCTAACAGTGGAGTTTATGGTGAATGCTTATTTGTATATGCTTTGTAAGTGGTGGCTTTCAGTCATGCTGTGTCAATTTGGCTTCCAGAGAGTCTGGGGGTGAGTAGCTAAGGTTAGTTATTGGCATTGCTTACCTACATGAATGACCCCCAGTAAAAACCCTGCATACCAAGTCTCAAGGGAGCTTCCCTGGTTGACAACTTTGCAAGTGTTGTCACACATAATTTCTGGGAAAATTAAGTGCCATCCATACAACTCCACTGTGAGAAGACAACTGGAAGCTCATGTGTGTTCTCTCCTAGATTTCAACTTATGCTCCTTTTCTATTGGCTTATTTTAATTGGTATCCTTTCACGCTAATGAATTGTAAGCATGAGAAGGACAGCTTTTCAGAATTTATGACTCTTTCTAGAAAATCATTAGACCTGAGCGTGGTCATAAGAATATCCAACACATGATGCTGTTTGGAGGCATGGAGCCTGTGTTAGTCCATTCTCAAGCTGCTGTTAAAGCCATACACAAGACTGGGAAGAAAAAGAGGGTGAATTCAGCTTGTGGCCCTACATGGCTAGGAAAGACTCACAATCATGGCAGGAGGAAAAAGGCACTTCTTACATGGCAGCAGCAAGAGAAAATTTGGAAGAAGCAAAAGTATAAACCCCTGATAAATCCATCAGATCTTGTGAAACTTAATTCACTCTTAATTGAATCATAATCCCCATGATTCAATTACCTCCCGTAGGTCCCTCCCACAACATGTGGGAATTGTGAGAGATATAATTCAAGTTGAGATTTGGGTGGGGACATAGCCAAACCATATCATTCTGCCCTGGTCCACCCAAATCTCATGTCCTCACAATTCAAAACCAATCAGGCCTTCCCAAAAGTCCCCCAAAGTCTTAACTCATTTCAGCATTAACCTAAAAGTCCACAGTCCAAAGTCTCATCTGAGACAAGGCAAGTACATGCTGCCTATGTGCATCTAAAATCGAAAGCAAGCTAATTACTTCCTAGATACAAATGGAGTACAAGTATTGGGTAAATACAGCCATTCCAAATGGGAGAAATTGGCCAAAACAAAGGGATTACAGAGCCCATGCAAGTCTGTAATCAAGCAGGGCAGTCAAATCTTAAAGCTCCAAAATGATCAACTTTAGCTCCATGTATCACATCCAGGTCACGCTGATGCAGGAGGTAGGTTACCATGGTCTTGGGCAGCTCAGCCCTTGTGGCTTTTCAGGGTACAGCCTCCCTCCCAGCTTCTTTCCCGGGCTGGTGTTGGGTGTCTGTGGCTTTTCCAGGTGCATGGTGCAAGCTGTCGGTGGATCTACCATTCTGGGGTCTGGAGGACGGTGGCTCTCTTCTCACAGCTCCACTAGGCAGTGGCCCAGTAGGGACTCTGTGTGGGGGCTCTGACCCCACATTTTCCTTCCACACTGCCCTAGCAGAGGTTCTCCATGAGGGCCCCACCCCTTCAGCAAACTTTTGCCTGGGCATCCAGACGTTTCCATACATCTTGTGAAATCTAGGCGGAGATTCCCAAACCTCAATTCTTGACTTCTGTGTACTGGCAGGCTCAACGCCATGTGGGAGATGCCAAGGCTTGGGGCTTCCACTCTCTGAAGCCACAGCCCAAGCTGTACATTGGCCCCTTTCAGCCATGGCTGGAGTGGCTGCGACACAGGGCACCAAGTCTCTAGGCTGCACACAGCACAAGAAGCCTGGCCCATGAAACCACTTTTTCCTCCTGGGCCTCCAGGCCTGTGATGGGAGAGGCTGCCATGATGGTCTCTGATATGGCCTGGAGATATTTACCTCATGGTCTTGGAGGTTAACATTAGGCTCCTTGCTACTTATGCAGATTTCTTCAGCCAGCTCGAACTTCTCCCCAGAAATCTAGTTTCTTTTTTATATTTCATAGTCATACTGCAAATTTCCAAACTTTTATGCTGTGCTTCCCTTATAAAACCAAATGCCTTTAACAGCACCCAAGTCACCTCTTGCTGCTTAGAAATTTCTTCTGCCAGATATCCCAAATCATCTTTCTCAAGTTCAAAGTTCCACAGATCTCCAGGACAGGAGCAAAATGTCACCAGTCTCTTTGCTAAAGCATAACAAGAGTCATCGTTACTCCAGTTCCCAACAAGTTTCTCATCTCCATCTGAGACCACCTCAGCCTGGATCTTATTGTCCATATCATCATCTGCATTTTGGGCAAAGCCATTCAACAAGTCTGTAGGAAGTTGCAAACTTTCCCACATTTTTCTGTCTTCTTCTAAGTCCTCCAAACTGTTCCAGCCTCTGCCAGTTACCTAGTTCCAAAGTCATTTCCACATTTTTGGATATCTTCTCAGCAACGCCCCAATGTACTGGTACCAATTTACGGTATTAGTCCATTTTTACTCTGCTGGTAAAGACATACCTGAGACGGAGAAGAAAAAGAGGTTTAATTGAACTTACAATTCCTCATGGCTGGCGAGGCCTCAGAATCATGGTGGGATGTGAAGGGCACTTCCTGTGTGGTGGGGGGCAAGAGAAAATGAAGAAGAAGCAAAACAGAAACCTCTGATAAACCTATGAGGTCTTTTGAGACTTAATTCACTATCATGAGAATAGCATGGGAAAGACTGGCCCCCATGATTCAATTACCTCCCCCTGGGTCCTTCCCACAATACATGGACATTCGATTCAATTTAAGATTTGGGTGGGGATACAGCCAAACCATATCAGAATCATACATGTGGAGAAACACAGAGGACTTGGGTGTGACTGTCACTGGCCTCCATGCTAAGAACAGATGCAAATATCAGCCATAGCTTTTATTAAGGACTTTATGGTTTTATTTCTCAACGGAGAGGGGAAAACAGAAGAAATTCTACAGAAAAACTAGAAGGTAATACTCAGTTAGTGTAGAGTCAATTGCTTAAGTATGTACTAGTATTTAGCATTGTTACAGACTTTCAAGGAAAACTGAGAAATGTAGGAATCAAATCATCTTTCTTTTACCATTAATGCCCTTGAAATAATACAATCTTGCCAAGGGCATTTACTCAGGAATAGATTAATGTTCACATGCTTGGAAGATAAATTGGCTACTGACATACTCCTATTATTATTTTTTTCTGAACAGCCACAAAGAGCTGCCAATTTCATAGGAGTAAGAAGTTTTTCTTAGGTATGATAGATCTTAAAATCATTGGAAAATGAAACCATTTTTGCTAATCAGTACTTTTCATTTTTCTGCACTTTGTTTAAAGAATGAAACCGAGTGTGCATCACACAAGCATGGGTTCTTTCCCTCTTCACACAGCAGTGCACTTCATGGTTTGGTGATGCTCATTTTAGCTTCGTAAAGATTACATTTCAGAATGAAGTTTTACAATCACTTTTACAGTGATCTTTGAAAATCAATGAGATGTGTGACATCAGAAAGTAAGGCAGCTGAAGGATTGAAGGATGTGCCATCTCAAATTATGCCAGATTAGCATATGATTACATGAAGCATGATTATTGTCAGTTGAAAACATCCGAGAAATTGTAGTTTCAGATAGGGCTAGCAGACCTGTTTCTTTCTGCATTCAGAAAGCCATAAAGATGACTCTGGGAGGGACACCCTCCCTGTACCAGGGTGAGAAAATCAACCTCATCACCAGGGACTTGGAATTGGGGGCTACAACAAACCTGAATAAATCCACTTCCTGATGTAACCCTTATCTGCTGCTAGTTTTACACACATCCATACATCTCCCCATGATTCCCCTAGAAATTTACTGCCCCTACCCAGATCCCCTTTGTCTTATCATTTCTTCTCAAATTCATTGTTCTTTGACTAAAAAGTATAAAAGCATCTTGCTTTGGCCACTTCTTCAAACTTCACCCTCTTGTGAAGATCCCCAGGTACATAGAAAACTAATAAAATTGTTATACTTTTCTCTTGTTTGTTAATCTGCCTGGTGTCAAATTTGGCTTCCAGCCAAAGGGCTCATATAAGAGCTAACGGCAGGTTTGCAGTGATCACTGGCTCCCCTTTACAGCAAAGAGCTAAACTAACAATCTTAAAGGTAATTAGTTTTTTGAGGCAAGGTCTCTGTCTCTGTCACCTAGGCTAAGTACCATGGGGTCATCTTGGCTCACTGCAGTCTTGACCTCCCGGGCAAAAGTGAACCTTCAGCCTCAGCCTCCTCAGTAGCTGGGAATACCAGCACATGCCACCAAGTCTAGCTATTTTTTGTATTTTTTTGTAGACATGGGATTTTGCCATGTTGCCCAGGCTGGTCTTCAACTCCTAGGCTCAAGCAATCCACCTCCCAAAGTGCTGAGATCACAAGTGTGAGACACTGTATTAGTCCATTTTCACACTGCTGATAAAGACATACATGAGACTGGGAAGAAAAGCAGGTTTAATTGGACTTACCATTCCACATGGTTGGGAAGGCCTCAGAATCATGGCAGGAGGAAAAGTCACTTCTTACATGGTGGGGGCAAAAGAAAATAAGGAAGGAGCTAAAGCAGAAACCCCTGATAAACCCATCAGATCTTCTGAGACGTATTCACTGTCATGAGAATAGCACAGTAAAGACCAGCCCCCATGATTCAATTACCTCCCACTGGGTCCCTCCCACAACACATGGGAATTCTGGGAGGTAAAATTAAAGATGAGATTTGGGTGGGGACACAACCTAACCAGATCATTCCACCCCTGGCCCCCCCAAGACTTATGTCCTCACATTTCAAAACTAATCATGCCTCCCCAACAGTCCCCAAAAGTCTTAACTCATTTCAGCATTAACTCAAAAGTCCACAGTCCAAAGTCTCATCTGAGACAAGGCAAGTCCCTTCCACCTATGAGCCTGTAAAATCAAAAGCAAGTTAGTTTTTTCCTAGATACAATGGGAGTACAGACATTAGGTAAAAATTCAACCATTCCAAATGTTAAAAATTGTCCAAAACAAAGGGGTTATAGGGCCCATTCAGGTCTAAAATCCAGTGGGGCAGTCAAACCTTAAAACTCCAAAATGATCTCCTTACACTCCATGTCTCACATCCAGGTCATGATGATGCAAGAGGTGGGTTCCCATGGTCTTGGGCAGCTCCACCCCTGTGGCTTTGCAGGGTACAGCCTCCCTCCTGGCTGCTTTCACAGGCTAGCATTGAGTGTCTGCAGCTTTTGCAGGAGCACAGTGCAAGCTGTTGGTGGATCTACCATTCTCGGGTCTGGAGGATGGTGGCCCTCTTTTCACAGCTCCACTAGGCAGTGCCCCAGTAGGGATTCTGTGTGGGGGTTCTGACCCCACATTTCCCTTCTGCACTGCCCTAGCATTGGTTCACCATGAGAGCCTCTCCCCTGCAGCAAACTTCTGCCTCCAGCCGTTTCCATACATCTTCTGAAATCTAGGCAGAGGTTCCCAAACTTCAATTCTTGACTTCTGTGAACCTGCAGGCTCAACACCAGATGGAAGCTGCCAAGGCTTGGAGCTAGCGTCATCTAAAGCCCTGGCCTGACCTCTACATTGGGCCCTTTCAGCCATGGTTGGAGCAGCTGGGATGCAGGACACCAAGTCCCTAGGCTGAACACAGCTTGGGGACCCTGGGCCTGGCTCACAAAACCACTTTTTCTTCCTGGGCCTCTAGTCCTGTGTTGGGAGGGGCTGCCATGAAGACCTCTGACATGCTCTGGAGACATTTACCCCATGGTCTTAGGGATTAACATTTGGCTCCTTGTAATTTATATAATTTCTGCAGCCACTTGGATTTCTCCTCAGTAAATGGAATTTTCTATCACATTGTCATGCTGCAAATTTTCCAGACTTTTATGGTTTGCTTCCCTTATAAAGCTGAATGCCTTTAACAGCACCCTAGTAGCTTTTTGAATGCTTTGCTGCTTAGAAATTTATTCTGCCAGATACCCTAAATCATCTCTCTCAAGTTCAAAGTTCCACAAATCTCTAGGGCAGGGACAAAATGCCACCAGTCTCTTTGCTAAAACATAGCAAGAGTCACTTTTACTCCAGTTCCCAACAAGTTCTTCATCTCTATCTGAGACCACCTCAGCCTGGATCTTATTGTCCTTATCATTATCAGCATTTTGGGCAAAGCCATTCAACAAGTCTCTAGGAGGTTGCAAACTTTCCCATTTTCCTGTCTTCTTCTGAGCCCTTCAAACTGTTCCAATCTCTGCCTGTTACCCAGTTCCAAAGTCACTTCCACATTTTTGGGTATCTTTTCAGCAACGCCCCACTCTACTCATACAAATTTTCTGTATTAGTCTGTTTTTACGCTGCTGATAAAGACATACCTGAGACAGGGAAGAAAAAGAGGTTTAATTGGAACTACAGTTCCACATGCCTGGGGAGGCCTCAGAATCGTGGTGGGAGGCTAAAGGCACTTCTTACATGGTGGTGGCAAGAAAAAATAAGGAAGAAGCTAAAGCAGAAACTCCCAATAAACCCGTCAAATCTTGTAAGACTTAATTCACTATCATGAGAAACAGCAGCTCCTGTGATTCAATTACCTCCCCCTGGTTCCCTCCCATAACACATGGGAATTCCGGGAGATACAATTCAAGTTGAGATTTTGGTGGGGAAATAGCCAAACCCTATCAGCCACCTCTCCTAGCCCTTAAAGGTAATTTTTAAAAAGAAGAAAATTTTCAATTATGCTTTATCCTGTGAAGCAAAGAAGTATGTTAATCTAAGAAGTATTACAGAATTTGAACACTGTCCCTATTATTTTTACCCCAAAGCTGTATTTGCTATGAAAATAAACATTTCCCCAGTTTCACGAACACATTAACTGAAAATACAACACATGGAAAATTAGGGAGTGAGCCTCACAGACATTAAGCTTTTGCTCATATCTGTATTTTTTGTTTTGTTTTGATTTTAGGGACACCTTTTTTGAAAGGGCAAAGGCTTAAAAGGAAAAAAAATAAGAAAGAGAGAAATGTTTCCAGTAGTGCACATATCCAGAGATACATTGGCAAGAAACAATACTCTGAATAAGGTCTGGGGAGAGCTAGCGAAAGTGGCTCCATTTATGAACTGCGTAGAAGCTGAAACTGCATATTTTCAAACAGATTGTCTCCACAAACCAAGATAACAGCTTGAATCAGGAGAGGGCTGCACTGACTCAGGGTTAGAGGTGTGAAGTGCAGGGGGGAGCACTGGAAGGCGGCCACAGCACATGGACCATGGGATGGATGGATGCCTTTTCCAGATCTACACGGGAGAGGGTGACATGTGACATTCACCACGGCGACTTTTTGGAAGCAGCTCATTTCATGGATTCTTAGCATTAAAAAAAAAGTCAGAATTATGTTTACTTTAAATAGGGCATGTGCTGATTTCTCTCTCATTCCACAAGGCATTGTGTTCTCTTGATGCAGCAGGAAAGATACCCTGAAGGTTAGTGGTAAGAGACCCACATCGCCATGGTTACCTCCAAGATTCCTTTCTTCTCTGCAAAAGCACAAGTCATCAAAAACTTAAAAACCCCATACTGAGTCTAACTAAGGAGGAGAAATAAAATACTGTCAATATTTTTGACAACACATTCTCCATCTCCAGCTGCAAATTGCTTTCAAATACACTTTGGAAATGGTGTTACAGTGCCCTGTGACTGACTTGGCATGGAGTTGAGCTCTTAACATTTGGGAGGGGAAATAATATTAAATCGATGAATGGATGCTTTGAATTGTCTGCACTTCCTTATTTACATCTTTTCATTAATATTAAGGTGTGATGATATGTTTTATTCAAAGTGAGATCTAAGCGCTCTTCAAAGACTTGTAGGGATTAAGAGCTCTTCTGATTATTGGCTCAGCAGAGGTCCAGTCCTTGGTAATACTTTTTTTTTTTTTTTTTTTTGAGACAGGTCTTACTTTGTCACTCAGACTAGAATGCAGTGGCACAAATACAGCTCACTGCAGGCTCAACCTCCCAAGCTCAACCTATCTTCCCACCCCAGCCTCTTGAGTAGCTTGGACTACTGGCATGTGCCACCATGTCCACCTAATTTTTTTATTTTTTGTAGAGTCAGGGGTCTCCCCATGTTTCCCAGGCTAGTCTTGAACTCCTAAGCTCAAGTGATTCTCCCGCCTCAGCTTTCCAAAGTGCTGGGAGCACAGGTGTGAGATGCTGTTCCTGGATGGTAATGATTGTATTACTTTCTCTCCATACCGCAACACCCGCTTCTTCATACCTCTCTTGATGGTCTTTATACACTTTATGTTTTGTATCTTAGCCATGCACAAATATGGCTTCTCTCTCCAACTCTCTTTAGTAATCTTTGATGAAAGAACAGTGGTGTGAATTGCATTTGTATCCTTTTTAGTGTGTCTAACACAGTGTTCATATAATGAACTCTGAATAATTATTTATAGATTGAATGAATAAATGAACAATATAAATGATGTCACCAGTGCTAGAAAGGTATAATCTGTTAACTTAGACATATCTCAACAAGTTATTAATTTTTATATTCACTGAGACAAATTAAGAAAAAGTAGTCGATATTTGCATGCTTGGAAGAATTTAATTCTGGTGACTTTTTGAAACGGAAATTTTGTAAGTGCCAATAAATAGCATTTACATTATTTGTTGTGCTCTACAATTTCGTCATGATAATAAAATATTGTTTGGATATAAAAAAGATCTGACTAAACTAGCCTGGGTGGTGTCCAAACCATCTGTTTAGGTCCAAAAAACACTTGTAGGGAATAAATATGTCTATAATGAGCTTGTGACTTTTAGATTTGAAACCTTAAGTGCAGAATTCAATAACAGTCCTCAGATGGCAGCTCTCAGAGATATCTACCAAGGAAGAAAACAGACAAGTTACCATTGCTAGTCAGATGCCTTTGCCAAGAAAGCGGAAGCATGGAAATGTAGGTCACAGATGGAATTCCATTATTTCATGGCTATGGTGTCCTAAGCAGAAATCTGAAAACCACACCTGGCTGAGTTCCGATCAGAAGGAGCACCCATGTCCCCCTCTGTGGGGCTTGGCCTACTCTCAAGCATGGCCCTCTTCCCTCTCACGGATAGGCAGGAACGATTTTCTTAATCTTTACTTCGTCTAACATTATTTATATCTTCCACTGCAAGCCAGGCACTGTGCACATTGTTGGTGGTTCAGCAGCAATCCAGATAAACTTGATTCTTCCCTCCACGGAGATTTTTGCAGAATGAACACAGTCTTTGGAATCAAATGCAGATCTGAATACAACGCTTTCTACCCAAGAGCAAAGCAGATACATAGGATCTCTGACACCTCAATAAAATGCTTATATCCAAAAAGGATCATGCAATGAGAATAGCAGAATTTACAAAATCTCTGCTAAAAGGATACTGCTAGAATGTAGGCAAGATAAGGAATATGCATGGTCAACAAGGAGAGAAAAATGTGACAGAGATCAGAGTCACATGGATGAAAAGACACGATTACTTAATGAAACCAAATTTGCTTAGACCCCCTCAAAAATGAAGAAGGCCCTTCACCTACTCAAAGATGAGGAGAAATATGTTCTCGGCTGTGTTAAAATAAACGCAAGAAAAACTTTATCCATTTCCAAATGCTTGTGTGTGTGTATTTCTGTGTGTGTGTGTGTATCTGTGTCTGTGTGTAAGATAAAAGTTAACCCCATTTCAAAACCTGCTAGCTACATACAGATGAACTGTATTCTAAATACTGTTGTAAAAAATTCAGTGTTTAAATAAAAGCTTTTAAAAAAGAAAAATAAATAATGCTATGGGACTAGATTGAAAAACATGAGTTTTCTTATGGATTTCAAGTTCATTGCTCCCATCAAAATCCATGCAAGCAAAGGCACGAGAGCCAACCACAGTGACCCAGAGTCATTCTTCTCATTAACAAGAATCAGGGGAGTTGTTCTATTCAGGCTACAGATGACCACAGTTATCAAACTAATGCCAGACAATTTCCAAGCCAGCTGGCATGCTCTTTGTCCACAGTAATTCAACTATTGACTGACAGCCTACAATGGGCATGTGAAGTGGCCCCTGCAAGCCTGAGAAGGCTGGAGAGAACAGGATACCTGTGGCTTCTGCCTTCATGGAGCTTCAAGTCAAGAGGGACAAAAAAGCTAAACAAACAATTCAGAGGCTTGTATGTTAGAAATATTTCACGAGGATAGAACAGGTCATGTGGGAGCCAGAAAGGAGGGTGGAACAAATTGAGAGAGGGTGGTCAGGGTCAGACTTCTGAAGACACCATTTTGGCAGAGATGAAAGTTTGAGGGAGAGAAAGAGCCAGACAGAAGTGGCGGTGGTGATGGTGACGATCATTTCCTGTAGGAGGAAATACAGGTACAGATTCTTCTGCAGTTTGGTGTGTTTGAGGTTATACAAAACACATTCTGTGTCAGAAGAATGAGAAAGAATCAACAAGATACCCAAAAATGGCTCACTCACCATGTCCAATCTACCAAAGAAGAAAACGGGCAAGTTACCATGACTAGTTAGATGACTTCGGCAAGAAAGCAGAAACATTAAAATGTAGGTCACAGATGGAATTCCATTATTTCATGGCTATCGTGTCCGAAGCACAAATCTGAAAACCACACCATCATTGAGCTGCAAAGGCTTTATGTCACTGCTTGGCAACAAGTCTTTCAGGCACTTAGGAATATGGAAACCTTCCTAATTTACTTTCTGCCTTAGAAGCATCAAAAATAGTAAGAATAAATAAACCCCCAAAACTATAATCTTCTGAAATGAAATTGAATGAAAACATTATATACAAATGTGTAGATGCAGCATAATTAAAATATTGCAAAGAAAAACTTTGATGTAGGTGATAATTTTGGAAAGAAACAGTAAGCTTATAGTGGCATTATGGTTTTATTAGAGAAATTAACTTTTTTTGTAAACATTTTTAAATGGTATTGTCCTCTTATTTTTATTTAAATTTTTTCTGGTTCTCAGAGGCATAGAGCAGAATTACTTGAAGTTATTGATTTATGGCATCCTCATTGGCTCACGCATGGCTCTTGTTTATTTGTTTTGTTTATTCGAATAATTTAAAATACATCTAATCCTCCATTAGCCAAAACAAAACATTAGAACCTAACCAATAACCTCCATTTAATTATATGGCCCCATCCCATTCCCTTGTCTTCATCATTAGGTAATTATCTACTTGCATCTCAGGTTAATCTTTCTTTTCTTTTGTCCTTCTTTCCTTTCCTTCCTCCCTTCCTTCCTTTTGATGTCAATCTATTGCATCTCTAAGTACTGCTACAATGCATTGTTTTAAAAATCATGGTTGTTTTTTAACTTTATAAAAGGGCATTATGACAGATGTAATCCTTCAAAACTTATTTTTTGCACTGAATATTATTTTGCTTAGATTGATCCATAATGTCTTACTGTATTTCACTGTGTGAATATACCAGAGTTTATTGATGCTCTGCACTTTCTGTTCATGAGTTCTATCTGGGCTTTTGCTATTGTGAATAGTACCTAAATGAATATCCTTACATATGTATTCTGTAGTTCATATGGAAAAGTTTATCTTGAGTATGTGTCTGGGACAACAATAGCTAAAACATAGGTTAACAAATGTTTAACTTTACATGAAAATGCCAAACTGTTTTCCAAAATGGTTGCTCCAATTTACAGGCAATTTGAAGGGGATTCTGTGAATCCATAATCACTCCAATATTTGGTATTTTCAAATTTTTTTCCTAAACAAATAGGAATAGAAGGAGATACCATTTTCATTTTAATTTGCATTTCTCTAGTTTTAATGATATTTGGCACATTTATTTTCTCTTTTATGAAATGGCTATTCATCTTTTTTGCCCATTTTCCTCAAAAGTCAAAAATTATCTGTGCTTTATTAATTTTGAAGTGCTCCTTTTATATACTATACTTGCTACTGATCTTCGTTAGTTTTGTATTTTATAAATTCCTTCTGTCATTTGGTAATTTGTCATTTTACTATTTGTATTGGTCCATTCTTACATTGCTATAAAGAACTACCTGAGACTGATAAAGAACTACCTGAGACTGGGTAATTTATCAAGAAAAGAGGTTGAATTGGCTCATGGTTCTGCAGGCACCACAGGAAGCATGGCTGGGAAGGCCTCAGGAAACATGCAATCACGGCAGAAGGTGAAAGAGATGCAGGCACGTCCTACATGCCTGGAGTAGGAGGAAGAGAGAGAATGGGCAGGTGCTGCACACTTTTAAACAACAAGATCTTATGAGAACTCACTCACCATCACAAGAACAGCAAGGGCTAAATCAATCTGTTCATGATCCAATTACCTCCCAATAGGCCCCTCCTCCAACATTGGGGATTATAATTCGACGTGAGATTTGGACGGGGGACAAAGCCAAACCATATCACTATTTTACTTTATATTGAAAAACAAAGTTAATTTTAGTATGATAAACTGAATTCATCTTTTTTCAATAAGCAAGCCATTTTGCTTTGATTTAGATCAGTAAATCTAAATAATATCAATCTATATATTTTACCATTAATTTTAAATTGTTTCTAAACATTTAAAACACTTAATTAAAATGGCGTTTAATTTGGAGTTAAATTTTTTTCATTTTGTGAAGATGCAAATCTCTCCTTTTATCTTTTCATAGGATAATCATTTTTTCAACTTCATATATTGAACATATACTTATTTCCCAATCTCAGATACCAGTTCCATATAAACTTCCATAAATATGTGGGTTGTCTACTTGATCCATTGGTCAAATTGCCATCACCATATGTACATATACATTTCCATATTAATTTTAAAATTTGCTCTTCAGTGTCTGAAAAAGGCAAACTTTGAAGAGCTTTAGACTGGGATTGCACTGAATATGTAGCTCAATGTGAGAACTGACTTGAGCAGTATTGAAGTTTTAGACAGATGAATACAGTACATCTTTCTATTCATTTAACATGTTCTTAATTTCTTCAGTAATGTTTTAAAGTATGAAACTTGCATGAATTTTAAAAATGTATGCCTAACCATTTCATATTTTTATTCTATTGTAAATGGTACTGCTTTTCTAAAATTCCGTTTCCAATTATTTGTTGTTAATACCTGTAATGACAATTGATTTCTGTATATTGTCTCCATATTGTGTATTCTCACTAATTCATTTACTAGATCTAGCAGCAGATAAAATCTACTAGTTTCTTGTAGATTTTCTGTAATCTGAAGAGTTAACTGATTAGTTCTAGTAACTTTCTTAGAGATTCCTCATGGGTTGTTTTCTTTTTGTTTTACATAGATGATTATATCAATTATAAATAAAGATATTTTTACTTTTTCCTATCTAATATGCATACCTTAATTTCTTTTCTTGTCTTAGTACATGGGCTAGAACTCCAAGTGCAATGTTGAATAAACGTGATGGGAATAAAATTGTTGCTATTTTATCAATTTTAGTGAAAACATGTTCAGTCTTTCATCATTAAGAATGATTCTAGCTGTAGTTTGCCATTGTTATTTCTAGAAATTTTTGTTAGGTTGAGACAGTGCCTTTCTATTCCTAGTTTTCTGAGAGTTTTTATAATAAATTGATGTTGGAATTTGTTAAATATGTATTATTTTACATCTCTGTAGATTGTTCGAGTAAGTAGTTAGGCAGACATGAACAGGGCAGGAGAGCTTCCCTACCCAGGAATGTCAGGCAACCATCAAGTGATGGTCAGGTGATTGCTAAATTATCTCTCTAAAATGATAATTAGTTACAGCCAATGCCAGGGGAAGACAGTCTTCCAATAGAGAGAAAACACCTGAAGCTGGTGATCAGCAGCTTCCAGATAAGCTCTCAGGAGTTGGGTAAGTGGGTTCAAGCATGCACACTAAGAGGCAAAATGGTGAATTTTAATTGGTGTCTGATATTCCTCTAAGAATGCTCAACTGGTAAGGGAAAATTGCCTCAAGTGAGCATACACACAACTTCAGTAAACACACTGCACATGCAGCCCCTCCCAAGGGCTGGCAGGCCACTAAGCATGCGGACAGCCTGCCCCAAGGAAAAAAAGGGAGTAGAAACACAAACCCCAGAACCATGCCAGTATATAAAACCCCAAGTCCAGTGCTGAATGAGACTCTTGAATCTTTCAAGTCACCCACTTGGCCCTCTTCCAAGTGTACTTTGCTTCCTTTCATTCCTGCTCTAAAACTTTGTAATGAACTCTTGTCTCCTGCTCTGAAACTTGCAGTCTCTCTCTCTGCCTTAAACCCACTTCTGCCCCTTAGCTGAATTCTTTTCTCTGAGTAGACAAGGATTGAATTTGCCACGGACCCATATGAATTCACTACTGGTAACTAGATGATAGTGTAATTTTTTTCTCTTTATTCTGTTAATATGGTGAAGTGAATTAATTGGTTTTCAAATGTAAAGCCAACCTTGCATTTTTGGGATAATTCTCACTTGGCCATGGTATATTTTTATAGTGTTCATTTTTATTTCCTAATATTTTGTTGAGGTTATTATGTCTACGTACATGAAAGTTGTTCATCTATAGATTGTGCTTTGTAATGCCATTTTTATAGTCACCTACAGAAACAGATGGACTCCTCACCCAAAACATCACTGGATGTCAAGACTGATGGCGCCACACACACACCAAGACATTACGGAAAGGCTTATTATGTACATGATAGATTTATCTGAGGTGAGCAGGGAAGACCTTCAATGTAGATCTCGTGCCAAAGGAAAAAACACCCAGGTTTTCTTTTCAGTTTGTCAAAATGAGGGGCACAAAGAGAAAGTCAAGAGGTTGGATTTAAATGCTGTCGCAAACATTAAAAACTGAAGTAAGACTCATTACAGTCTTTGTCTGGCTTTGGTATTAAAAATAACCTGACCTCATAAAGTGAGATGAGTATCCTATACTCCAATTACTGCAAAAGACTATTTTGCTATTGGTACTATTTCTTTAAACATATGACCAAATTCACCAGTGAAACCATCTGGGCATAGAGATTGGATGGGAAGGTTTAATTGCAAGAAACAGGGTTTTTCAGATTTTCAGATTTTCTCTGTCTTATTTTTTTCTAGTTTTGATAATTTAAGTCTTTCAAGAAATGTATCTATTTCATCAATTTGTCAAACTTATTGGCAGAAAGTATAAGTAATATGATATTATTTTTTAATATCTGCAGGATTTACAGCATTATTTCAACTTTTCATCCTATTATAAGTATTTTGAGTATTCTATTTTCTTGGTCAGTCTAGTTAAAGGTTTATAAATTTTACTATTATGGTTTTTCAAAAAACAACTTTAGATTTTATTAATTTTAAACAATTATTAATTTGCTATTTCACTGATCTTTCTTTTTGTTGTACTATTTCTGCCTTTTGGGGGTTTAAATTATTCTTGTTCTGGATTCTTAAGTGACAGCATGAAGTTTCATCTTAGGGTTAGTTTTATTAATTGTTTTTTTTCTCCTTAATACAAGCCTCATTTTTCTGCTTTTGGCATGTAACTTTTCTTTTTATTGCACACTGTGTAGATGATACATAGTCAAAAATCTAGATTGTGTTGTGTTTCTTCAAGGAAGGTGAAAATTTGTTTTGCTTTCAATCTTGTGACTAAATTTTGTTCTATTCAAGTATTGTTTTATCTTTTTGGGGATAGCTTATTTTGGTTATGCTCTGTATTTGAGGATATGGTTCTTTCTTTAGAATATGGTATAGAATTTTATCTTAAGAAATGGTTTTATTAAATCTCCACTGAATGCCTGAGGTTCCCAGCAAAGTCTCTCTGCTCAGGCCAGGTTGGAGCTCCACGTCTTCCATTATTTCACAACACACAGCTGTAAAATTAGCTGTAAGCAATAGAGTAGCCAATTTCTTTCCGGCCTTGTTATACTTTGTCTACACCTGATCAGGACCTGAAGTGAACCCCCATGCAGAATTCTGCCCCACTCCCAACACCATATGTAGCTCTCTCTTCTTTGATACCTTAGTCCACAAGTTCCAGACACATTAACACCCTGGAACTCCAGTCTTCACCCCTTCAGCTCAGTGACATCACTGCCCACTGTGGGCTCCACCTGTCTGCAACTTAGTAGGGAAAAGTACCTACCTGCCTTGGAAGGTCCTAATGAGGAAGCCGGAAAAAATGCAGAGCTCACCATTCTGATCCTTCTATTGCGTAATGCTTGGAAATAATATTACATAGTTTGCTTCACATAGTTTTTCCAATATTATGGTTGTAATGGTTGTATACAAAGAGAGAATAAATCCAGTGCCAGTTAAAACATCTTTGACTACCCTGCTTCTCCAGCCCTTCACCCTTCTTTATAAAATATATAATCATGTTAATGAGTGCCCCGGAAAGACTTTTAGGATTTTGCTGGGATTGTGTTAAACCTATCAACCAATTTGGAGATAATGACATCTTCACAATATTACGTTGGGCATATCTCTCCATTTATTTAAATTTCCATTAATAGTTCTTTGTTTTATATGTAATTTCTAAACATTGTAATGTGCTTCCATTGCTACTATCACATACCTATTATTTAATAGACCCTTACACAATTTAAAGATTCATAGAAAGATCAAATGAAATGTCCCAAAACAGTTATCTAATTATGTTTAATACTTTTAGTGACAGAGCTCACTATAGCTAATTTTGTCAAACAATTAACCTTGCTATGAAGTTTTTCCTTATCATGAGCCAAAATTTTCCTTCCTGAAGCTCTGTGTCCTAATTTTACTCTGATTTTAAACAAATACATCTAATTCTTAATATTATTACTTAGTTTACATCATTTGCAAATTACTTTAAAAATTTTAAACTATTGTACAATTAATCTTCACTAAAAACTGGACATAAAGTGGAATTGGTACTATTTGTCCAATTTATGGGTAGAGAACATGGAAATCAGAGAGTTAAAACATATTTCAGTTCTCACAGTTGGTTAGCTAGAACTTTGGCTCTCAATTCACTATTATTTCCATCAATGCCAAGTTTAGTTTATTTCAATCTATTCTATGGAGCAAGGTGCAAGGTCACAAGAAGGTAAGAAACTGACATTAAACTTCCTAAACTTTTCTAAAACACATATCTAACTTACAAGTTATAAGCAACTTTAAACTCCTTGGATATAGTCAGACTTGAACTGATGGTCTATTGTAAAGGGAGCACTTCCTGTCTTGTACTCGTTGGTGATCTACTTACTCAACCAGCAGAAAAGACTTACAAGATTCTCTCAACATTATCTGTCTTAGTAAATCCAAGGTGACTTTAGATGCAATCAGTAATTGGTGGCACATTTAAGTTATTGGACTTATTATTAAAAAGAATTTTGAATGTGTGAGAGTAGATTGAAAATAAACTGAAGGAGGAAAGGGCATTAGCATTCATGAGCGGCCAAGAGTTTTGTGTGCTTCCTACTCATTCATCCAGCCAGCCCTGTGCGGTAGTTTGCATTATCTTTATTTTACAGATGAGGATTGTGTGCTGAAGATCAAATTCTTTGACCTAGATACTCTGACACCACAGGGACTATTTTTTTTCTCAAATTTGCATGCCACAGTGCACCAGAGAGATTTTTGAAAAGATATTTAATAAATGACAAAAATACCAGAAACTTTTACCAAATTCTGCTCTTTTAGCAATAGCAAATAAACTCAACAATTAGCTGATTGAACAAAAAGAAGAAAATGTAGAAGGGGCTAAAAAGTATTTATTCATAACATATCAGGGACTTTGCTAAAAATTGTACACATATTTATCATTGGAACACAACATGAACTTACAAAGCAGTTACTGATTTTATCTTCATTTTATAAATAAGAAAAACTGTATTTTAGAGAGTGTAATGGTTAATATTCAGTGTCAACTTGATTGGATTGAAGGATGCAAAGTATTCTTCCTGGGTGTGTCTCTGAGGGTGCTGCCAAAGGAGATTAACATTTGAGTCAGTGGACTGGAAGAGGCAGACTCACCCTCAATCTAGGTAGGCACCAGCTAATCAGCTGCCAGCATGGCTAGGATAAAGCAGGCAGAGGAATGTGGAAGGACTAGACTGGCTGACTCTTCCAGCCTCCATCTTTCTCCTATGGTGGATGCTTCCTGCCCTCAAACATCGGACTCCAAGTTTTTCAGCTTTTGGACTCTTGAACTTACACCAGTGGTTTGCCAGGGGCTCTTGGGCCTTCAGCCACAGACTGAAGGCTGCGCTGTCAGCTTCCCTACTTCTGAGGTTTGAGACTCGGACTGGCTTCCTTGCTCCTCAGCTTGCAGATGGCCTATTGTAGTACTTCACTTTGTGACTGTGTAAGTGAATACTTTTTAATAAACTCCTTTCATATATACATCTGTCCTATTAGTCCTGTCTCTCTAGAGAACCCTAATACAGAGAGTAAGTAATTTTTTCCAATTTTATGCAGCCAGCAGCAATAGGGGTGGCTAGGAGACACCAGCCTAAAACCAGCTCATTCTTAAGCCTTTGCTTTTGAGACAGGAGAAGTTCCCTTGTCCCCCTCACAGGGCATGCAATGGGGTTGTGGATTGCGTCTTCAATGCCCTGCTGCTAAAACCTCTCTGGGAACATATAGATGGGCAGGCTGTGGGGCTCCAACCCCACAGCAGTGTCTAGGGTTGAATGTTTACAGCTGAAGCCCCAGTGGGCATGTATTACAGAGTGCTCTTTTAGTTTAGCTGTCTGTAGGCAACTTGTGTAAACCAGCTCAGTTAGACCCTCTACCTTCTCACAAGGACAGAAGACTTTCTGTGTCCAGGGTTCTTGCCTTGGTGTACTGGAAGAATCAGATCACATGTGGGCTTGGAGAATGAGTGCAAAGTTTTATTGAGTGGAAGTAGTTCTCAGCAGATGGCGGAGCCAGAAGGGAGATGGTTTTCCCCTGGAGTTGGGTTATGTGGCGGCCCCAGCTTTCTTCCGACTGGCCTGGGCAAACTCTGCCTCCTCCTGCTGGTCAATAGCCTGATGGCGGGCTGGCATCTGCCAGTGTGCTCTTCGGCCAGAGTGCTCCCCTTAACGTCCTCTCAACATCCAGCCACTTGTGTCTTCTTCCTCTGATCCGATCCTCTTGACTTCCGGCTGCCTGTGTGTCCGCCCGCTAGGGTCTCAGGTTCTTACACGCACAGGATAGGGGCGTGATAAGGCAGGGTGATCTTGGAAAATGCAATATTTGGGTGCAAAAGCAGGAGTGCCTGTCCTCACCTAGGTCTATGCGGGTGCAGCTCTAGCCAGGGACCCCCCTTTCTCTACCCAGCACTCCCTGTCCCCGCTTCTGTATGACTGAAAGGGACCACGCTCTTCCCTTCCCAGCACTCTCATATCAGTTTCACTTACGTACAAAGATGGTAAAATACTGGGCCAGGAAAAAACATGGATTAAGGTAGAATAGGGTTAAGTTTTTGTGTTTTTTGTTTTTAAGGGTCTTTTTTCCCACAGTATGTGTAAGACACCTCTGAAACATCCTAGTAAAGATGAAAATTATTTTACTAAACCTCTGCAACAAATCTCTGAGATAGAAACATTTATATCTCTATTTTATCAAATGTTTAGTGAGACCTAGAGAAAATAACTGCAACTTTCCCATGAACACTGTACTAGTCCATTTCCACACTGCTATAAAGAACTTCCTGAGGCTGGGTAATTTACAAAGGAAAGAGGTGTAATTGACTTACAGTTCAGCATGGCTGAGGAGGCCTCAGGAAACTTACATTCATGGTGGAAGGCAAAGGGAGAGCAAGGAACCTTCTACAAAAAGCAGCAGGAAGGAGAATGAATGCAGGAGGAACTACCAAATACTTATAAAACCATCAGATCTTGTGAGAACTCACTCATTATGATGAGAACAGCATGAGGAAAACCGCCCCCATGATCCGATTACCTCCACTTAATCTCTCCCTTGACACCTGAGGATTATAGGGATTATAATTCAAGATGAGATTTGAGTGGGGACACGAAGCCTAACCATATCAAACACAAAATTAGGAAATGTATACCTGAGGGCCTAGCCTGGGTCTGAGGCCCCCCCCAGTGGCCAAGTCCTCTCCTCTGTCTTCTCCATCCTCTTCTAATGGTCAGGCTATGATGCAAACACTCACAGATCGCAGTGAGGAAAAACACGCTGAGTTCCATGGTGATTGCTGGACCCAAAGCTCTTCACTTAGAAAATGCATAGTTGGGAGATTCATGGTCCCTCCTGCAGAGTAATCATCTCACAGATAAAATGCACAGGTGCATTGGTGCTGGCTCATGTCTGCGTTGATTTCCCAGAGGGGCTCATGCTCAAAAGTTGAGTAGAAAATGAGGACTTTAAGAGTGCTTAAAATTTTGAGTACCCAAAGAAGCACTTCTGAAGCACAGAAGTTAAACAGCTCATTAGTTAGGACTCCATCCTCTCAAAACACTGCAGAGATCCACACAGTGTTGCCTTGGACAGCAGCTGCTTCCTGGAATCTTTATACTGTCACCACAACTCCTAAGCAGGAGGAAGAGACTTTTGGAATATTGGAGTAGAAAATGCAAGTGGAGATAATTAGTCTAATATTGTCCTGTGATGTGGTTTAGCTGTGTCCCCACCCAAATCTCATCTTGAATTGTTGCTCCTGTAATTGCCACGTGCCATGGAGTGACCCAGTGGGAGGTAATTGAATCATGGGGGTGGGTCTTTCCCAGGCTGTTCTCGTGATAGTAAATACGTCTCACAAGATCTGATGGTTTTATAAAGGGCAGTTCCCCTGCACACGCTCTCTAGCCTGCTACCATGTAAGATGTGCCTTTGCTCTTCCTTTGCCTTCTGCCATGATTGTGAGGCCTCCCCAGCCACGTGAAACTGTGAGTCCATTAAAACTCTTCCTTTATATATTACTCAGTCTTGGGTATGTCTTTATTAGCAGCATGAGACAGATTAATAATCCCATTTTTAAAATGTCCTTACAAAAATAAGCTGACTGTTTAAGACCTGAGAATGACGAGGCTGAGTCAGTCTGGCCACACAGCCAGTTAGTGCAGGGCCAAGAACATAAAGGTCCCCTGACCCCCTGCCCAGCTCTTTTTTGCCATCAGAATGCTTCCTTATCATTTTACTGATAGACTTACTGTTCCCCACATTAAACATTAGATTTCTCTTTTTTGTGTGTGAATTGTTCTCCATTTGTCAGTTACATTCTAGTAAGTACCAAGTTCCCTGTGTTTCTCCTCACCACCAGGGAGGGCCCTGGGAAGTTGTCCACCTTGAGCCCACATAACCTTGTGAGCAACTTAGACACACTCCACGTCAAACTGCCTCAAGGGCACTTGGAGAGCTCTGAGAAGGCTGTGATGTGCACACCACGGGGGAAGCTCTCAGAGGATATTGGCAGCAATTCAGTTGCCAACCAGCTGCAAAAAGCTTTAAAGGACAGTGTTGCATAAAAAATGAAAAATGTTGATTGAGGACATATTGCCCTTGATTGAATGCTGAAGGAAACCTGCTGGCAGAAAAATAGATGAGAAAGGGAGAGGGGAAGGGAAAAGGGGAGCAGGGAAAAATAGGTTTGCCCACTTGAGCAGCTGTGGAGAAAGCTCTGTTTGTCCACCCACAATGAGCATCACATGGAGTGAGATGTCATGCTGTCTACCAGAAATCCAGGCCCCAAAATCGCTAGGGATCTTACCATAGTTTGCCTTGGGACTTTCCAATGCTAAGAACTGTTCAAACCTTTGCTTTCCTAACTGGTTCCCATCCTTTCCAACTTTGCCTGAAGGCCCCAGAAGGGTAGGGCAGGAAGAGAATGCATATTTACAGCTTTTGAACGCAGGCTTGGGGCTTTATAATCCAGTGGCCATCGAAGATGTAACTTGGTTGTCTTCTTGGAAACACTAGCAGTGATTTTATCATTTATTCCTGTGGGAGATCTGGCTCCCTGCCAGCCAGGGACGGAGCTTTCTCTTACTTCCCAGCGTTGTACAGCCAGTGGTTTTAAATGTGATTGTTCTGAGGATTCCTCTCTGCAGAGTTCAGTTACTCACCAATCATCACTGCCCAAGGAGGATGCTTTTCTGAGAAATATTCTAGATGACTTGATTGAAGGAGGCTCCACTGTGATCTGAGCCAGATATGTTTACCCTAAGAGGACTCACGCTTATCATCCAGCACAATGGTGTCCTCTTACTAGAATTAGCATCTGCTGGATCACTGACTGCATTTCCACAGAACACAGAACAAAGCGGTTAAGATCCAGGGCATTGAGCCACGCCTTAAATCGAAGCATTGTCCACCTTCTAACCCCAAGCAGACACCAAGAGGGAGCCAACAACAGGGATCCTGAGAGGCAAAGGGAGTCCAAGGAGCTATGGGGAGAACTTTCCATCTTTGGGGATGAGAATGTGAAGCATCAATTTATGTGAAAACTACTGCTTGATTAAAGACAAGATTTTTGAAAGCCATCCTGTAAAACACCCTGTCCCACACATTGTTAAAGGTAAGAGGGCTAGACACAATGCTGTCACTGCAAAAAATTGAGTATTTCATAGTCTTCATCTCATAATTAGTATGGTAGTAATCAATATGACTGATATAAAAAGAACTAGATATAAGTCTTTGTTTTTCTGACATCTTGTAGAGTTTTTGTAAGGCAATATTAAATAAAAATGTGTAGGGTAATGATATTGTAAGATCCTTTGTTGGTAAATGTGAAAAATTTCATAGATAACTCTTAATGATTGAGCCCCCTCTTTGTACACTATAGGAACATAGAACCAAATAATACTACCGATAAATGTTTGTTGGATTAATAACTTCACAAAAGGATACAACTTTTCTGGAGAGATATCAATAGGACAAAGGCCTGTAATCTATCGATTCTACTTTTAGGAATATATCATAAAGTAAATGTGTGGTTGGTTATTCAATTTAGGTGAAATTATGCTCAACAAACCTTTTACAAAAAAAAATTTGTTTTTTTTTTTTGAGATGGGTTCTTGCTCTTTTGCCAGGCTGGAGTGCAGTGGCTCTATCTCAGCTCGCTGCAACCTCTACCTCCCGGGTTCAAGTGATTCTCCCGCCTCAGCCTCCCGAGTAGCTGGGACTACAGGCGCGTGCCACCATGCCAAACTAATTTTTGTATTTTTAGTAGAGACGGGGTTTCAGCATATTGGCCAGGATGATCTTGATCTCTTGACCTCATGATCCGTCCACCTCAGCCTCCCAAAGTGCTAAAATGAGAGAAAACTTTAAACAACCCAGAATGTTTAGTACCAAAGGCCTAGTTGAATAAAACTGATCAGCCATGTAGTGCAACACTATGTAGACTTAAAAATGATATTGTAGAAGAACATTTAACCACATGAAAATACATGTTAAAAAGTTTGGTGAAAAAAGTAAGACAAATATCTAAATGGCATGTTCAATATAGAATATTTTTGATAAAACATAAGCATACACAAATATTCTGCAAGTATATTAATCTTTTTAAAATGTTAACATCAGTTTTTGGAATAAAGCAAGAGATGTTTTTAAAATATTTCTTTGTATTTAAATTTTGCATTTATTCTAAAATGAATGCTCATTACTCATGTAATAAGAAAGTAATGAAAAAATAGTAAAAAATAAAAAGGCCTCCATAAATTACATGTAATTTAATAATGAAAAACTACTTAGCTACTACCTACCAGGCCCTATATGGGCAGGCAGAGTGGAAGGTTCAAAGGAGAATTGATCAGTTCTGCTCTCCAAGCACTCATGATTCTGAGAACCAGAACAGAGAACAAGGAAGCAAAGGGTGAGAAACCAAATTTTCTAAGAGCATCAGTTTCTTAAAGTCAATATCATGGAGATATCTCTGAACCCGTGTTCCATTTCCTCATGTTTAATAGTTTCAGATTCAAGAACAGCCTGGCCAACATGGTGAAATCTTGTCTTTACGAAAAATACAAAAATTACTGGGCATGGTGGCAAGTGCCTGTAATCCCAGCTACTCGGGAGGCTAAGGCAGGAGAATCACTTGAATCCGGGACGCGGAGCGTGCAGTGAGTCGAGATCGCACCATTGCACTCCAGCCTGGGCAACAAGAATGAAACTCCATCTAAAAAAAAAAAAAAAGGCAGAGAGAGAGAGAGAGGGAGAAAAGTCACCCATACAACCACCAAGTCATTTAAATTCATGGTTTTTTTTGGATCAGAGTTGTCATCTTCACACATGGGGGAACAGGCCCATGTAAGACAGTTGGTTTCAGCTCTCCAGCAACCTTGGAGTTAATGGAGCTCTTTTCAATCTTGAGCCATCAATTTTTCCAATGTAACCTATCATGGTAGAAACCTCCCAAATTATGGGGGTCTTCTCCATGATGAAGCTGAAGCACTCACTTTGCGACAAGTAACCCTTAAGTGACTCCCCAAAGATACAATGATATTATTGGTTTACTATTAACTCACTACAGTGACTTTAAGTGGTATGGCTGCCTAGAGAATTTACAGTCAGAGTTATTTCCCCTGGAAGAACAATATAAGGTGAGATGTTTGAGAGCAGAGACTATTTTGTTAATGTCTGTGTCACCTATAAGTGGCAAAATACTTGCCACATAGAATTCTACTCAATGATACTGGTGTGTTTGCTAAAAAATCCTGTATAGCTGATTGAGGGTTCCAGCCATGAAGTTTGCATTTTACATCTGCAGTGCTGTGATGTTGTCCAGCTTCCTACGCGCAATGGCACTTCTCATTTTCCACTTTTTAATGACTCTTTAAATTCTTTATTTAATGACTCTTAAATTCTTTATTGTTGCAACTTACAATAAGTAACATTGAATGAGCCCCTAGAATACAGCCTGGCACCTAGGTTCCTGATTTGAGGATGCCCAGTGTTGCCCAGGCCCTGTGGGCTGGACAAGGGAAGGCAATGTGAGGGCTGCACTCTGAGCCACTCCAGTCTGCCAGGAGAAATAGTGAAGTTGTGCCGCCATGTCACTGCTATCCATACTCTAAGACAACTTCAAGTACTTCAGCTGAGATGAGGTAAAGGGTGAAGGTTGAGGTCAAAATACAGCTAAGTAACAGAGCGCAGAACAGAAATACAAAGGAAGGGAGACAAAGGCGTGGATTCATCCGGTTGGCTGCTCAGTTCCATGCCAAGGGATGAACAGGTGTCTGTCTAGAAGCAAACTCTTAAATAAGAAAAGACCTACCTTAGAAATGTAGTCACATCTCCACTTGCTAAATTATGTGGCCTGTGGCATGTCACTGAGCCTCCGTTTCTGACTATATCATTAGGGCTATGAATATCAAATGAATTAATGCATATGAATGGATTTTGTTGGCAGTAAAACAATATTCAAATCTATTATGCTCTCAATATGTGGAAGGAGGACCACTTTCACCAACATAACAAAAACTGGTGTTACCAATTTGTTATATATGAAGCATGCAGGAATAAAATCAGAGGAGCGTTCAAGCCAGCCCCCACCAGTTCCAGAGAGCTGACGGTATCCATCTTCTCCCAAATCTGCCTTCAGTGATCAGATGAGGGTAGTTTGCCATTGGCCACAGTGAGAATATTTACAGCATAGAATTTGGAAAATGCTACAAATCAGGACCTCTTCATTCTCCGCTGGGAGAGGTTGTTAAACCTTACCAACACAAGACTGGATGAAGTGTCTGTTTTTTCCAGTTAATCTTTCTCATATCTGACAAGGATAAGATTTTTTTCTATTTGTTTCACACTAGCCCTTTCAGACACCAGCATTTCCCTGGATTAGCAAAATAATCAGCATTCACAAGAGGAGAGAGAATGAGAAAAAAAAAAAAGGCTCTAAATCTGAAGCCTGTGTCCATCTTTCTTAGAGGAATTTAAATTCCAAGGCCTATATATTCTTCAATTCCATATGGTACCATGAGGTCTCAGTAAATATCACTCAATGGCTCCAATTTAGTAACACTGCCACACACACACACACACACACACACACACACACACACACACACGAGTCATCTGCCATCTGCTGGACTTCATGTGAGAGTCGGTAGTTTCAGTCAATGGAATGGTGCTCATAGACACGAACCTCTAACCTGATTGAGATAGTTTGAGTCAATAACTTCTTCCTGATTGTTGAAAGATTAATAACACATTTATATTCTTAAAAGTGGCATCAACCATAAGCTGATGGGAAAAATCAAGTTTTCTGTGTGTTGGTTCCTCTCAAAGATGCATTCCACTGCGGAAGGGGTTTATGTACCTCCTAAGAGTATGGGGCGAGGGCAGGTGCAAGCCAAAGGGAAGCCTCAGAAATGTGTTCCCTACTCATCCTGCCCTCAAACAGGGCCAGTGACAGTAACAGACACTATCTGTTTCATGCACTTACTCCCATTTCTAGATCTGGTACCTGAAACCACAGTGCCGAAAGTAGTCAAGTACGACTATGCCTGAAGCCCAGAAGTGTGGTTTTCCACAGTGAGGAAGATTTGCATTGTGAAGCAGATGTCAGATAGAAAAAGCAAAACAGAAATATGAAGACATTGTAAGAATTTTGGGGTGATTTCTGACCTGCTCAGTTTCCATCAGGGCATCCCAGGGTTTTTTGCCTTCTCAATTTTGAACAGCATAGCATTTAAATGATCATTTTTGTTTCTCTCCGCTGCTCCCCAATCTAAACAACAAAAGAAGGAATTTAACCTCATATCCTCGCTCTGAAATTAGCTCTATTGTCAAAAGATGACAGCTGTATCCTGATTTCAAGAATTTCATGTTGGAATAAAACAGCATTTTTGAAACCATTGTGTTATTTCAAACAGATCTGTAATGGTCCCTGAGCAAACCATTTTCAGAAGACTTGGGTAAGTAAGATAAAAAGACACCATTTCTGAAGAGTTGCTTTTATGGGCTAGGTCAGAGTGCTCTCTTTCCATGTTGTTCATTCCCAGTTGAATTTCCTAATAGTCTATCTCCTCAGCTAACAGATGCCCAGCCTCATGTCGGAACCAGATCGCGCCACTGCTGAGATTCCATCCAGTTCCTTTCTTATTGAGCCGTTTCCCTAGCAGATGGTGCAATGCTGCAGGCATACTCCTTCCTGTTAATTACCAGCCTTTGCTACAGATGGAAATGTCAGTCAGCCTCACAGGTCCTGGTTCCTGCCATTGCCTCAGTCCCTAGCCCTCTACCTAGGCAAGATGCTGCCAACACACACCATGTGTTTTGTGACTGCTGACTAGGCAGGCAACAAAAAACAACTTACTTCATGAATATTCATGGCGGAATGTTTAAAGTTCTGTTCATCTGTGATGCTTATAGATCCGCTTAAAGGGGATGGCACCTTCCTAAGAACACTCTGCCCCTTGTTTTCCTAAACTGAGGATACACGAGTTACCAAGTGAGTTGTCATGGCAACGTAGAGAGGACCATTAAACGTCGGCCATTTGGAGCCTTCTGTAGATACATCAGTTTCTGACTAACATTCTTCTCATACCTCTAAGTATCACTTAATTATTCTTGTCCTGCCATAACAGACCAATAGTCACCAAGCTGAACTGATTAGCTAATAACTGTTGGTTTTCATTAAACCCTGATTATCTCATTAGCGCATATGTAGCCAATATGAATTCCTTGATCTTTCTTGGTATTTAAATATACCAAATCGAGATAAATGAATTTCAGTAGTCATCCTCTATCCATTAAGTCGAATTATTTTACTTGTGTTGGAAACATTTTAGCAATCAAAACTGGGTATCTTTTTAGGTTTAGAGGAAAAAATTAGGGCTCAGGTTTTGAGAGTAGAGAAGAGGAAGTGAGATCTTGAGGAAGACTTTGATTGAAGGTCATTCAGATAAGCTTTTTTTCTTTTTTTTAATTTGTCATCTTCTTTGGGATGCTGTGTTTATAGGTGAGATCACGTGATGATGGAGAAGGTCACCAGAGCCAGGCACCTTGTCCACACACAGGGCTTCCTTCCTCCATGACTTAACCCAGAGATGTAGACGGCGGGGTCAACATTAAATACCACAAACAGGCAAAAGAGCTTCAGACAGAAGGATCATCTTCCTGAAGACAAAATAATCATCATCCTTTGAGGGCAAAGTGGGCAACGTTATGGGTATGTAAAATTGAGAAGCAGCTTTCATGAGTCCTGATTTATTTATTTAAAAATCTAAATTTATTTTTTTCCTTAGGTATCTTTTGTTTTGGAATGGGACTCTACACTATGGGATTTCTAGTGGAGAGGACAGTTACCAGAGTCAGCACTGGAGGTATGGGAATTTCTAAGCTAGAGAACTGCAGTAGGGAAAATTGAAAGATGCTATTTTGGGGGTCTCACTGATAGTTATGAAGCTTAAGTGTTTTTTCCTGGTGTCTTTTTAAGAAGCATATGTTAGTTGTATGCTTTATGATATAAAAAAAGATAAAGCATGTATAGGTATTTTACAGGCAGAGCAGAGATGGGGATATTCTGAATGCCCTTACCCCCCAGAAAACAAAAGTTAAGCTACATATATTTTATAAAGTAATAGGAGAGGATACATCTCTAGGAAAAGTGGGGAGATAATGCCCATAACGTAGCTAGGGCTCTACATTCCCTTGTTCAAAATCAACTATGATTGCATTTTACAATGAAGAACGCACACAGTGATTTGCAGGTAAATATTTAACAACAAGCTCGCCAAATAAAAATTGCTAGAATATATATACATGTATATAATGTCATTATAAACTTTACTCATATAAAGGATGTATATCACACAATTTACAAATAATAAAATACACAATACTCTTTATTGCAAATTTTACATAAGCAATTAATTCTTACAGAATACTTTCACTGATTTTTGCCAAGCTGCAGTATCTGTAGCCAACCTATGGTTACAATTCAGTTATGATTTGATAATTGAAACTGAATCCCTTTCTGCTCTTTCCTCATTAAATTTGTTATCATTAAGTCCAATATGTGATCTATTGTTAAACTAGTTCTCATTCTCATACAAACTATTATACATTTAGTAAATCAAAGTCTGTTTCTGGTTCATTGCTATGTATATCGGAATTTCACCCTTTGTTCAATGATGTGAGGAACTTTTTGTCTAATTGGATAATGGTATTCAAATACAGGAAGAATATTTCTTCAATATCTTTTGCTATACACAATGTAGTAGCTACATGCACAGCACACTATTAGGTTTAATCTGCATTACTGACATTTTCTGCAATACTTTCTTAAGTCTAGTCAATCAACAGAGCATTAAATCAAGTTTTGTTTTACAGTGTTTGCCAATTTCTGTTTTATAAATATTTCTACCATGCTCAATTTCAAGCTACCAACATGATGTCACTGAAGGCAAAGTTGGACAGAGAAGTTATAATAGTACACTTGATTTTTAATAATGACTGTGTTTAACAACCAAATTACAAAATTGCTGAAAATTTAACCCTAGGCTCTTGCAGGCTGGTGCAAGTCAACTCAAACACACCACCAGGGCACCCACTCTCCCCATTTCCTCCACTTATCATCTCTTTTGGAATAAAGATATCATGTGTGTATGTTTACAAGTATGTAAAAATTACATAATTTTACAAAATCTTATTTAAGTGAAGCTTAATAAAGCATTCAATAAATTGAATTGAATGGATGCACACTTAATGAAGCTAGTTGAAAAAATAAAATATAAACACATGGAAAGTTTAGTAATATTTGGAGTGAGTTTCGCTTTGTGCCAAGGGAGATTTAACAGGACAATATGGCTTCTAAGAAGGGTGAGGACTTTCTGTATAGCCTAGTAGGGGTGGGCAAGGAGGTTAGCCTGAGCCTAGAAAAGTGGTTAAGATTTGGGTAGGTGAAGAGGGAAAAAAAGAATAGTTCAGTCATTAACTCAAAGAATATGTATTGATTGATTACTAGTAACCATAAATATTAAATTTTATATCATTAACAATCTTTAAAAGGGTACAGAGTTTCTCCAAAGAATGTTTTAATCTTCTAAGCAACTGGCGGGACACAAATAAATGTCAAAAATCAGTTACTTAAGGAGTTTTAAATGTCTAAATTTTAAAAATTAACCACAGTGTCTAAAAGCAAACAAAAATTGTTTTCCTTATATACTATATCTTTAAAAATTCTGTGGAGAATAACAGCAACAGAAACTTATGAGGAAGCCAAAAATTGCTTGTCAGATTTAGGAGATATACAAAAACCAAGTGTTTTGTTTTGTTTTGCTTTGTTTTTTAATTTGGTCTTCAAAGGAGGGAGAAGAAGGACACATGTAATTAAAGGTCAAAATGATAATAACTTGGCTAGAATTCATTTTCATTTGCAGACTGGCACTTGTAGGAATTCCCTATTAGCCCAAAGACTAGCCTGAAGTTAGTTAGGCATTATTTCCCAAAGTAAGAAAAGTTAGCTTTCATTTCTAAAGCCAGGAAGAAAGAATTATAGATCTGTATAAAACAAACATGGATGTGTTTGCCATAAAATGAGAAAAGAGATCTGTAATTCTGAATAAAGAAATATCTAACCTCTAATAGGGAAAATTTAAAAAATTTACTTTTTATTGAAAAGTAAATATGGAAATAAATACGAAAAATAACCAAATTGAAAATTGTTCAATCTGGTTAGTAATGTAATTAAAGGAATAAGATGTCAATTTCTCTTAGAAGGGAAACCAAAGCCATAGAAGTTACTACATTATTGCCTCTTCTGATATGAGATAGATATACTCATATACTGCTATGAATTGCTGCTCATTTATTTTTAGAAGTCAGTTTGACATATGTAACTAGAACCACAATAGAGAAATGGTTAAAGATACTATGGGCCATCTGTCTGTCTGTCTGTCTCATCTGTCTAATTAGTTATCTAGAAAAACCAGTACGGAAAGAAAAAAATAACAAAATGTTAATGAATTAAAAGTGATTTGAGGTCTCTGTTTACATTTTTATGTATTTTTCCATTTTTTTTTTTACATTAGCAACTTTTGCTTTTATAATCAGAAAAAAGAAATCAAAGTTAATTTAGAAAGGAATTGTACTGCTTTTGAGGAGCACAAGCTTTGGATACAGAAAGACCTTGAATTATAGCCTGCTTTGAACCTCTACGATCTGTGCAGCATTGGCTAAACATTTCTTAGACTCAGATCTTCAGTTTCACATCTTTTAAAAGGCATAATAACAGAATGCTTACAGGTTTACCTTGAAAATAGCTGAGCCTACCTTACGGAGTGCTGGACGTGTGGTATGTGTTTAGTGCAGGCCAGCTCCCCTCCCCAGTTCAACACATCCTGAGTGGTATCCACTGACATTGAAAGACCAAAATCAGATCTTTTTGAGTCTCATCAATTCTATCAAAAAAACCCTCCCCCTTGTGCTCTCAACCTAGGAGGGTCAAGCCAGTGGAATGGTAATCATCTTGTGTGAGTTGTCAGTGCTCTCCTAAGCATCTGTTACGCAGGATCACGCTCTTAAGTTTGCCAAAAATTACCTCATTGATAATGTCTGCTGGAGATGCTTAGGCAAAACTTGAAATAGAAAGATAGTCTTTTGGAAGACAATTCCCCACAAGTGTAACCCCAAAGAATGTTGGTTTGGTGACATGGAACAGCTGGAAAAGTAAGACCACATCGTTCAAAAGCATGACAGTACCTCTGCAAATGAGACGAGAGCTAAATATGTGTCTCAGAGATAGGAAGCTAAATCAGAACGCAGCAAGAAGACAGCACACATTCGAGAGAGGAAAAAATGTGAAATCTGCTTCTGGCCATCAGAGGAGCTGATGCAATCCCGGCTGACTCGGGGGACAGCCACGGTGCCAGCTACAGAGGCCACATGGCTTCTAATGAGGCCAGGCCCAGTTGTAGCTCCGAAGAGTGGGTGAGCCAGCCAAATTTCACCCAAGGACAGAAGCAGCCTTAACAGCTGGTGAGTGAATTAACTTCAGGCAAACCGGTTGGACCCAGGTGGAGGGACATTTTGAATCATTCCCTTATGGGTAGAAAAAGAACAAAACATCTTAGGAAACAGAGCTACCATGGCCTCTTTATTTCAGTTTAGTTTCTCCTGTCAGCCTTCTTTGGGGGCCAGGGAAGGAGCTAGGCAGGAGGGAGAAGCTTGGGGGCTTGAGGGACTGTGGAGCGATGACACATCAGTTTGAGACTGCATAAAAGGAGGATGGGGAAGTCAGGGTCCAGGGTGCGCTTGCATTGCAGAGCTGGGAAGGAGACTGCACTTGATCAAGGCAGCATTCCACCTGAGTTAAAGGAAAACATTTTAGGTGATGTGAGCTCTTAAAATGAGATTTCCTCTTAAGAGAACCTCTTCAGCATCTTTTTTATCTGCAGCTCTTATCAAATGCTGGGTCCCTGGCATTTGCACAGTAAATATTGTTGACCTGCTCCAGAGTATCTCTACTCCCAAGATTTACCTGTTTATGGAGTGGGCTGTCCTCATGAGGCCTTGTCCCTGGAAGCGCCCTGCAGAGAGCAGGCTGATCCTGAAGGGACGGAAGAAGGGCTTCTTGCATTGACTGGAAACCTGAATCCTGAGGAATTCAGGGAAAGCCTGCATCCTGCAGTTTGAGCACCATCCTGCCACCTGGTGGCTGCATCCCTAAATTGCAAGGGCAGGTCTGTTTTAACAAGCCTCTAAATAAGTGAATTTGCAAAATAAAGTCATGAGGTGAAGCCATTTTGACAAATGTTAAAGAGAGATGCGAACATCTTAGAAGGATGGGTAGAATTAAAAAAAAAAACATATGTTGTGAGAGAATATAGCTTTTCTGGTGAGAAAGAGGTCAAATCAAATGTGAGTGGGCAGACAGGAAACAGGAGGCTAACGCAGCACCCAGGCGTGGGTAGGATACCGCATACCGCCCTGACATGCAGGTTATTCCAGGAAGATGTCTCTCTCTGTGAAGGCTGAGGTTACCACTGTTCCTACGCAGCCCAGGGAGGAAAGGGGTCTGGTAACATTGTGTGCCTCTCCTTTTTTGACATGCTAATATTTGACCCATATTTAAGTGTGCAAAAACCTTCTCAAGGCAGCACAACATCTTTTGATTTTTTAACATCAGCACTGAGTTTACCTGTTTTTTTTCTTTGGTCACTTTTGTCTTCTTCCTTTCCCATTCTCTTCTTTAGTTGACAAGCACTGGCTACCATCTATGTGTCAACAATTGTGTCATGAGTTTGAGATGGGCCGACAGCACGTGGAACTCAAAGGTGACTAAGGGAGAAAGGAAAGTAAATCAATGATCAGAGTCCAGAGAGCTACATGCAGTGCAACCCATGGTTTTATGGGAGAACCGACAGGGGCACCTCACTCTGGAAGGAACAACGCCAGGAGAGGCTTTGAGGTGCCGATAATGTCCAGGTGATGTGCAAATGTGTAGGAGCTAGCAAGACAGAAAAGCAGCTATTAATGGGGAAGTGGTGTGGGTGACATTTCAAATAGAGGGAATAGGAGGCAAAAGAAGATTAAAAATATATGCTTAAGGAAATGCTGGAACGACTATTTCACATGGCCATGGTGCCAGAGATAAGTTTAGAAGACATGCACAGGATCAGACCAGGGAGGGTGAGCCAGTGGCTCTGCATTTCACCCTGGCAACTCTGAAGTCCTGCTGGAGAATTTTAAGCAGGGGCGGAACAGCCACCTGACAGATACAGATAAACATCCTGGAAAGATCACTCCTGCTGCAGAGAGAAAGGAGCAATGCTGGAGGCTGCGGCTGCCCAGGCCAAGGAGGCCTTCTGAAAAAGTCCATCTGGATGAAGGCGAATTCAAGAGCAGCTTAGCTGGCAGAACTGAAGGACCGTGGTGCTCCTACAGATCATGTGGATGATGGGAAGGGTCTCCAGGAAATGCACAGAGGGTGTGAAAAGTTCCAGGTTGAAATCCTAGGTGCAGGGTAGGCAATGGCCATTTTAGCATTTATGAATGGAAAATCCAGGGTGCACAATGCTTTGAGGAGAGAGTCACTTTGGATTTGCCTCCGGAGTCTACAGGTGCGGTGTCCTTGGGCGCCCAGCCATGCAAGTCTGGGGTCTGGGCTGGTAGCCGGATCTCAGCCTCTTTCACCTCCCTTTTTCCTCTTTTTATTTATTTATTTTTCATTCTTTCCCCTCTCCACATCTCAGTTCTAACCTCTTTGCCTCAATATGCTCTTTCTTGTCTGTTCTTTAAACAGGAACTTGTTTGGAATTGAGCCTTGATTCTGAAAAGAAAGTATCAGAGGGCAGCATTTGAACTGGCATTTAAGGTGTCAACCAGGGGGAATTTGGTGCCGACCAGTAAAAGGGGAGAATCAAAAACAGAAGCTCCATCACCAGGGACAGGGCCAGACTCCTGACTAGAAACTCAGTGGATGTGCTGAATCATTCGGATACTTTCCAGAAAATTATTTTACCTACTCAGAAGGCTGGGCATCAGCCAAAACTGTCTGGAAAACCACAAGGAAAGACATTTCCATGAAGTAACTAGAGTTTTGGGCTTCTACTCTAGAGGAATATAAGAGGAACTTTCTTTAAAGAGTATGCAGGTGGTTCCTTTTAAGCTCACCTGTCTGGTTTTTCAAACAGATCAAGGGGTGATGGCAGGGAAACGTCTCCCCTGGAAATCTCACCCCTCCATTTGCTAAAGAGAAGGAGCTTCAATCCCTTGACAGGATGATGAAACAATAATAAACTGATGTGACCAAGTCTCATGCCAGCAGTCCTACCTGTGGCCCACCCTTCTCGTGGCCAACAATGGCTTTTCTTAAATAAATAAAAATCAAGATTTGTACCACTCCTGCTGTAAGCTCTTCAGTGGCTCATGGATGAATGAACAGGATCACCATTGGCACACAAGTCCCCCCACAGATCACCTACTCATCTTTCCACCCCAGCTTTTGCCATTCTCTCCCCATCCCACAAATCCATTGCCATCCAAAGATAAGAAAGATACCAGATAGGGCTTCCCAGTTGCAGCAGAGTGGACTGTCTTTACACTGGAGGGCTATTCTTCCACAAAGAAGTCTTCTCCCCCGTGGGAAGGGATTGGAGTACTTCTCCTAGGCACTATGTGAGCAGATGGTTGAGAAATGAGCTAGCCCTTGAGCTTCTGCAGCAAGGGAGGGTCCCATCATGAGAGCAGATGGTATGGGAAATGCACCAGTTTGGAATTGGGAGGAACAAGTTTCAGGCCTGACTCAGATACAGATACTTGCCATCATCAGTATGCCCTTGAATGAACTATAAAGTGTCTCTGAACCTCTGTTGTCTCCTTTGCAGTGTTGAGCCAAGGTTATATACCACACAGGGATTGAGGAAGAGGAATTAAGGCAGCGTACATGGAAGTGGCTGGCTCAGTCATCACTGGCTAAACGCTACTTGAATTCCATTCTAAAACTCCACATAGAAAGGCAATTTGACAAAATTTGATCATCCCTTCACCCCAATTATCACCCCGTGAACTTTTCTTCCATTTATCACCCTTGGATTTCGTAGCTCGGCACACACAGTCTTTCTCCCTCTCTCACTTCTTTCTTTCTCTCCTTTTTTCTTCTTCTGTTAAACCTAAGAAATTCTAATGCTGAAGAGGGTTTTCTTAAGGTGATTCTCCTGGAAAAGATGACTCTTTAAGCAAAAATTCAGACTTTCTCTAGAGTGACCGAGACATGTAGGTGGCGGTAGCAATACAGGCTGACCTTCCAGCATGGTCCTGGGAACCACAGGTCAGCTCTGCTGCAGATGCCCAGACAGCGTGTCTCTTCCTGAAACAAATCGACTTCCACATGGCTCTTCTGAAGACTAAGATGGCCACGTCTATCTAATGAACCCATCCTGCCACCTCCATTTGGGTCCTGGAAATGGACCGAGCTCTTTTGTGGTTCCCTGTACATTTCAGCGTGCATCTTTAGCTATGAGAGGTCATTTGCTGCCAGTTCTGTTGGCTTTAATGAGTCTCCTGCCTTGGACCTGGAGAGAGAAGTGGGAAAATGTGATTCTCATGCCCAGGCCTGGCCTCCCTGAACTCACTTTTCCCATTAAGCTTTGACACTGGACCATGCCTTTGTTGGCAGAGGAGGTTTTTATGGATCTTATGGGGGATGCACAATGGAAACTGGAATTAAACTTGTGTTTCTCTTTTTTCTCTCTCTTTTCCTTGATTGGGTTTTGACAGAAATTATTTGACTGTTTCCTTTTCACATGGACAGAATCGAGTATGTTCTTTCAACGTTATCCAAACCATCATGCTCAAATGGAAAGGAAAGTTCTGTGAGGTTAAATGGCAGAGACATGATGTCTACAGTAGGAACAAAGCTGCTTAGATCCTTCCAGACGCTGTAAATTCCCCTAACATAAAAGACAAGAGTACAGACTCTGAGGTCAGAGGGACTCACGCCCAAATCCCTTCCCCACCTCTCACAAGTTACTTATTCTCTTTGAGTCCTGATTTTCTCACTGGTCAAATGGGAATAAAAATCCCCTCCTGGGCCGGGCATGGTGGCTCACGCCTGTAATCTCAGCACTTTGGGAGGCCGAGGCGGGTGGATCAGGAGTTTGAGACCAGCCTGATCAAAATGGTGAAACCTCGTCTCTACTGAAAATACAAAAAACTTAGCCAGGTATGGTGGTGCACACCTGTTATCCCAGCTACTCAGGAGACTGAGGCAAAAGAACCACTTGAACCCGGGAGGCAGAGGTTGCAGTGAGCCGATATCACACCACTGCACTCCAGCGTGAGTGACAGAGCAAGACTCTGTCTCAAAAAAAAAAAAAAAAAAAAAAAAAATCCCACCTCATAGGATATCTGTGAGAGTGAGGTGAGGAGGTAAGAACTTGGAGAATCACCTGCTAGGAATCCTCCCCTCCCTCTCTTGATCCTGCCGTGTGACTTTCTGTTCTCAGGTCTCTACACTCCCATAGGATCTCTGAACATTTTCCATGTGTCAAACAGGGTAACCTCTTAGAAGTCTTCTTTGCCTTTTCAGAATGAGAGGTGGCCTTTAGCCATCCACCCACATGGTTCTCCCAGCCTCACACTCTGCTATAGGATAAACCCAAAGGCCTTGGTATGGCCACAGGGCCCTTGAAGGGATTTCCACTGAATCTTCCTGGCTCATCTCTTATCACTCCTAGTTCCACAGATAGTGTATGTCCTTCAGAGGACAACTCAGCACACACTGATCCCTAAATGCCACCATTCCCTCGGGACTCACTTCAGCTGTCCTTTTCACTGAGACATCACCACTCCCCAGCTGTGGTCATCCACAGCCTCTGTGTGCATTTCCTTCCATCGGAGAGCTTGCTGGGGAATCATCAGCTGCTCACACTCCCATCTCACCAAGCTCTGAGCTCCCGGAGGGCAGATATGTGTCTTGTTCATCTCCATAGCATTATTTCCTATTGCAATGTTTAATACACAACAGTGTTGATGTTGAAATAAACAAATATGGAATATTCAACTAGGCTGACTCGTGGTTTCATAATCTCCCTTGTTTTTTTTTTTGTTTTTTGCTTTTTGAGGGGGAGTCTGGCTCTGTTGCCCAGGCCAGAGTGCAGTGGCACAATCTCAGCTCACTGCAACCTCCACCTCCCAGGTTCAAGCAATTCTCCTACCTCAGCCTCCTGAGTAGCTGGGACTACACGTGCATGCCACCACACCTGGCTAATTTTTGTATTTTTAGTAGAGATGGAGTTTCACCATTCTGGTCAGGCTGGTCTCGAACTCCTGATTTCGTGATCCACCTGCCTCAGCCTCCCAAAGTGCTGGGATTACAGGCATGAGCCACCATGCCCGGCCACAGTCTCCCTTGTTAATCTTCTTCTGTGGCTTCTAATTACTGCCTTGACACCTTGACACCGCCTTACTTTCTGCATTTCAGTTTGGAGGTCAGAGGCTAAATTTCTTTATTTGTTGCATCAGCCTCTACACTTGAGGGAAATATCTTCAAAACAAAGAAAGTTTTATTAAAAGAGGGAACACCTGATTTAGTTAGATTAGCCACAAAGAGGAATTTTGGATTGCCTGTTTCTGATGGGCTTGTTAAGATAGTATTTTGATTTTTAAATAACTATATAACTTTAATGTTATCATAATTAAATAATAGAATAAACTTTCTTTGCTTTTTGAATACATTTTTTCTTGCTATGCAGTGTGATGTTTCTTTTTCTTAAGGTATAAATGCATTGTTTAACATGTATTTCCAACATATTATGAGACTACTATGTAATAGACATTTTTCCCAACAAGACAGCATTCCTTAAATTGAGTTAATCACCTACATAATGGTCATGTTAAGTTGTTTTGAAATAACTACTCGGGAGGCTGAGGCAGGAGAATGGCTTGAACGTGGGACACGAAGATTTCGGTGAGCAGAGATCACGCCACTGCACTCCAGCCTGGGTGACAGAGCGAGACTCCATCTCACAACAAAACAAAACAAATAAACAAAATAAATAAATAAATAAATAAATAAAAATAAAAAGAATCATTCTGACTGCTGGTGAGCATAGACTGTAGGAAATCAGAAATGTACAGAGAGAGACTGTGTGAGATGCTATTTCAATAATCAGGTTAGTGATGACAGTGACCCAAACCATAGGAGTATCAGGGGAGCAGAGACAAACGATCCAAGATTGGATTTTTTTTCTTTTTTTGAGACAGAATCTCACTCCATCATCCAGGCTAGAGTGCAGTGGTGTGATCTCGGCTCACTGCAACCTCCGCCTCCAGAGTTGAAGTGATTCTACTCAGCCTCTGGAGTAGCTGGGATTACAGGTGTGAGCCACTGCACCCAGACTTGGATGTGTTTTGAAAGTCGAATCTTGCTAGGGAGTGAACGTGGGGCATTAGAGAGAGCAGAGTCAACCATGCTGCCAGAAACTAAACAAATGGTAGGATGGGGCTGCCATTGACTGAGATAGCTGAACAGTGAGACACACAAGTTTGGTGAGTGGGGCCAAGGAGGAGTTCACTTCAGACATGCTGTGTTTGAGATGCTTGAGGTGCCTATTACACATCAGAGAGGTGATGTCAAGAAGTAGCTGAATATATGAGCCTGTGGTTCAGAAGGAAAGGGGTCTTGTTAGAGATAGACATTTAGGACTGTCAGTGCTGAGATATGTTTAAAGGAGGAAGGCTGGATGATGTCACACCTGGGATGTCACACATGAGTACAGAGGACAGGAGTAGTCTGGGTGCTAAGACCAGGGATGCCACAGTGTTCAGGAGTCAGGGAAAGGAGGAGGAACCAGCAAAGAACACTTAGGAGGAAGGCCAGTGAGAAGGAAGAAAGCAAACGATCTGTATTATCTTGAATCCAGGTAGAAAAAAATATTTTAAAAATGAAGAAATATTAAATACAGTAAATATTGTTGCAAAGTCAAGTAGGACGAGGAATGACAATTGAACATTGGATGTCACCATGTTTACCACCTTGTAAGGGTTGTTTGGTGTAGTGTGTGGCCAATCCTTCGAGAGAAAATTGTAGAAGTGGAAACAGTGGATGGGCATGAGACTTCCAAGGAATTTGGCATTCAAGGAGAGTAGAGGCATAAATCTGTAGTTAGGGGGTCAGTAACTTTTTAAAATAGCTACAGACTGTATATCTAGGAGAAAGACTCATAGGAAGGGAGCAAATTATGATATGGGAAAAACAGGAGGAAATTACCTAGGAATGATTTGAGTAGGCATGAGGAGATAGAGTTGAGCACACCCATGATCGCTCAAATGTCACCAGGTTTGATACAGATGGGTATGAATTCAGACAACATATATTTGTGGTTCTGGCCCTGTTCAGGTGGTCCTTTTGTAGAGGGCTTCATGAGATATGGCTGATGAAGTAGGCTGTGTTTAAAGCAGATTGGGTTAAATGCCTAGACAGGGAGATTAGGCTTAACCCAGGGAGTGAGAGGAGTCATCAAGGATTCAGAAGATGGAATGGAATGAGGAGAGAAGTGTGCATTATATAATACTGCTGCCGATGTTCGGAATAGCTGATATGTATCCAGTGTGCTCTTTCCAGATATTGTTACCCGTGTTGCAGGAAACTATTGAGATTCACGTGGATGTGGTTCTTGCTACTATGAGAGTATTAAGGAAAAAATAAAATTTCTTGTCATCCTAAGAATATTGCCAGGACTTCATGTTCTGAATCTGTCATAAATGTCTTCAGATGTGTTTCAAAGTGGAAAATGAAAGTCTGAGGCACCCTGAGAAGAACCCTCCACAGCAGCATCTTGTGGGATGAGGTTACAACAATCTCTGTGAAGTAAGTCTTTTTCCTTTTTTTATTTTCTTTCTCTTTCTTTCTTTCTTTCTTTCTTTCTTTCTTTCTTTCTTTCTTTCTTTCTTTCTTTCCTTCCTCCCTCCCTCCCTCCCTCCCTTCCCTTCCCTTCTATCTCTTCTCTTCCCTTCTCTTCTCTTCTCCTCTCCTCTCCTCTCCTCTCCTCTCCTCTCTTCTCTTCTCTTCTCTTCTCTTCTCTTCTCTTCTCTTCTCTTCTCTTCTCTTCTCTTTCTTTCTTTCTCTCCTTCTCTCTCTCTCTCCTTTTTTTCTTTTTGTCTCACTCTGTCCCCTGGCTGGTGTGTAGCAGCACAGTTGGCTCACTGCAACCTCCAACCCCTGGGCTCAAGGGATCCTCCCAACTCAGCCTCCCACAGACACACACCACCACGCCACGCCCAGCTAAGTTTTTGTATTTTTGGTCAGATGGGGTTTCGCCATGTTGCCCAGGCTGGTCTCAAATTCCTGAGCACAAGCGATCTGCCCATGTTGGCCTTCTAAAGTGCTGGGATTACAGGTGTGAGTCACTGTGCCCGGCCTGCTTCTCATTATCTGAGCACCACTGAAGTCCTAGATTCTTAGCTCACATCAGAGAGAAGGAGCAACAATCAGTCAAAACCTACAGGAGATTTTCCTCATCTCCCAGGTGAAAACAGGCTCAGAGACAGGTGACACTCCATTAAAAAGTAAAATACATTCATAACTGATATAAAGGCACCACATATGTGTATATATAGTATTATATATTATATGGTGTGTGTATACACATATATGTATAGTATTATATATAATATAGTGTGTGTATACGTATTTTTTATATATATATATATATAAATTCTTGTGCATAGCATTATTTCATTTTGCTAATGACAAGTCTAAGGCTCACAGAGGCAAGGTGACTCACCCAGAATTTTTATATGGCAGAACCAAGCAGCCAAGAGAATTTGTCTCACCACACTCCGTGTTCTTGTTGCCACCAGTGTATTTTAAATGTTAAGTTTCTGCTATACTTTATTTATACTATTCTTTATTTTATTATTCCTTTTAAACTAAACTTAAATCGACTCACTTTCTTGATTTTAGACCCATCCTAAGCAAAACTATCCATAAATGCCTAGGTTTTACGTTCTAATTACATATTAATTTCTAACATATTTAATAATTATTAAAAATAATCATCTCTAGAATTACCAATAAAGTACAGGATAGGTTGAAAGTACAGAATTAGGAGTAGAGAAAAATTATTCATAAGTTGTAATGAGAAGACTAAGGTTCATGACCTGAACGTGGTTATTGACAGGTGAAATGCAAAAAAGACAATAAAAACACGAGAGATTTTGAAATTAAAGCAAAAAAAAAAAAAAAAACTATGAGTTCAGATGACTTCTATGGTTTCAGGTGATTGGTGGTGCTATCAGGACAGGCGAGAAGCCCAGCAAAGTTAAAAGTTACTCGGCAAGGCTGCATGTAGCTCAGCTCTGCCAGCACAGCTGACATCTTACGCCACAATAGTCCGAGTGAATTTCTCTGTAGGATAAGGGGGTTAAATTAGCTGATCACAGACATGCTGATTTCTCATTGTTCCTTCCTTCAATATAGGTACAATTATATATAGACATAAGTATACATATGTATATATGCATACACAGTTGTTTTTTTCTTCAATTGGGGAAGGGGTAGTAAAGGATAAATATAATTTTAGAGTCACAAAAACTATATCCAAAAATAGTCAAGTCAATCTTGTACATCCTATTGTGTAACAGACATCACTCACGATAAAAGATTAATAGTAAAATTCTTGGTTTTTGTCTTGCTCTGTCACCCAGGCTGGAGTGCAGTGGTGTGATCTTGGCTCACTGCAACCTCCACTTCCCGGGTTCAAGTGATTCTCCTGCCTCAGCCTCCCGAGTAGCTGGGACTGCAGGCATGTGCCACCATGCCAGGCTAGTTTTTGTAGTTTTAGTAGAGACAGGGTTTTACTATGTGGGCCAGGCTGGTCTCAAACCTCTGACCTCAAGTGATCTGCCCTCCTTGGCCTCCCAAAGGGGCTGAGATTACAGGTGAGAGCCACTGCATCTGGCTGAATTCTTTTCCTTTCTGTAAGATCACATTAGTTACTAATTAACTCATACTCAAGTCATAGTCGTCACAAAGAACACATGGTGGCAGACAGCACTGAAAGGCCCCCCATTCCTTCTCAGCCTTTGGCTTCTCTGATGTGAAATGACACCTCTCATAATCTTTGAGTGATTTGGCTGTTGCTGTGTGAAATCTCCCAGTTCAAATGGGTCCTTATTTTCTCTGGGAAAATTACAGCACTGGACTTACAGGCCAGAGACTGGATGAGATGACTTCTTTGAAATGTGTATTCAGCAGAAGAGAAAATTGGCTGCACTCATAAGCGCTTTTAGAATGCTAAGGAAATCTCTAAGACCCCCTCATACTTCTTGACTCTCTCTCTGTTACAAGCATTTGGGAGACTTAGAATATTCCTTTGCTATCTGGCATAATTACGAGAAAGTCAGCATCTTTGGAAAAAAAGACAGAACTCAAAAAATTTCCTAATCTGTTCCTGGTTGGGGATGGCTACAATTTTTCCAAATAATGCCAGGTAATGTGCATGTATCTATCTTTATATTTCTATGCAGATGTGTGTGTGTGTGCGTGTGTGTATGTGTGTATTTCTTCTGAATTTCTCATCCCTTGGAAAATGAGTGTTAGTCAAAAGAACATTAAAAAAATTAGATTGGGTTTTGGGAATGTGGTCATTGTGGAGCAGCTTATTATCAGATAATAAACCTGCATGTGGGTGGGTGGGTGGTGCGTGTGTGAGTGTGAGTGTGTATTTGAAGCCACTGCAGAGCGGCCAACAGCAGGCAGAAATGGGAGGCTCTCCCCCTTGAGAGCAGGGAAGCGCTCACTGCATGAGAACCAGGTGCAGGAGACACAGAGTGTCCACAGGGATGCTGTGTCCCCCTGGAGCACTCAAGTTTGTGCAGCACACGAGCTGGGTCTCAGGTGGAAAGCCGCAGTCTTTGTGGCTTGAGGTGTCTGGGGAATAGGGTTTGGTGCTGCCAGAGAGGTTAGGCTCAAAAGTATGCTGTAAATGTTTGCGTTTCACTCTATGTAAATTCTAGCCGACTCCAAAGAAAAAAATCAAGATTGAAACCTGAATCTGTTTGATATTAAATGATGTTCACAAGTTTATGAAATTGCTCTGGGCCTTAGATTCCTCATGTGAAAACATAATGGGCACTACTTACTGAAAACCTGCCTCGTGTAAGACCCTCTCTTAGCAGCTTTACAGCTCTAAAACTCACGGTCATCCCCCAAAGAAAGGTGTATTATTTGTCTTGGCCAAGATCCAGAATGGGATCTAGATATGTCTGGTTCCACAGGTCGCATAGTTATGTCTACTGTGGCCACCTCCCTGTTGGGAAGATCAAGTTGAAAAGTGAGGTGTGTTATAAACTGGTAAGACGTTCTAGGATTTCATGTTGCTATTACTACTCAAAGGGACTTTTCTCTTTCCAAGTCATGAAGACAAAACATTTGGGCCCAATGTTGAGACACTTAGAGCAGCACAAAAGCCAATTGCTTGGGTGGGGACGTCTCCGTTTCAAAGCTTCCTCTCTTGGTGAGTTCTCACCCGACCCACGTGCAGCTTCCATCCCTTGCGTTCAAAGGTGTGTAATCAGGTGACAACTCTGGGAACTTTCTACTTTTTTACCCTTGTTCCAAGGGTCTGACACTCTGAAAACTCAAAAGAGTGGAGCCAGCAGCTGGAGAGAAGTAAAGACACATTTGTAAGATGCTGTGTGTGGTGTTTTCTTTTCCTCCCTTTTCCCCTAAATGCAGAGAGAGTGCAGTGTGACTAATTACACCAGAGAGGAAAGCAGAAGCTCTCAAGTTAAAGTATTTTGGTAATCATGTTTACTGCGGGTAAAGTACGTCTGCATTAAATAAGTCAAAACACAGTGCGCAAAATTTGGAAGGATTCCTTGAGCACTGCAAGGACGGAGTTAGATGTAGAAATGATATAATGTCCAAGTCGAAGCACTATGAGAGAAGATAAACCATCTGCTTCAACTAACTCAGATCCACTTGAAAATGCTAATCGTATGGCAGGAGGATGATTAAACTACATTAAAAAAAACTTTTTCAGTAAGAGATGTACTGCATTGTTCAGCAAGATTGGGCTCCCCACAGATGGAAGGAATGTTATTGCCTCAATTAGGTGACCATCAGAATCTTAGTTTGTCATAGGTTCTTAAAGACTTTATTGATCACTCGAGCTCTGTTCTGCCATCCATCTCTTTGCAGATGGTCCAGAAAAGGTAATTAACTTGTCGAAAGGCCTGCAAATGTTTAATAGCAGATCCAGAACCGAAATGCTGATTTCCTCACTCCAGATTTCATGTCCTTGCTGCTGCCTCTGTAAGTGGAGAACTGAGTACTACACTGATAAGAAAATACTACGCAATCATTACTCAGTTATAGGAATGTTGCTGCTAGAACGGAAAGAAATCTTTACAAGGTGCTAGACACAGACCCCAACTCCTCATTTTATGAGCAAGAGAAGCAATTATGGGTAAGAGAAGTAAGGAGTTGCTATTTACCCCACCACACAATCATGAAATGGAAATATGCAATACACACACACACACATTCATATAGACATTCTGCTCTAAAATGGGAACAGGTGAAGGTTTTGGTATGGGCTTCAACAGAGGGCATAACTTTCAATGTCCATGTCAATGAAGATGCCATTTCCTTTTCAATGTCAATGAAGATGATGCCACTGCTACTGTGATGAATATGACAATGATGATAGTGAATTTTTGAGAGCTCACTGTGGAACTCCTGGGCACTTTACATAAATTGTGTCATTTAATCTTTCAAAAACCCCTGAGGCTGCTTGTGCACTAGTTTGCTAGGGCTGGCCTAAGAAGAATCACAAACTGGGTGGCGTAAACAATAGAAATTTACTGTCTCGCTGTTCTAGAGGATAGAACCCCAAGATCAAAGTGTTGGGTGAGGTTGGTTCCTTCTGAGGGCTGTGAGGAAAAGATCTGTTCCAGGACTCTCTGCTTGGCTTGTACATGGCTGTCTTCTCTCTGTGTCTTCGTATTTTCTTTTCTTTTTGCATGCCTTTTCCAAATTCCCCCTTTTCATCAAGATACCGTCATGTTGGTCCATGGCCCACTCTAGTAACCTCATTTTGATTGGATTGTCTCCAAATATGGTCATATTCTGAAACACTAGAGATTAGGACTTAAGCAGATGAACTTTGTGGGGTACAGTTCAGCTCGTAACAGGCTGGCATTGCTGTCGTCGTTATTCTTCCCATCCTGGAGACGAGGCAGCCGAGGATCAGAGAAGGCGCATACTGTGTTCATCGTCACAAAGCTGGAGGGAAGCAGAACCTGCGTGAAGTCTGCGGCTGAAGGGGGAGACTTGGCTTTTCTTCCTAAAAATATTTTGTTTGCTTTTGTGTGAGGCCCAGGTCAGGCTCTCAGAAAAGGACTCTTTGTCTCCAAACAGTTCCTGAAAAACGTTCTCCCCCAGATGACTCCACTAGGAATTGATTTTCCCTCAAGATGATAGGAAGCTGTTTTTCAAAGTCTGCACCATGCCAGTTGGGGCCCTGCTGGAACTCTATCTGCACTTCTCTCTTGCCCCGAGAGCCACACCCCTGATTCTTGGGGTCCCAAGTGTGGACTAATGTTCTGAGTCTCAGCCATTACCACTCACATCAGTGTCAGAACAAAAAGCTGGGTGCAGCCTGTGAAGGAGCTCAGAGAATATTCCATCTTCAACTGGGGGGAACTGATGACTGCAAATCCACACCATTGACTCAGGCAAGGGATTTCAACAGACAGGGCACATTCCTCAAGGAGGGAAGTTACTACAGCTTGGGAGAGAGAAAGCTTGAGGTGGGAGGAGCAGGAGCCAGCAGAGAGAGACCGTGGACAAATACTTCAGAGTAATAAAACTGAAGAAACTCAAGGGCCAAGGTTGCTGGTTAGAAAGAAAACACAGAACTAAAACTGTAGGCAGGGACATTAAAGCAAAATATGTCTGGTTATAACATCATTTCCCCAAAATTTCAGTGCAGTTTTTACTGGGTGAAAATTACTTCTTTGTGAATCATTTTGATAGGAATTCCACTGGAGATTTAAGGCCAGATAAAGCAGGGAGATAAGCCAAGGTATGTCTTATGAAAGGAGTGAGACATGATGGGTATAAAGCAGCCGAAGGTGGACAGGGTGGGTGTGCACCTGGCTCCTCAGATACCTGTTCTCAGGTCCTGGGAGAGCAACACCTCTCTGCATGTCAGTCTCTATATTTCTAATATGTGTTATCGTAACAGTGTCCTAGTAAGTCATGACAATTCAATGCGATCACACATGTGAAATTGCCTGCATAAGCTTGGCACTTGTGAAGTACTCAACAAATGTTTTAGAATAATGACAGATAATTGGGCCAGTATAGTGACCTGTGCCTGCATTTCGGGAGGCCAAGATGGCAGGAATGTTTGAGCCCAGGAGTTTGAGACCAGCCTGGGCAACATAGTGAGACCCCATCTCCACAAAAAATTTAAAAATTAGCCGGGCATGATGACATGCACCTGTGGTCCCAGCAACTTGGGAGTCAAAGGTGGGAAGATTGCTTGAGCCCACGAGTTCCAGGCTGCGGTGAGCTATGATGGTGCCACTACATTCCAGCCTGGGCAACAAAGTGAGATCCCATCTCAAACAAAAACAAACAAAAAAGAAATAATTGTATTATAAGGAAGTAACAACTGGGCAGCAGGGCTTCTGTTTGTAATTCGATCTTCTTCCTTCTAGGCCACAAAGAAAGAATTATGTACTTATCATGGAAGATATCTAAAGCAGAGGCTGTGTCATGAGATAGAGAAATAAACCCTTAAATCATAACCGTGTAGGAAAAAATCTTAAATACAAGGGCTCCAGTGACACTGGCTATTCATGTGGACAATCAGCTATGAAGCAGAGTTGCCACTTAGCCTATGGAGCAATTGTGGGCTTCTGTTGGAAAAATACATGTTGAATCCTGAGACCAATGATAAGAAAAATAGGGTGAGAAATCCAGGTGAGTGTGACTTTTATTCACCCCTAAAGTGGGGTGTCCAGGCATTGAGCTGCTGGGATTGTCCTGGCCAGCCACCATTTCCTCCATCAATTGTTTTTTCTGACTCGCATCATTTAGAAATGCCTGTGATAGCTGCAAAATTTTTGTTTTTCATCCATACCTCTCTCTTCAACCATATGGCCCTGTTGGTCAGCTTGGCATAGAGTAGAGGGCTGGGTAAAGGGACGATATTTATTGTGCTGAAATCTTCAGCTCTTCCTGTCCATTGCACATTTAATTCTCCCAGCATCCACATGAGCAAATTATTCTTTCATTTTTCAAATGAGATGAGTCTCAGTAAGAGATAGGTAGTTAGTAGCAGAGTTAAGATTTAAACTTTGGCGTGTGCAAAGCCAAAGTCCATGTTATTTCTATTATACTGATATTAGTAAAATAACAAAAACTGAAACTTACGTAGCATTGACTATAGGTTGGGTATGGTTCTAAATACTTTAGATACCTTCACTCCATCTTCATGAAACCCCAAGCAATAGGTAGGTGTAGGTATCCTTAACACCAATTACAGATGGTAAACCAGAGGGCAGGGTGGATGGAGTCAGGAACAGAGCTATTAAGGATGGAGCTGAGATGCCACCTGGAAACTCTGGCTTCCCAGTGTTCAACCACTGTATTAATTTGCTAGGACATACAAAGTCCCACAAACCAGGTGGCTTAAAACAACATAAATTTCTTGTCTCACAGTTCTGGAGGGTCGAAGTTCAAGATCAAGGTGCCGTCAGTTGGATTTCATTCTGATGTCTCTCTCTTTGTCTCCTAGAGGGCCATCTCCTCCCTGGGACTTTTCATGGTCCTCCCTCTGTGTGTGTCTGTGTCCTGATCTCTTCTTATAAGGATACAAGTCATATTGAATTAGAGACCATCCCAATCACCTCATTTTACCTTAGTTACCCCTTTAAAGACTCTTCTTAAATACAGTCACATTCTGTGGCACTGTTAGCACTTCAACATATGAATTTTTGGAGAACAGAATTCAGCCCACAACAACCACTGTGGGAGACAGCCTTCCTCTCCAGTTGTGTTATCTCCATTGACAGTCCTGTTGTTTTGCTTTTATGTTTCCTTCTAGTGAAGTCTTGCCCCTACAACTCTAATGGCTCACACACATGGCCTTTGGTACTAACAACATTGATCCATGGATATTGAAATACGTCTAACAATGAATGAGGCTTAATATGCTCCAGAAATTCTCAGCCTGTATTTTAGATAGTACTAAGTACCTACTGACTACTCTTGAAAGTTTTCTTTTCCCAAATCTCACCATTCCTTATTTATAAACTTTAAAAAAATTATGTTAACAGACAGAGACAGTCGGAGAAGGGTAAAGGTAGAGATGGGAGTCAGATATGTTGTCTTTGGGTAAAATAAGACAGCTTATTGTTTGCTCTGAAGTTGGAGTTATAAAAATCTACAGTTTCATATGGGAAAATATTTGTTTATAACATTAAGACAAAATAGTGAAATTAAAAGTATAAATATGAGCATGCTCAAAAGTAGAGCTATAAATAAGGAAATAAAAGATGGGTAGGAAATGAATCAAATTGTTTACTTTGGGTGTCTGTGAGTGTGGTTAGTGGGAGTGATTTTTCTTCTTTTACTTATTAAAAAAGTGAATTTTTATAAGTAGTTAATACTTTAGAATTCAATAGGTCATAAAATATTGTAAGATTTCTTAAGCATGGCTGTCTTATAATTAAACTTCCTTTTGGAATGACATGTCTATCTTAGAATGACACCTACTGTCTTACAACGAGCATGCAAAGCCCGGATCTTGTTTACAAGGCAAATTACACATCTGTAAGAGGCAGAGAAGGCTTGAAATGTCTTATCAAAGCACTCCCACAAAAAGTGATTACTGGATCCTCAAAACTACCTTATTCAGTACATTAAAAGATGATGAATATCATTATAGGGCATAAGAAGATTAAGAACCAAAACAATCAGGGGAATGGCAGCCAGGGAGTGGAAACTCATCGATAGCCATGAAGTCTGTTTGTTTCTAGCTTCTTCTGTGCTTTGGTACTAAGAATATGTTTCTAACTAGAAACATCTAACTATCTCTTTAAAAATGCAGTTACTTTTAAATAGGACAGATTCTACAAATGATTGCTTTCAGCTGTGTAAATGGCATCTCAGAATTTTATGTTTAATATTCATATTTAACAATTTTAAAACAGTGCAGTTCTGCATCAGATTTTAACATACTGGTCCAATGCATTTATTTGTAGTACTAGGATACCCTATTTTAAAACAGATCTGAACATCTTTTTTCATGTATTCTGTGAATATGTCTAAATTCATATCAGGTAAATGATTGAAGAAAAAGATTCTAGGTCTCCATTGACCTTGAGAAGACTCAAACTTCCACAAGGATCCGTGCTTACCTGAAATCCAAGTGTGTACTGGGTACTGTCACAGCTATGGGTCTTCTTCCATCAGTGCCAGGCAAGGCTCAGGCACCTGTGAATGACTCGTGCTCCTGCCCCAGTTTCATTACAATCTGTGAAATAAAAGAACATATGGGCCGGACACGGTGGCTCAAGCCTGTAATCCTAGCACTTTGGGAGGCTGAGGCAGGTGGATCACCTGAGGTCAGGAGTTCGAGACCAGGCTGGCCAACATGGTAAAACCCCATCTCTAATAAAAATACAAAAATTAGCCAGGCGTGGTGGTGCATGCCTGTAATCCCAGCTACCTGGGAGGCTGAGGCAGGAGAAATGCTGGAACCCAGGAGGCAGAGGCTGCCTGGTGAGCTGAGATCACACCACTGCACTGCACTCCAGCCTGGGAGACACAGCAAGACTCCATCCAAAAAAAAAAAAAAAAAAAAAAGAGAACATATTAATATGACACACCTCTATGTGATGTGTCCTAATGCAGTTAGTTTCAGGGCTTAAGTGATTTCTCTCTTTGTTTGGTTTGGTTTAGTTTAGTTGGTTTTACTATCTGTCTAGCTTTTGGATTTATGTGTTCACTACAAGAACAGGTACTATGGTTTGGCTACAAGAGAAGTTTCATATTGCTGATGATATGTTTAATTTTTAAATGACAATTTTATCATTTATATTTTAGGCTTTGGCAACAGATTTATACATTAAGTCTTGAGAATGCAAGGCAAACTTAAAAAGAAATTGCAACCACCTATGTATAATGAATCAGGATATTTTAATCTTGTACAGTCGCAGCAAAAATCCAGGATAAATCAAATGCTAACAATCAGACTGGGCTATCATCCATAACCCTGATTTCAATTAAGCCAAAAAACTGCCTCATTTTGTAATTACTTGATATTATAATAAGAAAATGTTATAAATTTGAGCTTATAAAATATATTTGCATTACAAAATACTGATTTTATCTTTCATCTGCTTTACATTTTACAGATATACCTAATAGCTCATTTGAAAATAGAATCCTCTTTTTTAAAAGTTTGGAAAATATGAAAGGAAACCAATATCAGACCAAGAGTAGTTATTATAATCCATGTGACTTTTCAATAAGTAAAGCAAAAATTGCTGCTATTATAACAACATGTTCATAGCTTCCCCATAGTCATGTTCTAATTAATCATTATTTTAGCTTTTCTCATGTGCCGTGAGTTATTTCCAACTGAACCAGGATTGGGGGTTTTCCCTGGGAAATAACCAGGTATTCATTGCTTCCGTTGTTATATCGATGATTGTAGCATACCAGAGACCACCAAGGCTTACCTCATTCAGGTCAATTTAAATGAAATTCTCATCTCCTACAAATCATTTTATAAGAGATTTTACCTTTTTTCTAACCTTCGCTTTCAAGATACCATATAAAGTCAAATTCTAAAACCTGAAGATTATAGAAGTTTTACCATATAGAGTAAAAGAAATTGGATTTCCACTAGAGTCACTCTGAATTTTATATTCCCAATAGAGATCAATGAAGACTGTATCCCCTCCTAGGAGAAATCATCAGTATTTGGGTGTATCCTTTTGTCACAACCTTTGGGGGTGGGATTTACTGGCATTTGTTTGGATGCCAGATGCCCTCCAATTTATAGGACAATTATGTGCCATAAAAACTTCTCTTTATTTTATGCAACTTTCACATCCCTCACCTGATATTCATGTGAGTGGAAAAGCTTTTAAAAATTATTTGAATCTAGAATTTAATTATAGTTTACAAATAGAAACACACAATTTTCTTTGCACAGCTTTAATACCTACTAATTTTCCAAGAACACCGCTACTTTTTAATTCAAAAGTAGAATATGCTTTGTGTTATTGGGGATTTTACCAACAGCCACAAAACTGAAAAATCACAACCTCACTGAGACACTGCTGGTGATATTTGAGGGCCCTCTGCAACTCCTGTATCATCTGCAATTGTAACTCTCAAATACAAAAGAATTCGGAATTTGGGTCAGAGCATTATGTATCTCCATATACTTATTATTTTATATATTAGTTTCCTTTTATGTCTCCTTAATATTATAGTTAGGTTAAATAGAGAGTTATAGGGCCAGGTGCATTGGCTTATGCCTGTAATCTAAACACTTTGATAGGCCTAGGCAAGAGTATCATGTGAGCCCAGGAGTTCGAGACCAGCCTGGGCAACATAGTGAGATCCTTTCTCTTAAAATCAATAAATAAAAAAATAGTAAAAATAAAATTTGAAAGATAAAAACCAACAAAAAAAGTAGAGAACTTTATACAATTATATATTGATTTTTAACCTCAAACACAGAAATGCAAATGATGGAGTTAAACACACACACTCTTCAGTTTACTGTACATCATTATCACTGGTCATGCGAGATTCTCGTTTCATTATTTATTCACTTTTATCTTCATAATACATTTCTACTTCCCCTTATCAACAATTTTAATATTATATGACGGGTGTCTTTCTTTTTTAAAATGGGTAGTATTGAAATAATTGTCACTGTGTCAGTCTTCTCCCTGTTCTTCTTACATTTTCATTAAGTACCACATTTTTAAGATCTCTCATGAGATTGTAGGACACCAAAGCACCCAAATTGTGCCCCAAACTGCTGCTCACTCCTCCACAATGTCTGTCTACAATTGAACCACCTCCTCCCAGGAAGTCGCAGCTGGCTGGCATCACTAACTGTGTTCAATAAACATCCTTGTGCAAGTCTTCTCATGGATATGTGGAAGGATTTCTGAGGGCTGTGTACGTGGGGAAAGAATTTCTGGAGTTGTAAGATGTATCTATACTTCAGTTGATTGATTACTATCAGGTTGGTTTTCAAAGTGACTGCACCCACCTGTATCCTCCTAGAACATATTCCTGTATTGCACATCTCTGTCAACCTTTGATATGATCATCTTTTACACCCTTTGTGGTTTTCTCAGCAGCCTAATAGGCTTGGAGTCATAGCTTTCTGTATGTCTTGTTTATCTAATTATTAATGACTAAAAAGTTTCTTCATGTGCTTGTTAGGAATTCCTTTTGTAATACAGATATTAATCTCTTGCCAATTTCAGACATTTAAATTATTTTCCCTCTTCTCATTTTGAACAGAAAACCTTAATTTTGAGGTAATCAAATTAACCAATCTTTGCCTCATATTTAGTGCTCTGGAAATTGTTGAAAGTTCTCCCCTTCCCTCAATCACACAGACATTCTCTTCCATTTTTAAATTAATGTTGTGGTTTTGTCATCAGCATATAGGTTGTGCAACACAGCTGTGAGCCACAGTCCTGTTGCTCCCACCCATTCATAGTTTTGATTCCTTTGGCCTGTCTCTCAGCCCTTGCACCAACCCCACCCTGCCAGCATTGCAACAGCTTTGTGAGATGTTGGATGGCTGGCCAATGACAGTGAGCCAATGAGAGTCCATAGAGGTGACCCAAGTTCAGATGAGGCAGCCTCAAGTCCTGAAGAGCTGAGTGCATGTGAGTTGTAAAGATGGACCTGGGTGTTCCTGTCTCCATGGAGTCTTATCTAAGCTCTGTAGCAATGTGGCCCAGGCTCAGACAGCTTGAGCCCCAGGAGACCTCCTGGCCTATCGCCAAGGGCACTAGACAGCAGCTTTGGAGAGCAATGCCAGTGGCTCTGTGCATCTACTCTGTCTTTGAGCTGCAGCAGCTCTGGTGATATGAAATGCAAAAGAAAAATGGATATTGGTGTCCTCAACTCCCTACGGTCACCTCCAAAGAACTAAAGAAGACTCACCTTAAGCTTTTGTGTCAGACCTCTCCTGTGATCCTTCTCACCCTCTCTCTCTGTCCATGTTGTTAAATTCCCTCATTGCTGTTGAAACCACGTTTAGCACATTTTGCTACTTAGGTGCACACTTTGCCACTTCTTGCTTTCTGCCCTAGGGCTTCTCCGTCACTGCCAAGTGGGAGTCGTAAGGCAACTCCCCAGTCTTCCTGATGCCTGGACTAATCTAGAAGTCCGAGAAAGTTCATACCCCAGGGGGCAACCCTTAAACAAAGGAGGATGGAAGATAGTTCATAAATATACCCTTGTCCAACCCTTGCACTGTGGGGGATCCCCCAGGTATCCCCAGTCACCACCGGCAGTAATCAGCTTGGTAAACACCCCTAGTTTACCTCTACTTCCTTTCTTATATTACTCTTTTCCGATTCCACTTTCCAAAATAAGTGACCTGCATCCACACCCTGCCTGAAGCTCTGCTTTTTGGGCTCTACTGGCTAAGACAGAGGCCACTTGATACTGACCTTCATATTTATGTGCAGCCTTGGCCCCTGGCTTATCTGCAGATACATTCCACGATTTGCGTCACATACATCAAATCTAACGAACAATTCCCACTATGTAGCCTAAGTTACACCTGTATTAGATATTGAGGATCTACCAGTGCCAATGAATCATCCTTATCTCCAAGAAACTCTCACTTTAGTGTGGAAGACAGATAGGCAAATGGGCAGTTACAGTGGGGAGGAATCCTTCATGCTGCAATTCAGTAAAGATCATGTTCTTTCATCCTGAGCAACAGTAATTTCCACTCACCTCTGTATGCGGAGAAAGCCTCAGATGAGGCTATTTGCCAATTAGTCAGTTAAAATGGAGAAACAGAACATCTGACCAGTCTGCCCTTAGACAGTACCCATCCACGAGGATATACAGTGTCCCCGCCCCGGGCTCACACAGGCATGATACTTTTGTCCACCAAGGCTCCAGGGCCTCAGCCACACCCTTCGCATTAGAGTAAACAAGAAACTACTATCAACTGTCACATTTCACATTCACAATGAAACCTATTTTCCTGGTAAAAACTCGTCATTATATAGATGAGAAAACAGGCCCAGGAAGGAGGAGGGACTTCCCCAAAGGAAACTTGCAAATTAATAGCGGAGTTTAGACAAGAACCCTTGGCTACTGATACAGCCTTCTTTCTCTGTTTGTTTGTTCATTTCTTCATTCATTCATGCAATGCTCTTTCCCTGTGCATTTTATCCCTACTGACGCATAGGCAAAATCCCATGGCAACTGATACAATGCTCTTTCCCCACTGGTTGATTGATTGATTGATTGATTCAGTCATTCATATCTTTAGCAAGAAAAAACCTTCCTCAGACAATGAGATCAGAAGTCACATTTCAGTCCAACATAAACGTCACAGATTCACAAATGCATGAGAGTTATTTCTACTAAACTGTGAGCTTCTTGCATGCAGGAACCATTTCTGACAGGTTGCTGTATCTGCACAGCTACAGTGGCCGCACCACTGCTGCTTTTTTGCCCTTTCCCCTCTTGAGTCAGCAGGAGGCCGTAAGGAGCTCTGAAAAAACCCTATGGTACTGAGGAGAAGAGCTTGCAAAGCCCTAGACAATAGGACACTTGTATCAATCAAGTTTCAAATAAGAAAGAAAGCCACTCTGTTTCAAAGAGAGGAGATCAATATAGGAAACGGTTTACATAGGCAATGGGAGAGCTGAAAAATCCAAACATGGAATGATGAGGGAACCAAGCAATCAGGCACAGGAAGCCACTCCCTAGCCTAGGATGCAGGAGAGAAAGAAAGGTCTGTAGTTGTGAGACCACAGAGGTCAGTGTCACCAGGTGAAAATTTGGTTCATGGAGGGCATCTCTGGTAGGAGATGCAGTCACTATGGGGGCTCCCATCTTAGGAGGAAGAGAGAATGAGCTTGGCTTCTCCCTTCCTCCCACCTTCCAATGTCCCTCTAGAGCTTCTCATTGTCCAAACTGAGCTCACCTGGGAGCCTGGGAAAGGTAGCCCAGAGGGGTGAGCCCACCTGAGATTCACAGCAGAGCTTGGGAAGAGTGAAGGACGATATGCAGGAAAATAGCCCAACACCCACAGGACACTCATGGCCCCTTCCAGTTCAGATATCTCAGAAGTGTCTAATCAGACCTATGTCAAAGCCAGGATCCAGAGTTCATAGCTTCAGTAAGAGAAGTGCCTTTCATCTTGGAAGAGATGCCAGGAATATACGATTCCAGGCTCTTATGTTTTATAAGTTTGCTAAAGAGATGAAAATATGCTATTCTAGACAGTGCTATAATATCCAAGGCATGTGCCTACACAACAGAGGAAAATAAATATTTGTATAAAGAAACAGATTTGGGTTTATATCTTAAAAGAAAATTTTCTTAAGTAAAAATATAGTCTAACATATGTTATTAGGAAACAATGTACCTTTATTTAGTTCAGTGTCCTCCAAAGTCTGGTTTCTCATGTATACAACCATTTTAAATCTACCTTTTAAAGACGGGCATGACAAAGTGGGGCGGAATTTCAGAAAGAAGAAGAAATTTCAGATAGGGATGCAGAGTAATAGAGTGGAAGGCAGAGGAAATGGTATCCTTTGGAAAAAGGCAGAGCTGAGATGCCACAGCAGGTTATGCCTTCCATGACGTCAAGCCATTAAACAGCAGTCACACCAGTGGACACACAATTTCAGTGGGAGAAAAAGACAAAGCTATATTGGAATGGTAGAAATGAGAACTGAATAAAAGTGGGACAGAGAAGCGCATGCACATGGACACATACACAACACTCTCTCGATGTATATTTTTAATTGGTCATTTACATGCATATATGAAAACTAGCATTTATTAAGTGCTTACTGTGTAACAGATTCTACATTAGTTGAATTATGTAACTTAATTCTTTTTACAAATATGTGACATACTTTCCTGACAGAGACATTGTAAATAAGGACACTGGGAAGATAAACTAATGGCTCGTGCAAGGTCAAGCTGTTAGCAATTCAAACCCGTTTTACGTGACTCCAAATTCTACCCTTATCACTCTACATCACCACTTTATAGGCACGTGTTAATATTAATTTAAATAAGGTTTCAGATTTGCTCAGTCTCTTGGCATTTAAGATGGCTTAAGCTAATTGTGTACCCTAAAGGAGATATGCGATCACATCGATTTTAATATTAATTGCTGTGGTGCTAATTCGTCAAAAATAAGGAAACTGAAAACCCACTTCAGTTGGAAATTGCAAAGCACTCTATCTAATATTCTAGATTCCACATGTGTCCGTGTGAAGAGACCACCAAACAGGCTTTGTGTGAGCAACAATGCTGCTTATTTCACCTGGGTGCAGGCGGGCTGAGTCTGAAAAGAGAGTCAGCGAAGGGAGATGGGGTGGGGCCGTCTTATAGGATGTGGGTAGGTAAAGGAAAATTACAGTCAAAGTGGGTTGCTCTCTGGCTGGCAGGGGCGGGGGTCACAAGGTGCTCAGTGTGGGAGTTTTTGAGCCAGGATGAGCCAGGAGAAGGAATTTCACAAGGTAATGTCATCAGTTAAGGCAGGAACCGGCCATTTTCACTTCTTTTGTGATTCTTCACTTGCTTCAGCCCATCTGGATGAATATGTGCAGGCTTGGGCTCAGAGGCCTGACACTAGAGTTTTAAACTTCAATATTTATTAAGACTACATACGAAGCTCTATGTGAAATGCTCTCGCACACATTATTTGATTTAGTTCTCCCAACAACCCTTAAACGGATGTACTAGTTCCTTATTTTATTTTCTTACAAACAGGAAAATTGAGATTATTTCAAGCTCTCCCACGGACCAAGAGCCAGGAGCTGACAGAGCTGGAATTTGGACCAGCCACTTGACACGTCCAGTGGTCTCTCCACCATCCTCCGCTGCCAGATTTCCGAGTCAGTGCCCTCTTCGCCGGTTTGCTCAGACAGCCTGCAACACCAAGGAAACTGCTCGAGGCTGCTCCCAGAGGCCAGCCCAGGTGTTCAACTCCTGGCCTTGCCTGCTGCAGATTATGCTTACTAGAGGCTTTTTTTTTTTAAAGGAGATCTCACAAAATAACCCTATTATTAGTGTTATAATCATTATTATCATAATCCTTTCTCTGAAATAATTTCCGTAAAATATATTTACTAAAGGAGAGGAGCACTTGAAAAAAAAATGCTAATCCATCCCCTACCACACAAACCCCAGATGGCCTTGTTTTAAGTGGAGGAAGACACCATAATAATAACCACGATTACCATCAATTCCACGCAGTGGCAGATGTGAAAGAGATAAAGATGCTGGGATGCTCCCATAGAAGTTCAGAAAATCTTTCTGTTTTCCACACAATACAAAAGCATGAATCCATGTTAAAGAATAGGTTCCATGCAGTCAGATTGTAATCTTTCTTGCATATCTATGCCCCAGATGGCCCCATGTTTAATGGGAGGAGAATAATAGTCACTTTGTGAGCAATTCAGGGGAAATTACAGAAGTATGGTAACTGCCCTGTGTACCTTTATTCAATTTTCTCTCATTTCACTAGATTTCACTAGCAGCATGAATAAAAAGAGCGGTGCATATTTTCAGCTGAGGGCGCCATTTTGACTTCGAAGGAGAGGAGATTCAAATTGACCCTTCTGTCCCAGTTGGCTCATAACACGAGAGAACAAAGTGAACCTGTTCCTTGGCCAATGCTTCCCCGCCCATCCTCACACACAAGGTATAAAAGTGAGGCAATGGTGTTTCCTGAGAAATGTAAGTTGGAGAAACTGGCTCATTTCAAATGGTCATTCTCTGGTATCATGTTACTTTGATGCTGTTATACTACCGCACTAGCAGGACAGTAAAAGATAAAATGGTACAAATGTGTCTTCAAATCTCAGATTCCTCATGGCAAGCACAGCAAACATTGAAAGGTATTTTGCAGATATTTTTTTCCCTCTGTCTTTTTAAATGGAAAAGCTTGACTTCCATGAATACTGTTCAAGTAGACCATATCAGATTTTAGGAAAGATATTTTGGTCCCTAACCTTAAAATGCCTTTTATTATCTAGGAAAAAAAATAATATAATGTTGAGCCTCCTTTCCTAGGCAGGAGGTTGGGATAGAGGAATTACTAATTGAGCATCTCCATGCTAGTACTCAATGGTCTGTTAGGAGTTGCACTGTTTAATATTACAACAACTCTGGAAAATTATTACATTCCCTTACATTGCAGATATGATAGCAGAGTAGGGCCCTCACATAACTTACTGAAGACCACATCAGATGTAGAAACTTGTATTAGCGTCCAAGCCTTTTGATTCTCATGTCTCTGAAGTGTCAGCAATAATGGATGCAAAGATCAATGAAGACCTTGAGACTGGAACCCTATAGCCCCCATGTCAAAGATACTGATTCTTTAGCTTAGGCCTAAAAGAATGTTCTCATAATCTTGGAGTTGAGTAAAAGGCCTTAGAGATCCTTATTTTCCAAATGAGTGAACCAGGAGTAGAAAAAATTGAGGCTCTTTGCTAAGGCTGCACGCCTAAATAGGGGTGTGTCCAACTGAAAGTCCACTCTCCCTGATTCACAAACAAGTGCTCTTTCCAGCCATAATGGAATGGGGTACAGATGGCATAAACTCAATTCTGCCAGCAGAAATCCTAGAGACTTCATCCTGAAAATTCACCCTTGGGAGGCAGGCTTCCTGTCCTGACCCTGTCTTGCTCCATGGAGTTAGACAAGTCTAGCAAAAGGCAGGCAAGGATTGCTTGGGTTACACATTGGTATCTGCTGTTTCTTTAAAGAGAGTCCTCTCTGTCAGTTTTCATCTTGCCAAAGGGAATGATTCCAAAATACCCAACCATCTCACAATCAGCTTTCTTCAGGGCAACAGAAACCCCACTATTAGTTGTTCACCTGAATGAGGACAATAAAGGTATTTTTGAAAACTTAAACATATTAGTTGGAAGTTCTTTCCCTCCTCTCCATGTTGAAATTCTACCCATTCTTAATAATGCATATTATATGTTATCTCCCTCTTCCATTACATTTGTGCTATGCAATATGGTATCCACCAGCCACATGTGGCTACTATATCTAAATGTCAATTAATTAAAATTGATAGAATCCAAAATTGGATTTCCTCAGTTGTTCTAGCCACATTTCTTTTTTCTTTTCTTTTTCTTTTTTCTTTTTTTTTTTTAGCTTTTACTTTCTTTAACTTTTATTTTAGGTTCAGGAGTACATGTGCAGGTTTGTTATGTAGGTAAATTGCATGTCACAGGGGTTTGGTGTACAGATTATATTATTACCCAGGTAGTAAACATAATACCCAATAGGTAGTTTCTCAAACCTCTGTCTCCTCCCAACCTCCACCCTCCAGTAGGCCCTGGTATCTGTTGTTCCCTTCTTTGTGTCCACGTATACCCAATGTTTAGCTCCCACTTATAAGTATGAATATGCAATATTTGGTTTTCTGTTCCTGCATTAGTTGGCTTAAGATAATGGCCTCCAGTTCCATCCATGTTGCTGCCAAGGACATAATCATTTTTATGGCTGTGTAACATTCCACAGTGTGTATGTACCACATTTTCTTTATCTAGTTTACTGTAGATGGGCATTTAGGTTGATTCCATGTCTTTGTTAGTGTGAATAGTGCTGCAATGAACATACGTGTGCATTTGTCTTTATGGTGGAATGATTTATATTCGATAGTGGGATTGCTGGGTCAAATGGTAGTTCTGTTTTAAGGTCTTTGAAATATCTCAAAACTGCTTTCCACAATGGCTGAACTAACTTACATTCCCACCAGTGGTGCATAAGTATTCCCTTTTCTCTGTAACCTCATCACCATCTGTTATTTTTTGACTTTTTAATATAGCCACTCTGACTGGAGTGAGATGGTATCTCATTGCAATTTTGATTTGCATTTCTGTAATTATTAGTGATGTTGAACATTTTTTCATGTGCTTGCAGGCCACATGTATGTCTTCTTTTGAAAAGTGGCTGTTAAAGTCCTTTGCCCACTTTCTAATGGCATTGTTTATTTTTTGCTTGTTAATTTGTTTAAGTTCCTTATATATTCTGGATATTAGATCTTTGTTGGATGCATAGTTTACAAATATATTCTCCATTTTGTAGGTTATCTGTTTACTTTGTTGATAGTTTCTTTTGCTGTACAGAAGCTCTTTAGTTTAATTAGGTCCCATTTGTCAATTTTTGTTTTTGTTGCAATTAATTCCTACTGGAATTTTTGTCATGAAATCTTTGCCAGGGCCTATGTCCAGAACGGTATTTCCTAGATTACCTTCCAGGGCTTTTATAGTTTTATGTTTTGCATTTAAGTCTTTCATCCATCTAGAGTTGATTTTTGTACATAGTTTAAGGAAGGGGTCCAATTTCACTTTTCTGCATATAGCAAACCAGTTATCCCAGCACCATTTATTGAATAGGGATTCCTTTTCCCATTGCTTGTTTTCATCAACTTTGTCAAAGATCAGATGGTTGTAGTTGTATGGCTTTATTTCTGGGCTCTCTATTCTGTTCCACTGGGCCATGTGTCTGTTTTTGTATCAGAACCATGCTGCTTTGGTTACTGTAGCCTTATAGTATAGTTTGAGGTCAGGTAATGTGATGCTTCAGCTTTGTTCTTTTTGCTTAGGATTGCTTTGGCCACTAGCCACATTTCAATACTCTATAACCTGCGGCCAGAGGCTGCCATACTGAATAGCACAGATACAGAACTTTCCCATTATCATAGAAAGTTCTATTGAACAGTGCTGCTCCAAATGCTTAGGTCACCTTAAAAATCACTGTATTGACACTTGGAATTACAAAGTTTTAAAACATAAAAGATCTTGGAAAGCATGGAGTCTAACACTTCATTTTATATAAGAGAAAAAAGAAAAACTTTTCTAATAGGTGAGGTTGCCACCAAAAGATGCCATAGAAAAACCATCATGCCATGCTGTGTATTTGTGTCCTGTAAGTAGAGCATGTTTCATCCCAGCTTTGGTTTCTAAAGTCCTTAGGACACAGGACCTGTTTTTCATTTGTGCATCCTGAAGATTGAACACCCTGCCGAGCACATGGTGGAGATCCAGGGAATGTTTGTTGATTGGCTTGAGAATGTTATCAAATAGAGCATTGTGACCTTATTTATAATTCATTTATCCCAGTAATAGCATTTACAGAAAATGAGACAGCATCAAAGTAAAGTATTTAGCAAACAATCTGTTACTTATTCAGTCATTGCCAGGCTAGGCCTAGTTTCCAGAGCAGATATGGGTGGACTGTGAACAGGTACCCTATATCTTCTCTGTGGTACCTGACCATGAATAGGTTCCTGTATCGGCTCTGAGCATGTACCGGGTGTGTCCATTTAAACTAAAAATAAAATTTTAAGCTCCTCACTGACTGAACAGACCCTCTCTTGGTAAAGGGGACTCCATAAAAACCTTAAAAAAAACCCGAATTCCCAGCCATGATGGGAAAAAGTCAGATGTGCCTTGTTATATCCCCCCTCCCTTTTGGAGTTCAGGCACACTGGCCAGCATCAATGTTAAAATAGAGACTCTACAACTGACAAAACAGATTCTTTGTGGCAATAAAATACCAAATTATAAAGAAAACCTAAGGCTATTTCAGACAAGGATTAAGTCACGCTTGCAGGCCATCAGTCCTGCTACATAACATCCTTAGGTTAACTTATAGCATTCCTTTCTGCTGACTCTGTTTTAGATAGAGCCTCACTTCTTTAACCAAGTGCAAATTAAAGAATCTCTGAATCAACCTATAACATGGAAGCACTTTGACTCTCCAAGATATTCTGCCATTTTTGCCAAACCCAGGTATACCTTCCAGGCATTGATTTCTGTCCTTGCCTGTAGCTCCTGCCTTCCTGAAATGTATAAAACCAAATTGTTATCTGACTGCCTTGGGACCACTTACTCAAAACTTCTTGGGTTTGTGTTTTCCCCAGGCTGCAGTCACTCGTATTGGCTCAGAATAATCCTCTTTAAAATATTTTACAGAGTTTGGTTTTTCTGTTACATTCACCTTGGCAAGTGTTAGGGTGGCTTTCCCAGCCAAGGAGGAGTTCATTCTAATGGACAAGACACGCGTTCAAAGGCATCAGCTAGAGCAGTGGAATTCTAGGCCAGGAGTTGGCAGTGGAATTCCAAGGAATCTATCAAAGCAAACTACATGGCAAGGTCACACTTAGAAGCTGAGGTCAGCAGAGGTGTCCCTCCTCTGCTGACCTCAGAAAGCTGAGAGTTTTCAGGAACAAAATTCCAGTCTCTAGATCAAGAACTTACCAGAGGGAGGCAGGACCATGGCCCAGGCAGAAACTATGATCTAGCAAAAAAAAAAAAAAAAGTCAGAAGAAAGCCCATTTTCAAAACTGTTTTAGCAGATCATTATTCATTTTGAAGAACTCGCTTGACTTAATAAATATGAATTTGCAGCTGCTTCGTCTCTATCCCCACCTCCCTGCCTCAGCTCAGGGCAGGGCAGAGCACGGGGGAGGCCAGGAGACAGGACTGGCAGAGAACAAGGGATGGTGAGAGGGTTGGGGCCTCACTGCAGGGTGCTCCAGCCAGCGCCAAGGTGGGGATCTAGGTGTGGGGCACCCCAGAGTACCCAGTGGGTGCCAGGCTTTGTAGACAACTTTAGATTTTTCCCCTGAAGTTTTCATAATTTAAGTCTATAAAACAAACTGATAATAGAGTAACAGAAAAAAAAGCATACAAATATATTATGTGCACATATGAACACTGGAGTTATAAAAAAAAATATGAAACTCAAAGAAAGGGCAGAATGATTACAGAAAGACTAGTGTCTTGGAATGAACAAGACCAGTCATGGCAGGAAGAGAAGAGGAAACACCTGGGGCAAAGGTGGTCTTGTTATGCAAATGAAACCTCACAGGTAGCTGCTCTCAGAACCACAGGTAGCAGCCTGTGGTTGAGTTAATTTTTCCTAGGTCCAGACCAAGGGAGAAAGCCTGGCTGTTTATTTCACCAAGGCAGATCAGATGCAAATCTCCTCCACAAAAGGCAGCTTTGCAGGGCTGTTCTTGTTTGCAGGCCCACTGAAAAGTCATCTCAAAATGTGTCAAAGAAGTGTATTTGGGGTGAAATATTTTTGGTTTCCTTTACCTTGTGTGTTTATGGCATAAGCAAATAAGACCACCAGAAAAAAAAATTATACAAAATTTTATTTTAAAAAGACATTGAAGTAATCAGCATAGAAAAAAAGCAGGGATGTGTGTGAGTTCCTGTCATTGCTGTTAATGATTCTATTTTGAGGAGGGTCACCTTACTACTGTCAGTACTCAGCCGTTGCGGCATGTGATCTGGTTTTGGGTGGATGGAGGCCATGCCATAACAGCCAGGAGGACGGTGAGCACAGAACCAAACCAACTACCTCTAACTTCTAGTCACAAAGAAATCAGGATAGAGCTCTGACCACAGGGCTGGGTTCTGCTGCACAGCATGTGGGATCCCCTGATGCAGGCGTTCCTAAAGAATAGCAGCCATTCCAGAAATTACATCCCCCTCTGGCCTCCTGGCCCCTCTCTATTTAAAGCAAGCAGCAGCTAAATGTTTAAATTGAGCTTTAAAGCCATTTCCTCAAAGAGTTAACACAATATAAACCATCATAAAAGGAAAAAAGGACCCATTTATACTCAAATTACACAGGAGTAGCTTGTCTCCATCTAGGCTCAAGAGTATTTGCTCTTAAAAGCTATTTTTTCCCCAGAAACAATAGTGCAGGTGCATCGCACTTCAGTGTGCAACATATTCATCCTGGGAGGCAGGAAGGTGATTTCACACCTGTCTCCTCTTTTTATTCACTCCTGGCCTGGCTAATTTGCCCAATGTCAAGATTGGTATGGCCAAGTCTGTCGAGGAGAATTACTGCTTTGCAGCACGATGTCCTCACTCTGGGCATTTGGACTGTGTGATTTGCCGCATGTCTATTCTGAGTACATCTTTCTGTTTTTCATCATCCATAAATGGAACCGATTGGTAATAATAATCCAGAAGAGATTCTGTTTGTAGTGAAATATCGGAAAGAGAGAGAGAAGGAGAAAAGACAGTTTTAACTGGCATATGGTATGCATTGCTAAAGGGGAAAGGAAAGAAGAGCGACATTACTCTGTGCTTTGATTGGCTAAAGGTGAGTTACTGGAGAAGACGTCTGATCTTCACTTCTTACGTCTCAAAAATAGACTGCTAACCACTCGAATATGTCTGCAGAAGAAAGAGGAGAAAGAAGATGAAAAGAAAATTACAAGTACAAGTAAAGAAAATGCCTGTACTTCACTGTGCCTCCTGAATCAGGGAGGGAGGACTTTCCACATTTTTGCATACTAGAACTTGTGCAACAAACACAGGGTCATTTATATAACAAGACAGCATGCTGAGTACATTTTCTGAAAGTACAAATTTGTTTTGTGTGATGGTGACTACCCTATAAGCTTTCCATTTATTTCAACTCCATATATTCCTCTCATGTTTGTCTCCCAATTTGCTCTGGAATAGAATGGCCACATAAATTACATTTAAAAATTGTTTGGTTTGAGATAAATGTTAAAATAATAAAATTACCAGATTTATATGAATTTTAAGAAATCATATTTCTCTATCCATTACCAGTGGTTAACATTATTCTAACATTTCTATTTTTTAAGTATGATTTTATAATTCTAATAGAAAATGGATATCCTATAATCTCATCAATTTCTATGTCATCTCTTTGAAGGCTCACAAATTCCCAAATCAAACAAAAGGCTTTAAAAGAAACATTTGATGTTTTTGAGTAATGTGCAGGAAATTAATGAATATAAACTTATTTTTGTATTTTATGCTGCTTATTTAAATATTTAGAATATGGTTTTAATTACCATGAAACTTTACTAAACATCCACCTGTCAGTAAAGAAACTGATTATTTTTTGTAGATTTGCATTCTCCTGAAAAAGAAACAGGTGTGAAAACCTGCAGGTATTTATCCACCAACAAAAAATAAAGGATATCTGTGAAATGTGGAGGAAGAAGTAAACACGAATATAATCTTAAAATTGCAAAATCTCAGTATGTGATTCCAAACTCCAAGAACAAAAAGATTCCATGGAAGAAGGGAAATGCCTTCTTATCCTTGTGGAACCGTTCTCAAATACCAGGAATCTCATTCAGTTGTATCTATCTATCTATCTATCTATCTATCTATCTATCTATCTATCAATCTAGTTATAGTTTTTGATCCCTACAACAATCTTCCATGATGATTTATGGTAATATATTCTAATTTTATTGATGTAAGAATTATGGTTAAATTAAGAACCCAGGTGGAAGTTTCCTTTGAGCCTAAAAGTTCATCAGCCTGGGAAAAACAGCAAGACTTCCACTCTAAAAAAAAAAAATTTAAAGATTAATTTTTTAATTAATTTCTTAATTACAGGTTGCATGTGCCTGTAGTATCTGCTACTTGGGGGCTGAGGCAAGAAGATGGCTTGACCCCAGGAGGTCAAAGCTACAGTGAGCCCCGATGGCACCACAGCACTTCAGCCTGGGGGATGGAGTGAAGAACTAAGGTTAAGCAATTTTCCCAAGATCTTAATGATCATAAATGGAATTTCCTTATTTGCTATTAAATGTCTGTGAATCTGCTGCCATCTTCTCTATTACTCCCCATATTGGTCAATTTATATCTTTCTTCCTTTTTTCTTAGTCATTCTTGCTAGAGGTTTATCAATTCCATTGGCCTTTTCAAACCACAGGTTTTGGGTATTATTGATTTTTCTCTACTGGGTTTCTGTTGTTCTTTTTAATTTCATTGATTTCTGCTCCTTTTCATTTCCTCCCTTCGGCCTGCTTTGTGTTTATATTGCTCTTTCATTTCTGGTTTCTTTGATTGACTTGAGCCCTTGCTTTTTTCTTTCCTTTTTTTTTTTTTTTGAGACGGAGTCTCGCTCTGTCTCCCTGGCTGGACTGCAGTGGCGCGATCTCAGCTCACTGCAAGCTCCACCTCCCGGGTTCACGCCATTCTCCTGCCTCAGCCTCCCGAGTAGCTGGGACTACAGGCACCCGCCATCAGGCCCGGCTAATTTTTTGTATTTTTAGTAGAGACGAGGTTTCATCGTGTTAGCCAGGATGGTCTCGATCTCCTGACCTGGTGATCTGCCCACCTCGGCCTCCCAAAGGGCTGGGATTACAGCCGTGAGCCACCGCGCCCGGCCTGAGCCCTTGCTTTTTTCTAATGGAAGCATTAATGCTACAATTTCTCTCTAAATTGCATTCAGTGGGAGAGAGAAGAAGGTGTGAGCCTGCTCCATCTTGTACAGAACCAGAGCCCTAGAGGTTAGGTTAAGTGAAGCATTAAGCAGCATGGAATAATCCTGAGCTTTGGAATCAAATTGGCTTGGGTTCCATTCACTATCTACCTGACCAACTGTGTGTCTTCGGAAAAGCTCTTAGAAGCCTCATTTTCTTGATTACAGTTGTTATAAAATGAGACAAAAATTCTTATTTCTGGTGTTTCCATGAGAATGCATATAAGAGAATGTAGAAAGGCTATACATAATTGCTTGATAGATTTTTTTTTATTGTTCTTTCCCTTATAGTCTTGATTGTTTCCATAGTTCAGGTCACAGAGGTTTGACTGTCCATACACATCACCATGACTCACAACAAATCTCGGCTTCTTCACCCCTCGCATCTTGACCTCTGCTACTTGCCTACTTATTTAATATTCAAATGTGCTCAGCAATTATTAATCACCTATTCCATGCCAGGTATTGTGCTAAGTTTTTCCTCATATATTAGTTTTGAATGTCAAATATATTATTGTGGAGGAAGTTATCATCCAACTTTTCCTTACAAATAAAAAAAAAAGACAAGTCCTTGCCAAGTTTACACAATTTGTATGGTATGAAGCTAAGATTCAAACCCATGGCAGCTTGGCTGTAATTCTGTGCTTTTCTTAATACACTACAGCTGCTCCTCATTTTCACCCTTTACCTGTCTGGCTTTCTCAGTATCAGTCTATTGACATGCTCTAATAGCTTAAAGGTCTCAGACCCAGGATTGCTGACTCTAGCCTGGACATCTGTCTCCCTTTACCATTTCAGCTGTGGCCCTGGGGCTCCCACCGCCTACTATCCGGACATCAAAGTGTGAAACACCAGAAGCATGGCAGGCCCAGTGAATTCAAGGTAGTGTTTAATTAAACATGCACCCACTACTTAGGAAAGTATATACTTTTTGAATTCCTAAAAGCAAACCTTTTCAATGTATTAAAATTAGAGATTTGTATTCATAGCTGAATGGAGAATTGCTTCTTACTATCACCATTTCCATTTCCAGTCAAGGACAAATCTGCTTTTCCTAAAACATAATGTCAGTTCCTATCATTCCTATGTGCACTGTGGGTCTATCACAGATACATATCCTTCATCATAATGCTTTTCTAAGTAATGAGTCTATAAGCCCCTCTACTCTCCTTCTCCTCAAAGTTTCCCTGAGCCAGGACAGACTTAAGAATGAATCATGCTCTACTCATCCCACTGGCATTTTAGTTCCACTCTGCCCACCCCTGCAGGCTCTTTACCTTCATTAAAGTCAGGATGTCTTAACTAACAAGAAATAAGTAGAGCCAGGGCAAAAGATGAGTAGAGCCAGAGCTATTTCCACGTGAATCAGAAACAAGTGTAGATAGGGAAGATCTAGAGATGGGGGCGGGGTTGGGTAGGAGCAGTACTAGAGGCAGAAGGAAGAGATGGGAAGGGAGATAGATTGAGGGAGGCATCACAGACAGAAGAGAAGACCCTCAGCTGAACTCTGGGGTCCCTATTCTTCAGTCAGCAGCTTGGCTTAGAGCAAGACACTCATCTTCTCTGGTGGCCCCTTTCCTCCTTTTTAATTAAGGGTTTGGGATTAGATGACCAGAGGGTTACATATGGTCCTTACATCCCAGGCTGTTCTGAAAATAGCACAGCTTTACACATTTGCAAGTATAGTAAGAAGTCCCTCTTTCTTTCCACACTGACTATTGTACAAAAATTAAATTGAAATTTGGTTGCTGAGAACCTAAGCCACATTTTCTTTCAGTAACATCAACATTCTACATGATGCTTAACATGTCGACTAAACCCTGGTGAACCCATGATGGACTTGAACTGTACTAGAATGACATACAGCTCCCAGGAGAAGAAAGGGAGAGAGGGTGAGAACCAGTTTCCTGAAATATTGCTGAGCATGGAGTATCTTCCTATCTACCCTACTAGCCCTTTCTTCATGGCCCCATAGCCCACTAATAGTGATTTCAGTAAGCCCCATTTCTCAAGAAGTCGTGGGCTACAACATCAGCATCCAATTAATTCCCTCATCAAAATTTCTGGGTGGGTGTGGTGGCTCATGCCTGTAAGCCCAGCACTTTGGGAAGCCCAGGCAGGTGGATCACCTGAGGTCAGGAGTTCGAGACCAACCTGGCCAACATGGCGAAACCTCGTCTCTGCTAAAAATACAAAAATTAGCCAGGCATGATGGAACTTGCCTGTAGTCCCAGCTACTTGGGAGGCTGAGGCAGGAGAATTGCTTGAACCTGGGAGGCAGAGGTTGCAGTGAGCCAAGATCGTGCCCCTGCACTCCAGGCTGGGTGACAGAGTGAGACTGTCTCAAAAAAAGAAGAAAAAATATTTCCTAGGAACCTCCCCTTAGCCCCACCTTCTTATGCTAAACAGCAGGAGGAAAATGAGTAGTGCACTAGTAAGTTAAGTGACTGATAGACCTTAATCTTCCTTCCTTGCTGTTTAATTTTAATGAAGATTAATACTGAGCTAATATTTAATGGGATAAGGGTTTTATATATAGAATAAACAGATTTGGCTGTGGAGAGAAGAGGTATTTGAGGCATGTAATTATGTTTGTCAGAAAACCAGATTCACCTAAGAAAAGCCCCAGATCAGCACTCTGAGATTTGTTTACTCCCTGCTTCAACCCCATACCCACAAGGTTATTAAAAGTTCTAAATATTCACCTTCTTGTATCAAAATACAGGAGTTCCAGAAAGAGTGATAGCTGGAAGAGCCACTCTCAAGTAGGTTTGAAATATTATATATCTTGAAAGAATAATCATAAATGATGGGCCACACAGCACTGTCCTCCACTCAACGTACAGGCATTTTAGGCCAAGGCAAACTGGCCTTTCTCTCCCAGGCTCTTTTTCCCCATCATACGCACAGTAAGAGGACATACATGAAGGTGCAGTGTTATGGACTGACTATCTGGGCTCTTCCAAAATGTATATGTTGAAGCTCTAACACCCAGTGTGATGGTGTTTAGAGGTGGGACCTTTGGCAGGTACTTAGGGTTAGATGACATCACGAGGGTGGGGCTCTCTTGATGGGATTTTTATCCTTATAAGAAAAGGAAGAGAGACCAGAGCACTTTCTCTCTCTCTCCCTGTCTGCCATATGAGAACAGTCAGAAGGCAGCCACCTGCAAGCCAGGAAAAGAGCCCTCACCAGGAACAGAATCTGCCAGCACCTTGTTCTTGGACTTCCAGCTTCCAGAACTGTGAAAAATAAATGTCTCTTGTCTACAGTATTTTCTTCTAGCAGCCTGAGCAGAATAAGACATGTGCCATTCAGCAGGAGGCTAAGGTTCATGCTCCCACAGAGCCAACAACAGAGTCGTCTTCAAGTAGAAACATCCCCAAAGTTCATGGTATCCCCATGGTAGAGACAGCTTTCTTTGTGGCCTGACTCAGCTGCTTGGGTTGAGTCACTCAGCTCAGCTGGTAGGGACAGAAGCATCTCTGTAGGTGAGATGGGCAGGGGTGGAAGAGCTGTGAGTTCCGCTCACTGGAATCCAGCCGAACACCCACATATCTCAGCCTGGAAAGGCCTGCAGCTCCCATGGCTCCCACATGGAAAACAGCTGCTTCCTCTTCCTCCTCCTCCTTGACGTTTCTCTGTCTCCTTATCTTGCCTCGTAGCATCTGTGCCACAAGCTTCTCTCTCCAAATGACCTCTGTACAAAACACAACCTCTGCAACTTTCCCAAAAGATCTCATATGGGGGCCACAGCCCCTTGGTTCTCTAAGGGTTCACTTAAAAAATCACTGACATGAGGCAGATTGATTAACAGGAGAAAAGGCATACACATTTATTCTATGTGTATACACAGGAGCCTTCAGAATGAAGACCCAGAAGCTTATACACCACCTTAGGGTTACAAAATAATGGGGGCTTGGATCCTGGTAAAACAAGTTAAGGGAGGTGGGAAAAGAAGAATTGAATTATATTGAAGGGCAATACACAGTTGCTAAGGAGAATGATTGGATCCTAGAAGCAGAGATTAACTTGTAAATAGTTGCGTTTTTTTTTGTTTTTTTTTTGTTTTTTGTTTTTTGTTTTTGAGATGGAGTTGGAGTGCAATGGTGCTATCTCAGCTCTCTGTAACCTCTGCCTCCTGGGTTCAAGCTATTCTCCTGCCTCAGCCTCCCAAGTAGCTGGGATTACAGGCACCCACCACCACACCTGGCTAATTTTTTTGTATTTTTAGTAGAGACAGGGTTTCACCATATTGGCCAGGTTGGTCTCAAACTCCTAACCTCAAGTGATCCACCTGCCTCACCCTCCCAAAGTGCTAGGATTACAGGTGTGAGCCACCACACCCAATTTGTAAATAGTTATTTTTGTAATATGAGTGATCCTTGGAGACAGTGATTATGCTTGTAAAGGGTCTTCTCAGGTGTGCTTACATCTTGGTCTTCTTTGCAATAGATAATGAGATAACAGGGAGGAGAAGAAAAAACAATCCTTCTCCTTGGTGGGTCTGGATCCTAGACAGATAAAGGAATATCACCTTCTTTGGGAGAGACAGTTGGGTGGGGGTGGGGTCAGAGAGACCTTGAGGCTTCTTCAATTTAGCATGTCAAAATGCTATATTTTGAGGTATCAGTTTCTGAGCTGCAACACTGGGCTGTCTGTCTCCCATTGCTGAGAATAAACAGAGCATATCTCATGGTTGCTAACCCCTGCCCTCAGGCTGCCCTTTTCCTTCCAGCTATGTATCCACACCCTATGCTGCACTCCCACAGCACTTGGGAGGAGAACTGAGTTTCAGAATGATGACTGGCAGGGTGAAGCTGTTATGATCTGATGTTTGTGTTTCCCCAAAATGCCTAGGTTGAACTCCCAACTCTCACTGAGATGATATTAGGAGATGGGGCCTTTGGGAGGTGATTAGATCAGGAAGATAGAGCTCTTGTGTTGGGATTAGTGCCCTTATAAGGAGAGACAACAGAAAGTTTGCTTCTCTCTCTCTGCGATCTCCACCCTCCACCTGCAAACCAGGAAGTGGGTCCTCCCCAGACCCTGAATGTGCCATCACCTTGATCTTGGACTTCCCAGCCTCCAGAACTGTGAGAAACTAATGTTTGTTATTTAAGCCACGCAGTCTGGGTATTCCGTTACCACAGTCTGAGCTAACTAAGAAATGAACTAAAGGGAGAAAAGCAAAGTCTCCCAGTTCTCTAACAGCAATGGACAGGGAGGATGGCTACCAAGCCCCCACTATCTATTGGGCACTTGATGTGCATGGATCTCTTGATCCTAATGGATTTCCTGTGAGGAAGCTGCCATCATGCCCCCTACGGAGATGAGAGCACTGAGACTTGGAGAGATCTGTGTATGTATGGGAAGCATCGTTTAAATCAAGGTCTGTGGGACTTCACAGCCCATGCATTTCCTATCACAGAATGCACCTGACGCATACTGTCACAGGGCATAGATGTGTACTGTGAAGTGTTATTTATCTTCATTTGGAAGGGTCTGCTGATTCTCTCTCCTTCAGCCCCACTATAAACTGCCTTTCTTCATCTCTGGCCAATTCAGCGTAACAGGATGGTCTTGTCTTCTGCAGCCAAAATTCAGGCCCTGGTGATGTTCTTGATTTGTTGTAAGAGACTCCAGTGCCCAGGGCAGTCAGCCTGGTTGATTCTGTCACAGTTCATGAATTCACATCAAAATGCACCTTTCCCCCTATAATTAAGTGAAGGCCTGACCTTCTAGACCCATCTGTGGCCTCTAGAGCCCCGCTTACAGCCTATAAACCCTTGAATTTCTAGGTGGTCTGAGCACCTATTAAATTTTTTATTTTTTCTGTTTTTTTCTTTTTTGTAGATAGTGTCTTTTTCTGTCACCTAAGCTGGCATGACATGGTACAATAATGGATCACTGCAACCTCCACTTCCTGGGCTCAAGCTTTGGCCTTCCAAAATGTTGGGATTGCAGGCATAAGCCACCATGCTTGGCCCTATTAAACTTTTTAACTTCAAGATGGCTCAGCAACAGAAGCAGGATCCAGTCCTCCACCCTGAGCTAGAGGTGAGGGCATGCAGAGCCTGTGAGCACGAAGGGAGCACAGAGTAGGGGAAAGAGCAGGACACAGGGATGCAGGAAACCATCAAGGTCACAGGTGTGACTCCACTCATCCTCTGCTCTTCCCTAATTCATTCTCTTTCTTCTTCCTTGAATCACTCGTTCATCTGAATGTGGCAGGAGCACACCATTGTGCCTCTCCTGTTCCCTCTAGAAGGCTCTGCCATGGCAGGCACACAACTGGAATGGGAGTCAAAAAAGTGTGCTTGAATCCTGGCTCTACCAATACCTCCCTACCCAACCTCAGGCATGTGGCTTGCCCTCTCTGTCTGCTGAGACCATTGTGAATGTAAGTGAAATCCTCCGTACGGCCTCTTTGCTTGCTGTTAATCCCTCTGTCAGCAAGGCTGTCATCATTCTCCGGTCACCCCTGCCTCTGAGCCCTCCTCCCCTGGCAAATTGTCTCCATCATCTTGATTTGGCAAGCCATTCCATCCACCATGGCCAGACACCACACAGGATAGCAGATTTCCATCTTGCCACCCAGACTTCTGGTGCTTCCAGGGAAGACTCTGTGTTAGGGTCTCTCCCTAAGCCCCAGCACCCTTGCTTTTAACTAGCAGGGACCTGCGACTGCCCTCTATGAATTAAGTTTAACCTAAAGCTGCCTCCTTATATATTTTATGTTCAGCCTAAATTTTTAAGTTCTCCATACCTAGTAAACAGCAACCTAGCTGGATGTATAAACAGACTGTAACCTACTCTTGTGCTAATCACTGAGTTTTAGCCAATCAAAGGTGGCCAACTGTTAAAACCAGTTCAAGTAAGACAAACACCAAGCTGTAAACAATCCAGTTGTTCTGATCTGACTTCCATTTTCTGTACATCACTTTCCTTTTCTGTCCATAGATCTTCTTCCACCACTTGGCTACACTGGAGTCTCTCTGAGTCTACCCTGAGTCTACTCTAGCTTGGGAGGCTGCCTCATTCATGAGTTGTTCTTTGCTCAATTAAACTCTGTTAAATTTAATTTGTCTAAGTTATTTCTTTTTAACATCTCTAAGCACATGAAGAGATAAATGAATGATTGAAGAACGAGAAAATAATACTTGGGTGCATGCCGTGCCAGAATCTCCATGCCCTTATGTTACATCTCTTGCCTTCAAGTCAAGTGTGGATGCTTCCAAGATGTAGAGAATACTCTTGCTTAAAAGGGAATAGACTCAGGATCCCTGAGAATAAATAAATCTGTGAAAATGTCCTGTTGCCTTGATGGTTTCCTTAATATCTGCTCCTCCTCCCCCTGCCCTCACCCCAAGGTATCTTTCCACACTCTGCTGTGTCATCACCCACTTGAGAATTCCTCCTGTAGTTTGGGTCTGCTCCTCCTCTGTCCTGCCCAGCAGCCTTCTCACCTACTCCTTTGTGCCTTGTGATTTGTTTTCATCTGCTTTCCTTACTCCAATCTGAGCTAGGGGTAGTCATCGTTTCTCCATGAAACCTTAATCACACAGCTCAGTGTGGATCTACCCTTCACTATGATCCATCCATAGCATCCTGCACTCATTCTACTCTAGCGTTGCTAAAAAATTGCAAAAAGACATTCACCCAGTTACCTGTCCTTTCACCCTATTGCAGTCTCCATATGCTTGTCCTCTTGCCTGTTGTCTTTCCAGACCTCAGCAGAGTACTAGACATGTACACATCACTTAATACATACATGTTTCTCAATGAATGCATTCATAGGAATTTCAGAAGACTTCCTGAGATTCCTCATGTTTACTTCTACCTAGCAAGAATCCTTCTAATGATGGTTTTTCCTATCTCTTTTCCAATAAAACATAACATCCATGTCTTTCAGCAGATCAAGTTTCTGATACTTGCAAGGCTCTCTTTAAATGCCAAAGCAGTACATGAATGAAGGGAAAAGTCTAAGCTCTGCCGCAAAACAAAATCTGTTTCTGGTCCTTCTGAAAAGTACCTGGATGGTGTCTCAACTCAATGTAATCACGTTAGGCTGAGCACCACTGAGATGCCAAGGCATTCCAGGAAGAGTGTGGGGTTTACATAACCTCAGGCTGAAAAATTTATTCTGCCTCAATCCTCATCTCCACCTGAAAGGGTGATGAGTTTTTTCTTGTTGACCCTACATGTAAATAATGATAAATCTGGAATTTTTGCCATGATAACAATTTGAGGGTCTATATTTTATGTTTACTTGGTAACTATTTAATTCAACAAATATCTACTAAAAATATCAGATAAAATAGGAACACCAGAAAAAGTGCCAGCTAAAAATATCTGATTGAGAGGGGATACAGTGGCCAAGAAAGAGAGACATTGCCTCCCCATGAAGCACGTTCAATCTTCCAGGGTAGCAGTCATTCAACAAGTAGGTATCAACCAATGACCCAACTTTTAAAATGATAATAAATAAAATTCTGTCTTTAGTTGAATGGAAACTTATGATATTGATGACATTATTTTAGAAAACTGAAATTATAGCTGAAATTTTTTTGTGTGTGATTTTCTTCTATAAGGTGATCATATAGTTTTTATACTGAACATCTTAGTTATTAAGAATGCCAGATAAAGCCAAGGTGGGTGGATCATGAGGTCAAGAAATTGAGACCATCCTGGCCAACGTGGTGAAACCCTGTCTCTACCAAAAAGTACAAAAATTAGCTGGGCGTGGTGGCGTGCACCTGTAGTCTCAGCTCCTAGGGAGGCTGAGGCAGGAGAATCGTTTGAACCCGGGAGGAGGAAATTGCAGTGAGCCAAGACTGTGCCATTGCGCTTCAGCCTGGGCAACAGGGCGAGACTCTGTCTCAAAAAAAAAAAAAAAAAAAAGTTTTACTCTGGTAAAATACAAAAACATAAAATAATTCCATTAATAGTTAAAAAGATGGTGACTTATTGATATTCATTTTGATTGCTCAAACTGCAAACAAACAGCTAAGGAATAACTAGGACAGTTACCATAATAATTAAATCCTATTTAGGATAAGCCTATGGCTTCATTTTCATGAGCAGTACCTAGAATTTTAAGAACATGCTTGAAATCTAAAATGATGATTTATTAGATATTTTAACACAGTTTTCTGTCATTATTTGATATGTCATGACAGAAAATATGCTTAAAGAGTTAGGTTGATAACATGGATTAGATTTTGAAAGAATTTGTACAATATCTTTTATTTTTCCTTGATATTTGGGAAGAAACTATTCAAAATGGACTCTTTTCTAAAGGAAATATGTTGTTAAACTACATTTTCTTTTAAATATTAATTAAATTGAATTGAAATTGTATTTAAATATTATGGAAAAGATAGTATAAAGCACGCAAATACAATTTTAAAAGGGGAGAAGACCACAATCTCAGCATTACAATAAAATCACATTCATTTTGGCATCTTTTCTCCAGTCTTTTATATGAAGAAACAATTTTAGATTGTGGTATTTATAGCAGCATGCTACTTTTTAGGTTTTATTTGAATAATTATGACACATTTTTAAATAATTTGAAATATCTATTAAAATCGTACAGAGAAATCTATTACCTTCTCCCAGCTTCCTCAAATGGAAGCATCTTACATGACAGGAGCACCATATCAATACCAGGAAATTGACCTTCATGCAATCTACTGATTACATTGCCTTATTCAGATTTCAACAGACTTTATAGGCACCTGTGTATGTGCCTATATATGTATGCCTGTGTGTATCACAGACACATACATGAGTGCCTATATATGTGTGTATTTTCTTTCTATATGACAGGATTTTTGTTTTTGGTTTTTTTTTTGAGACAGTCTTGCTCTGTCCCCAGGCTGGAGTGTAGTGGCGTGATCTCAGCTCACTGCAACCTCCGCCTATATATGTGTGTGTTTTCTTTATATATGATAGTGTTGGTTTGTTTGTTTGTTTGTTTGTTTTTGTGAGACGGAGTCTTGTTCTGTCCCCAGGCTGGAGTGCAGAGGCCTCAGAGCTCAACAAACAGTTCAGCTTGGCCTGACTTATACTCCAGTCTGTTAAGAATTTCTTCTGCACAAACATCACATGGCCTAGTGTGAACCCAAAGGACTGATGGGGAGCAGGGGGAGCAATAACCAGGCCTTCTAGAAGTCAGTCACTGTTATTGACAGCATTTTTAGGCACTTGATTGGGATAATACAATTTTCCCATTGTAACGTTTCCACTGTTGTGCCAAATTAAAGAGCTAACTCCTGCACAGGAGTGAAAATCAGTTGGGATGGCTCAACTTTCCTCTGTCCTTCCCTGTGTCAAACCTCCCAGACAGAACTGGGGTCTTCAAAAGCTGAATCTCTGTAAGTTGTGGCTTCCTCCAGTGCTTCGCTCTTTTTTTGCGGGGACAGAGTCTTGCTCTGTCGCCAGGCTGGAGTACGGTAGCGCGATCTCAGCTTACCACTGCAACCTCCACCTCCCAGGTTCAAGCGATTCTCCTGCCTCAGCCTCCCGAGTAGCTGGGATTACAGGCATGCACCACCATGCCTAGCTAATTTTTGTATTTTTAGTAGAGACGGGGTTTCACCATGTTGGCCAGGATGGCCTCGAACTCCTGACCTCTTGATCTGCCCCCTCTGCCTCCCAAAGTGCTGGGATTGCAGGTGTGAGCCGCCGCGCCTGGCTTTTTTCTTTTATATATTTATTAAATATGTATCAGCATCATTTAAGCAGTAAAATCTATAGTCAACAGTATCATTAGACTTTCTACATACGAAGTGATCTATTTGTTTTTGCATTTTAAATCCATATTAGGAAGATTTACTCCTAACTATTCTAGTATACCATTTGATATGTATATTATTAATCCAATTGAATACTAGTATCAGGTCAATTTACTTTTCATAAAAAAAAAAACAAAACTATTTCTATCATGGGCAGACCCAAGTTTGGACATAGTGTGTGCTTTTCTATAGCAAATGTGGAGCTGGGCTACAGGGATCCAGCACCTTGCCCTATTTTACCTATCTAAACCTTCCACAGCCTAAGGATCTAGGAAAAGAGTAAATAGATCGATGCATTGGGGTATGTTTTGTCAATTTTAATTTCTGTGTTCCCCAAACTTTAATTTGCTTCCCATTTCCTTCAGAACTAAAGAATATGTTACAGTAATAATAATAACAATGGTAAATACTTGCATAGTATTTACAAATTCCAGGCACTGCACTAAATGCTTTGCACAGTTTCACTCATCTTAACCTTACAACAGCCCTAGGAGGTGGGTGGTAATTTAGCTCCATAATTTATACGGTGGGAAAAGTGAGCTAAGAAATTTGCCCCAGGTTTACACAACTAGTAAATAAGTCAGTTTGGATTGTCTATCACAATCTAGCTCTAAAATTTATGCTTTTATTAACTAAACTATACTACATCCAAAAAAGATATTCTTAGCTTTATATTCAAATACATTTTCCAGTTGTCTTTATACAACTTCCCAATCTCATCTCCCAGGACTGTGCAACTCTAGCCCAGTGGAAACCGCCGTCTTTATTTTTTTATTTTTTTATTTTATATATATATATATTTATTACACTTTAAGTTCTAGGGTACCTGTGCACAACTTGCAGGTTTGTTACATATATATACATGTGCCATGTTGGTGTGCTGCACCCATTAACTCATCATTTACATTAGGTATATCTCCTAATGCTATCCCTCCCCCTCCCACCACCCCACAACAGGCCCCGGGGTGTGATGTTCCCCTTCCTGTGTCCAAGTGCTCTCATTGTTCAAATCCCACCTATGAGTGAGAACATAAGGTATTTGGTTTTTTGTCCTTGCGATAGTTTGCTGAGAATGATGGTTTCCAGCTTCATCCATGTCCCTACAAAGGACATGAACTCATCCTTTTTTATGGCTACATAGTATTCCATGGTGTATATGTGCCACATTTTCTTAATCCAGTCTATCATTGTTGGACATTTGGGTTGGTTACAAGTCTTTGCTATTGTGAGTAGTGCCGAAATAAACATACGTGTGCATGTGTCTTCATAGCAGCATGATTTATAGTCCTTTGGGTATATACCCAGTAATGGGATGGCTGGGTCAAATGGTATTTCTAGTTCTAGATCCCGAGGAATCGCCACACTGACTTCCACAATGGTTGAACTAGTTTACAGTCCCACCAACAGTGTAAAATGTTCCTATTTCTCCACATCCTCGCCAGCACCTGTTGGGACACCGCCCTCTTTAGACCTGCTTTTTCTTCTGCAGCTGCCTGAACTCCTTGATGATGCAGGCACGTCTCTTCCCATCCTGTTAGCTTCTGATGGGAAGGGATTGGGAGATATAAAATGAGACTCCTCAGAGATGTACTTTCATGGTTTAACTCAAGTGTGATCATGGACGTGCCATAATAAAATTTCAAGAAGGAATGCTCCAGCAATTAACGGAGTGCAAACGAAATAGCCGTCAATCAGATGGTGATGGAAGAGCACAGTTGGGAAGACTTTCTAAAAGAAGTGCTATTTGGCCAACAATTTTAAGATAGAAAAGGAATTCACCAAAAAGCAGTGGGGAAGATTTGTGCATATGGGAAAAGTTATTGCAGACATAGAGCAGTCTTTTGTTTTGTTTTGTTTTTATTTTCTGTAGAGACAGGGTTCTCACTATGTTGCCCAGGCTGGTCTCAAACTCCTGGCCTCAAGTGGTCTTCTCACCACAACCTCCAAAAGTGCTGGGATTACAGGTGTGAGGCACTGAGTCCAGCTGAGCAATCTTTGTTAGTTTGTGAAAGCACAAGCAAACCTGTGAGTAACTGTGTGTAACTTGAATTCATTAAATGTATATGTATATTTACATATTTATGCACATATGTGTATGGCCTAGTGAGGCAGGAGAACAAGACCTGGAGGCAGGGAACCTAAGGACTTTCAAGAACTAAATCAAATGGAAACACTTCAGCTATGACAGGAAATATCCTCTGCATTTACATAGGGTGTACACCAAGTAAATGGCTTTGTAACTTGACTTCATTCTCTTCATTTCTATCAAGTAACCAATGGAAACCTCTAGAGGGTTTTTAAACCCCAGAACATTCTATAACAGGGCTGTTGAGCCCCTATGCTCATACCCACTCCCACCCTGTGGAGTGTACTTTTGTTTTCAACAAACCTCTGCCTTTGTTGCTTCCTTCTTTTCTTGCTTTGTTTGTGCATTTTGTTCAATTCTTTGTTCAAGACACCAAGAACCTGGACATTCTCCACTGGTAACACTAGTATTGTGACTGCTACTGTGGATGTGTGTATAGTTATATATGTACACAAATATGTGTGTGTGTCCTGGTCTTGTGACTGCTACTGTGTATGTGTGTATAATTATAGATGTACACACGTGTACTTAGTGTTTCCTCAATAACAGTCAGCATCTTCCTGTTTTTACTCCCCACGCCCCTTGGTCTAGCATGATGCTTCATATGCAAGCAAGGATATTAGTCCATTTTCAAACTGCTATAAAGTGCTGTCTGAAACTGGGTAATTTATGAAGAAAAGAGGTTTAATTGACTCACAGTTCCACATGGCTGGGGAGGCCTCAGGAAACTTACAATCATGATGGAAGGTGAAGGGAAAGCAAGGCACCTTCTTCACGATCATGGTGGAAGAGATTCAGGCAAGTCTCATGTGGCAGCAGGCAAGAGAGAGAGAAGGGGTAAGTCCCAGACATTTATCAAACAACCAGATCTCATGAGAACTCCCTTGCTGTCAGGAGAATAGCATGGGGAAATCACCTCTATGATCCAATCACCTCCCACCAGGTCCCTCCCTCAATACCTGGGGATTACAATTTGAAATGGGATTTGGATGGGGACACAAAGCCAAACCATATCAACAAGGTTTTGGAACTTAACATTTCTTTTGCAAATAAGCTTTTATTCTCTTCATAGAGAGACCTTGAGTATATCTCTGAAATCTTTGAGTAAGAAAGCAGAATAATAAGGGTTTTTTATATTAAGTAAGTTAGATTCTTGAGCCTCGTGAGAAAATTGTATCTGAACTATCCACAAATATTCTGCTGTTTCAATAAAACGGCATGCCTTCACCACAGTCTACCTGCAAAGTACATTTCAAGGTAAATCCTGTAGGCTATAGGGATTTTTGAATGTTCTTTTAACAGATTATTCTATTATATGCCCCCTCTTGGTGTGGCAATCAGTGTGATATGTACTATCACAATTAAAAATTAACAAAAAAATTTACAAGAAATAAAATGATTTGGTGGATGTTTCCTTTGTATAGCAGTTTGCAAAATGTATTCTGCTGTGGGCTCTTGAAATAGATATTTTATGAACAGGTATAAAATTCTCAGGCCTGTCATGTACAATTGCTACAATTGATTTGTTAAATGGCTGCCATTTTACTTGGGAAAATATTTGTGTTGTTTTTTCTGCTGATAGCAAAGCTCCATGCCAGGAAGGCATTTGCTCATTCCTTGGAGCTGGCCTCACAAAACAATTCACAGCAAAATTAAAGCAACTTAAGAAGAAACTTGAAAATCAGAACAACCATGTGCTTAAGCAGGAGAAGACCCACTAATGTAAAACGGAGACAAAAAGCCCTAATTAAATGCCGAATCAAACCAACTCTACTTTCCTTTTTCTTTTTTTTCTTTCTTTCTTTTCTTTTTTCTTTTTCTTTTTTTTTAGGGAGAGAGTTTTAACCTTTTAGTGATTCCCTTATTCTGAGAAACAAAAGAGAGGGAGTTGCAGAGCACAGAACTCTGCAGACAAAATGTCCCAAATTTCCACCTTCTATTCAGCAAAGGGGACGAGGAAAAGAGGATTTTACCCAACCTATATGTAGGGATTGTTTTCTTAAACTACTGACAACAGTGCCAGAGAAAACCCACGCTGAACGCCTCCTTTTGACTTTCTCATCGGGAGTCTTCTCTTACCCGTCAGATTCTGGTCCAGAAGTCCCCCCTGGCAGCTGTCACCCTACGGATTTGCAGAGATGAACTCTCTTACTGGGCCTCCAGTGGAAGTGAGAAGGAAGCTGATTTCTGCAGAGGAAGACAGGGAGATGACAGGTTTCTTTGATAGATGTTTGAATTTTGTTTTTCTAGGGCAAGGCAACTCATTTGGTGGACATAACAGGCAATCTGGTCTCCACACAGACAATCCAGATGGTTGTTACGAGTTGAGAGGAGCTGGCCATCGGGAGGCTCAGGCCAGCTCTTTTATTACAGACCATCTTCTCCCCACAGTCTGCAAGCTGCATGGTTTCCTCTGAAGGACTGCGTGTTTAAAAATTCAAACATCCATACGACTCTTTATTTTCAAAAATTAAGTGCTACATAGAAGTATGCTAAACTCAAGGCCATGAAATACTATCCAGTTTTGCCATCTTCCTAAGGCAAAATGCTCATGAGTTGGAAGCATGGGACACATTAATCAACATAGAGCTAATCCTGGCTCTGACCTTAGCTCACTGTATGGCCTCAGACCACTCACGTCTCTTCTCTGGATTTTATCCACCTCCAAGTGTAAATAGTCTTGGGTCCCTATCAGTTTTGACAGAAAATGATAGGTTTAATTCAATAAGTCTGTCTCAATTCGAATCACTGGGTTTTTAATTAGTACAGTAGTCTTTCCTTAATTACAGGGGATACATTCTAAGACACCCTGTAGGTGGCTGAAACCACAGGCAGTACTGACCCTATTGCCATCAAGTGGAACATGTTTCGGTTCATGTCTTCTATCCACAAATGTAGAGCCTTTTTCATTTTAACTAAGCACTTAACACGCACCGCAGCTGTAACTTTTGCAGTTTGAGGTGTGACAGCAAAACTAGCATGAATTTCTTTTTTTCTTCACAATTTCTTGAGTAGAAGACTGAATCTTAGCAGCCTCAGCACACAATTTTTTTTCTTTCCTGAAGCCGAGAACTTTCCTCTTTTCACTTAAAGGCAGCACTCTATGGCTTCTGTTTAGTACATCGACGTTGCCAGCATTACTACTCTTGCGCTCCAGGACCATTATGCAGTAAAATCAGGGTGATCTGAACACAAGCATGGTGGCACCACCATAGTCGATCTGATCTCTGAGGTTGCTGCTCAGTGAGTCATGAGTGGGGAGCATGGATAGCGTGGATCCGCTGGACAGAGGCTGATTCACTTCCCAGGTGAGATTTCACTCACATGACGCAGGACAGCGAGCAATGTAAATTTCTGAATTGTTTATTTCTGAAATTTTCCATGGACTATTTTAGACCACAGTTAACCAAGGGTAACTGAAACTTTGGAAAGCGACCCCTAGAAGCGAGGACTATGGCATGCACTAGATGCCGGAAACTGACAGCTACATGCTACATGCTCTCAGGGAACTCAAAAAATGCACTACTATCATCTGTATTTTAACCTTGATACTAAGTGTAATTTTTAACAGTGTGAAGCCAAAAAAGAGGACTTGAAAAATCATAGACATTCTGAAGCACTGACTAATTAGAGGACTCAATCGACACTTCCAGAAATACCTGGAACCCAATACAATGCTAAACAATCCAAGCGCTAAGCTAGGCTAAGCCAGTTTGGCAAGGGGTGAAGGTGAAATGGGTGAAGAACCTGAGAGTGCAGAAGGAGTTAGAGAAGCTCTGTTTGCAAATGAATCTAACTACATCTTCCTTTACAGGAATGAACGTGGAAGTGTATCCAACTGGAAGAATAAGTCCAAACCAAGGAGATTTTGAGAGTCAAACTTAGGGAAAACCAAGAAGAAACTAAAAGTCCAGAGATTGAACCACCAAATGTAAGAACTAATCTCCTACTAATAGGAGGAATCAACATGTTCTTTCCAACAGACCTGTAGCCTCTGATGGCACACAGTGTCACTGAGATCAGCTGGGTGGTCAGGTGTTTGAGCCACCTTGAAACACCAGCAGCTGAGGAAAAGAGCTCCTGCTGCACCTGCTGGGAGCGGTGGGGTTGGGGCTTCCCACTTCCCGAAGCCCTGGAAAAGGGCACCCAGACATTTTACAGAATCCTTGAGATGGAAGGTGAGTTTTCCAGGCCATTCCACAGGTTAAGCCTGCTGGCTGATTCAGCCATACAGGAGAGTTTGCCTGGGAATGGATACCCCAGTGGCTGCTACTTTGACTGATAAAGCAAGCCCAGGAAGATGGTTGAGAATAGTTTGTGCACTCCGATTATCTCTGACATTTTCCCAACTCATAGTTGGAGCAGAGCTATGACAAAGGCATGCATGTTGCTAGTGCAGACATCCTCTTGGCTGTTAAGGGCTGAATTCTGTACCCCCACGTTCATATGTTGAAACCCTAACATCCAATATCTCAAAATGTGCCTGTGGAGACAGGGCCTTCAAAGAGGTTGCTGAATTAAAATTTGGTCATATGGGTGGGCCTAATCCAATCTCACCTGTGTGTTTATAAAAGGAGATTAGAACACAGACACGCCAGGGGGAAGACCATGTAGGGAAACAGGGCAAAGGAACTGCCTGCAAGCAAGAGAGAGGCCACAGAGGGAACCAACTCCGCAGACATTTCGATCTCGGGCTTCCAGCCTCCAGAACTATGAGACAATACATTTCTACTGTTTAGCCACCCAGTCTTCATACTTTGTTACAGGGGCCCTAGCCACCTGTAGACCAGCATAGGGTCAAAAAGCTGTCATGACCAAGTGCCCACACTGGGTCAGCAGTCCCAGAAGCAGTATCAGAATCATCTGTGCAGATAAAACTCTGAAGTCCAAGAAAGAGCCATTGGCACACAAATAAGACCAGAACAAATCAGGGAACCAGGTGATGACCTTTACTGTCAGAGATCCGTGTATACAGTACAGTCAGCTGACAAGAGGGCTCTCAATCGTGGCCACATATTTGAATCACCTGGGGAGCTGTTAAAACCCATGACACTAGGTCACAACCTAGACAAATGAAATCGGAATCCCTGGAGGGTGAGACCCAGGCATCAAGAAGGATTTAAGATCTCTGCAAGATTCAAATAGGCAGCCAAAGTTGAGAACAGCTGGCTTAAAGAGATTACGAGACTTTGTTACAGTATCTCAGCACGGATTACATTTCAATTTAGTTCTTTGCTATTATTCTTATCCTCTGAAATGTTTACACCACACGACGGCCTATCACTGGCTCTGAATTTTATATCATAATCACATAATAGGTTCCTCACTTAAGTTGTAGACATAGGCAAAACTTTTCTTGTTTTTGATGTAAGATAAAGGGAGAGAATGACTGGAGCAAAACAAAAATAAGATAATACAAAATAAGTCATGGGGTGGCATCACATTTTAAGAGTCTTCATTTATGACAAAAGCACAAGCTTATTTGTTGGGGACATAACTTTTGCCATTTTTCCTACCTTGACTGTTTAAGCTCGCAGCAATTTTATAGCTCGCTGTACAGGCTAAGGCTTTTGGTGCCTTTCTTTTTTAAGCTGTGTCAAAATACCTTTAAGGAAAAAAGATGATTTGAAAGGTATAAACCCAACGAAAGTAATAGCACAGTTACAGTTTTTGTGTTTGGGCAGATTTTAAGACATTTCTATGTATTTTTCTGACACAATGGATCCTAAGGACTGCCGTAGACGTAGATTAGTCTGATTTTAGGCCATTGCTTTGCAGCATTATGCAGTTTTTATCTGAAAGACGTTTCAAGAGGGGGAGCTAGTTAGCTAATTAATTAGAGATTGTGACTTAAATTTTTCAGACAAGAGATACTTTCCGAGTTTAAGGAGAACCCGAAGAAAGCTGCGTTTCTGTATCCGTGCCATGGGAAGTCTCCTGTCCTGTTTCCACTCTGCCTTCTCCATAAAGCAGGCTGATTATCAGGGCCCTCACACAAGCCCAGCGTGGTAGCTGATTAAGGCTTGACAAGCAAAAAGCAAACAGGATTTCTAATCATGTGTCTCATAGAAATGGAGCCACAAAAACCCAAAGAATTGCCATTACACCCCAAGTCATGCAATTTAGAGCAACTCAGGAAATAGGTGCACACAAGCAAACCATGTGGTTAAAGCCTTTGGAACTGGTTTGAGCAAAGCTGTAGGTGATTTGACAAAATCATCTGCAAAACCAGATTTCTAACACCTCCCTGCTGTGTATCTCATTTCTGCTGATGTGTGGTGCTTCATAAGATGGGGACGTTAAGCATGCAGCAACTACAGTCATTTGTTCTCAGAGGTGAGTGTTGCAGTTATTTTTATTACTTTTTCTCTTCTTTACTCTATTCCTTGCCTCTCGCCAGACATTCCTTAAACCACCTATCAACTCTCCCCTCACAGTCTTCCTTTTCTGTCTGCATTCTTTTTTTGAACCCAAATCTAACTTAGCTGCTTTTGTGGTTTTTCTATTCACTTTGTCAATTTCTCCCTTGGTTAGAAAATAAATTCCTGTGCACACTCACACCTATGCAAGGGCTGCTCTCAGACATAGCAGGAGGCCAACTTCAGCCTCAGCCTCTTGAGCAAACATTCCCAAGAGGGAAGAGCAACATGGGTGTGTGTGTGTGTGTGTGTGTGTATTGTGTTTATTTGTATGAAATGTCAATAGGGCATACTAATAGCTTGTGAACAAGTATCTATATCAAGATAGACAACCCCAATACATTCGACATGTTGAATATTTAACATGAATCACACATTTCTTGTGAATTGTGAGCAATATAGTTGTACTTATGTGTATAGATATGTGTACATTTATACATGTATATATATAAGGTACTCTCTATAGAGTACCTTATAGCTTACAAAGTGATTTCAAGTACATTTTCTCACTTGACCTAGAAGAGAGAATAAGTAGAATGTGCACATCTTACTCCACAGGGAACCCCTCTTGGAGGCCGGTCTCAGAGCTAAGGTGATAAATGGGGCCAAGAACAGTGGCTGATGCCTGTAATCCCAGCACTTTGGAGGCCGAAGTGGGTGGATCACCCGAGGTCAGGAGTTCGAGACCAGCCTGACCAACATGGTGAAACCCTGTCTCTACTAAAAATATAAAAGTTAGCCAGGCATGGTGGTGGGCACCTGTAATCCCAGCTACTCGGGAGGCTGAGGCAGGAGAATTGCTTGAACCCGGGAGGCAGAGGTTACACTGAGCCAAGATCACACTCCAGCCTGGAGGACAGAGCGAGACTCTGTCTCAGAAAAAAAAAAAAAAAAAAAGATGGTAGATGGAGTGTGACAGTTTGTGTTGGCATTTTGGCTTGGCAGAATTAAAGCCTAAAGTGCAGGGCCAAAAAGAGCCAGATTTGCAGCCTAGCTTCACCACTCCCTAACCATATTGCACTTGGGCATGTTCCTTAATCTCTCTATGTCTCTGAAACAAGAGGAAAAATCTCTTAGAGTTATTTGTGCAGAGTGAGCTACGATGTGTAAAATGATAGCCATTATAGCATGCACGTGAGCATGTACTATTAAACATAAGCAATCATTTGTGAAGCATGTTGAGATGCACATTGTCTAGCACCCCTGAGCCACCTTGGCTGTCCCGTAGCAGTCCCCAAGAGTCCTTTTCTAACATGGTTATGCCAGAATAATTTGGTTAGTTCAGGTGGGGTGAGCACAGTGGGGCAGGAACTGTGTCTAGTGGTTGCTGGGCAGTTTTGCACCTGGAGCTAGCACAGTCAGTTTTGTTGCACAAATGTGTGCCAAGCACTTTTCATAGGTCAGAAGCTAGAGAATAGTGTGCTTGTAAGCAAGCAATGAGAAATAAGATGGGAGCTCTTATTGGGGTTCCCTAGCTTCACCATCTTCAGTAACTTCCATCTTTGGTTCTGGCGGGCTTTTCTGAAGGACAGAACAGAAGCCCATGATAAAGGTGGGGTTGAGAATTCAAAAGAGATCTTTAGAAGTAGAACAGGGCCAGGGCCCATGTTAAGATTGAACTTTAAGGCCAGGCACGGTGGGCTCACACTTGTAATCCAGGAACTTTGGGAGGCCAAGGTGGGAGAATTGCTTGAGGCCAGGAGTTCAGGACCAGCCTGGACATCATAGTGACCCCCTATCTCTGCTAAAATAAAAATTTAAAAAAATTAGCCAGGCATGGTGGTGCACATCCATAGTCCCAGCTACACAGGAGACTGAAGAGAAAGGATCACTTGAGCCCAAGAAGTTGAGGCTATAGTGAGTTGTGATCATGCCACTGCACTCCAGCCTGGGGGACAGAGCAAGACACTGTCTCCAGAGACAGAGAGAGAGAGAGAGAAATGAAACTTTGGGAAGGAATGAGAGTGATCACCAGGTAGTGCTTCTGAGGAAGCTTGCTCTGATGGAGCTGACAAAGTGCCTTTATCTACTATGGATTAAGCATTACAACCCCAAAATCCAAAATCTGAAGTGTTCATAAATCCAGAATTTTTTGAGCAGTTACATGACACTCAAAGAGAATGCTTATTGGAGCATTTCAAGTTTCAAATTTTTGGATTTGGGATGCTCGATGGGTAAGCATAATGCAAATATTTCAAAATCTGACAGAATTCAAAATCCAAAACACTTCTGGCCCCAAGCACTTTTGATAAGGGATATTCAATCTGTACTACCCTACCATGAAAATGAAGTCTCGGGAGAAATGAGTTCTATGCTTAAGACTGAAAACTTACAAAACTTTATTCTTTGTCTAGGAGAGACATGAAAGCTATAGGGAAAGGGATGCAATTATTATTGTTGGTTTTAACCTTTTTGAACCCAGTCTAATTCACAATGAGATTAATGACAGTGTTTATTGAGCTTTTCCCACTTGGCCAACAATATGTTAGGGGTGGCAATCCCGATAACAACCTAAGAAGTAGACTTTCCATTTTACAGATAAGGAAACTGAGGCTTGGAAGGATTGACTTGCCGAAAGGCACAGACAGAGGAAACGGCAGCAGTGCGATATGCCTCTAGATAGTCAATCTGGGGCTTGCCCTCTTCACAATAATGACAGTAGCCACTGCATAAGGGCCTGGTGAGGACTGGAGACAACACATGCAAAAGAACCAACAGATTCTCGGCGCAGTGCATTCATGCATGTACGGATGTCATGTATGAAAGTGCCTGGAAAAGGGCGGCCATTGCACATTCCTTTTGCACTTGGGAAAACTTCATTAAAGTGTACCATGTAGTCAAATGGTTAGCCCGATTTGGTGTATGACTGAGAAATGGGTGATGCCCTCCTGGCCTGAATTCAGGAAACTGCACATCAGGGAAGCAGAGCTAAACTCTTAGGGACCCAGAGTGGAATTGTTTAAAGGCTAAATCACCCCCAAACCGCACGCGGTTCTCGTCAAAGTTAACGGCAGTGGCTCATGTGTGCGTGGACACTGTGTGATCCTCCATAGGGAAGGAGAGCAGCAGTGTCCTCAAGGATGAAGCCCTTCCAGCCGAGCCCCCATTGGTAAAGAACCTGACAGAGGAAAAGATGCTTCTGTTTCTGGGAAAAGGCACATTATACGAATCCAGGGCACTGCCGGAATACAGCCCTATAAGATATATCAGTACATTCATATGCGTGCTCCTATCACCCATCCAACAAATTGAATGAAATTAAGAAAGGAGCAGTCATCATAAGTCATATCTACTCAGAAATGTATATTTAAAAGCAGGCTGCTTTGGACAATGCTTCGCTCATTAAGACTCTTTTTAGGTGCATTGTTTACTGTGTAAACCCTGATTAATTTACAGTTTTTCTTTTTGCCTGACTCATAATTACTCTATGGAAAATACAATTTTGGAGAATACAACATTAACTACATAGGATTGGTATTAACAGTCACGGACCCACTGAAGGCGAGTTTTACTGTTCGCTCAATGAATGTCCTTCAGTATCTCTAAATTAGATGGAAAAGCATCTATGATTTCAGGGCCCATTTAAATAAATTAAAGCCAGAAATGAGTGTGCTAACTTTGCATGGATCCAAACATTTGCCACTGTTTTCCTGTCTTCCCTTTCTACCATTAAATTCAACCCGACCTTTAGAATTTGTGTCCCCCAAGCAGAAGATAGATGATTCCCGTGTATCAACCTTGTATTAAATGCCTACCATGCACTAAGCACTAGGAAAATAGGGAGGAAACAACACCCTGGATACTTTTCTCAAGTAGCTCTCAGTGCAGCGGGCTTAGCATGGAAACAGAAGCAGCAAAACGTTGTGGGAAGTGTCTGTGTAACATGCGGCATGGCTGTTATTTAATCCCAATTAAAAGGATGAGAAAGTTGAGGTTTACTAAAGTTAAGGAACTCCCCTAGGTCCATAGTTAGCAAGCGCTAGAGACAGAATTCCAAACCAAAGCAGTCTGCTTGAAAAGCCCAGTTTTGTCCCACCCCTTCCCTAAGCATTTGTTCAGATGGGAGTGAACAATGCATAAAACTGGCTGTGGCATTCGGCTGACCTGAGATCTAGTGGTGGCCTTATTCCCAGCATGCAAACTCTCACTGACATGCAAACCCTTGCTGACTACTTCATATGAGAAGGCAGCACCATTCCTCTGTCATGTATGAATGCAATTTTCCTGAGACATTTTTATTTTCTGTTGCTTGTTTTTAAATAATTAATGCCATTGTAACAGCAGCCTCTCTTCATTTAGGAGGGCATTTCCACTCTGAATTTCCAGTTCCAAACATTTCAGTTTTCCACCAAGACATCATTCCTGGGTTTGGGATTCCTGAATTTTCTCCACACAGAGGTGACTGCTTTCAGTGGAAAACTTAGCGAAATTGCATTGTTCTCCCTGAAGTATCTGTGTAACCAAAACAATGTTACTGCTATATGACATGTTGTAGGCATTCTCAATACATTTGGAAAATGCAAAAGTAACTGTGATCTAACATCTCAAACTGGCTATGGATTTATTTTCCTGTGGTCAGGTCTGGACCAAAGAGAAACAAGAAAAGCTGGAGTCACACTACCAAAGGCCGAAGCTGAGCAACAGAGCTCTGGAGTCAGCTGCCTGGGTTCAGCATGCAGCGCTGCCGTGGACGATCTGTCTCTCTTGCATATATGACTTACCAGTTTTACTTTCAGTCTCTCCATTTCTAATTAAATGAGATGCAGAAATGCTGGTGCCTTGCTATGATGTTTGCAGTTATTATTTCTAGGAAAAAAAATATTATTGTTACTCAGTATCTGGTACATCAAAACTAAGCCAGAAACGTTTAAAAAGAACAAAAGTATCATTTCTACTTAATTCTCTAGCTACTTGGACAACTGGACTATGCCCCTCCTTTCAAGGGAGGGCAAAGCATTTCAGAAAAGAACTAAGTGCTATTTCTCTGCTTCAGGAATGTCTCCCGTATGTAAAAGAATGTGGCTTCAGGGAGTAGCATGTGTTGTAAAGGTGGATGGGTCTAACTTCATGGACAGCTCTGACATCCACTAGCTATGCCACCTGATGCAAACCACTTGGGCTGTCTGTAGTTTCGTTTATCTTTCTGGAATTGGTAATAACAACCACCTGGCAAGATCACTGTTATGAATACGGAGGATCAAAGTTGTGAAGTTATTTTGTAAAGTGAAATGTTCTGAAAATTGGATTTTAACAGTGTCAGCGAAAAGTAGATTTTTGACATTTATCAAGAGTTCAGCTAATGAAAACAAGTATGGATAATAGTTACATAGAACTGTCTACTTTACTCAGTACTTTAGCATATGCTATTATATTTAATCTTCTTAAAAAGTAGAAAATTATACAAGCCATGTATTACTATTATTGTGGTGGTTGTCGTTCTCAATTACACACTGAATATTAAGACCTCTCAGGTAGCAGCTGGAAGGACATTGTATCCAGTTTCCTGATTGTTTTCAATGGAATAATCATGTATACATGCACTACTAATGAGACAATGGTGATTCTAAAAGCTTAATCAGGGGGACTTTTGTGTATTCCAAATCTACTAAAAATAAAGAAACACAGAAATGAGAAAAATGTACATTAGCAAGAAAATGTACACCAGCATTCAGGCTTAGCCTTTTGAGAGCAATATGATAAATAGAAATAGAATTTCACAAATTTAACATGATGCTAATCGAGGAATGAATGAAAAAGTGGTCAGCAGTCTAAATGGAACATAACACAAAGAGATCTCGTAAACAGTAAGCTTTGTGCAGGACATCTCTTGGGGGTCCCAGGTGTTGGGAGAGTCAGGGAGAGATGTCTACTGTTTGAACAGCAATAATACAAAGTTGAAGTGGGACAATATTCACCACCGTAGCTTGATGGAATTAGCCTTTCAAAAGATTGAGTTTATTTATTTAGAAATTGCCTTACCCCCTTTTTATAAATGTGGCAAATCAGCAAAGACGGTGACATTCTTTTAATTCAAAACATCCGTTCAATCTACAGTCTGCTCTCCTAGATGGATTTTAAGAGTGGGGGTTTGTCTTCCAACTAATGTTTGTCTTCCAACTAATGTTCCCCTGTCAATTAACTATCATTTCCTGTTCTTATTAATCAATTAGATCTTTTCCACTGCCTCAGACTATTCTTCATTCAACATTTGTTTTTTATCTAAAATGTCCCAGACTGTTCTAAGCATTAAGAGTAAAATGTCTTAGAAGAAATAAATCAAGTTGAGTGGGTATCATAAACCACTCAACTAGTGGCCGAGTCAGAAATCTAAATGATGTTTTTGAGGAATCTTCCTCCGCCTCCCCTTTACCTATCCAGTCATCCACCAACCTTGCCGTAGCAGCTTCTGAATACCAGTATCTCTTGGGGTCCCCTGCTCCTCTCCATTCCCACTTCCGCTCCTTTGATCTGGACCCCTGTGGAATTTGCGAGAACAGTCCCAAGTCTGCCCTCACCTCTGACACCAACTGCAAAATTAAGGAACAGTCCCTTAAGGCTTCCCTACCTTCAACACCAGTTGCATGTTTGGGAGTTCCCAAGACCACTCTTCATTTTGGTACTTCACTGCAAGTACTCACAGAACTCGCTGAAAGTGGTTATACCTTTAGTTACAGTTGAGTACAGCTAACGAACACAGATGAAAGTCAGCCACAGGAAGCAGTGCATGGGTCAGTCCAGCAGGGTTCCACACATGGAGCCGCTGGCATGCCCTCCAGTGGATGGTGGGCAGCCTTAGTTCTCAGGTAAGACGTGTGATAGCATGCAGAGAGCATTGCCATCCAGGGAAGCTCCCCTGAGCTTTGGTGTCCAGCGTGTTCACTGTACTCAATCACATGAAGCTAATTGGCCTCTCCTTTCATTGATCTCAGTCTCTAGTCCCTTGAGGGATGACTTCATGACCCAAAGCCCCCACCTGAAATCACATTGTTAGACCCTCCAGGTGTGAGCCAAGGCCCCCGAACAAACGGAAACACTCCTATTGGGCACAATATTCCCAGAGCCTAGAGATTCCTTCCCAGGACCTGAGGACAAGTGTCAGACTTCTTTTTGGAAAGAGCAGATTCCTTACCTAAAACACCTAGTCTTTCACATGGAGTCACACAATATTCTTTTCACTGGTTTCCCTGACTCCAGGCTTGCCTCTCTCCAATCCATTCTCCATCTTTCTGATGAATAGATAGTTTTAAAAGCAAATGTGATAAGGTCACTCATCCATTAACATTTGCCTAGGAATCCTTCATTACTCTTAGGATCAAGTTCAAACCCCTTAACGTGGCTTAATGGCTGTAAGAGACAAGATAAGCACAGAGTACTTGATAAAGATGGAGGAATCAGAAACTACTATATATTTTATTTTTTTAATATAAAAAATACCATTTAGAACATTCCAGAAAAAAAAAAAAAAAACTATTATCTACACAAAATGCTTGGTCAGGAAATCCAGCATGTAAGGAAAATTGGACTCAAATTGAGAAAGGGATGAATCAATGGCGACTGGAATAAGGCCTTTTTGATGATACTTTTTTCTTTGCTACGACTGAAATCAGAGTACGTGAAACCATTTACCAGTATATTAAAGGCACTGACAGGGAAAAAAGCAGAATGGCATTGTGCAAAAAAAGATGGGCTTTGAAATCAAACAGACTTTCAATGGCAGCTGTGCCATACACTGTGTAACCTTGTGCAGCTTGCTGAACTCTTACAGGCCTTCGATTTCCGATCCTTTAATGCCTTTAGAAATGCTTCTCTTATGGATTTGTTGTTGTCAAGATGCAATGGATTTTTGTACTTTTTTTTTTAATTAATTTATTTTTTGAGATGGAGTCTTGCTCTGTCACCCAGGCTGGAGTGCAGTGGCGTGATCTCGGCTCACTGCAACCTCCACCTCCTGGGTTCAAACAATTCTCCTGCCTCAGCCTCCCGAGTAGCTGGGATTACAGGCACACACCACCACACCCAGCTAATTTTTGTATTTTCAGTGGAGACAGGGTTTCACCATGGTTGGCCAGGCTGGTCTCGAACTCCTGACCTCGTGATCCACCCACCTTGGCCTCTCAAAGTGCTGGGATTACAGGTGTGAGCCACCGCGCCTGGCCAAATTATTGTACTTTTTAAAGACCATAGTGTATTTGAAACAGTCCTAGGCCTTAGGGAAACAACACTGAATAAGAGAGACCCAATCCTTCTTCTCATAAAGCTTAAGATCCCTTGTCAATACACTTGGCAAAGAGTAGGCATTTAAAAAAATTGTTTGGTTTGCTGATTCTCAGAGATCTTCCAAACGAACACTCACATCCAGTCCAGGCTGGGGGGAGACCCCAGTCCTTGACATGGGGTAATGGGGACAGCATTTCCTGAGGACTCCACAGGAGGCAAATCTATTTCAGATGTTTTGATGATAAGGAATTTGTAATCTACAAGTGGGCTTTTAAATTATGTGTCATATAGTACACACTTAATTTTTTAAGGAGACTAAAGCGGGAGAGAAACAGTGTCCTCAGTGGATGGTGACTGGCTTGGGTGGTCTAGAGCCCCTACAGCCCATGGGCCACCTTGACACAGAAAGATCTGTGCCTGCCATGACTGCAAAACAGGCAATTTATGTACAACAGTCGTTATCTTTGGATTGGCTTCCAGAGGGCGACTTTTTTCCTTCTTTTCTGCATTTTCAATATTTTTTGTTGATTTTGAGTAAGCATTGCTTTAATATTAGCAAAGATAAAGCAGACTTCTTAGTCAAAAGTTAGTAAAACTGATTAAATTGATACATTAAGAATAACAGCATGGTGTTAAGGAGGTAAGAGTGAAATTTGCCAGATATTATCTACTAATGAAAGTGTTGTTTGACTGTGTTTGAGTTTGGGGCTATGTATTTGCTAAGAAATATTATGCGGTAGGGGCATGGGCTGGCCCTGCCTCAGTGGCTGTCATATGGAAGAGCTGAAGTTTAAGGAGCAGGAGCAGAAGAAAGAGAATAAGGAAGCGCAGTATTTAAGGAGAATGGACTTCAGAGTCAGAAACCTGGGTATGCTTCTCTGCTCACCTATAAATCAGCTCATGAGCTCAGCTGCATTTCTATACCTCTGATTCAATAAGAATTAAGTAAGGAGATGCATGTTCATGTATGTCTTGTGCCTGAAACAAAGTATCTGAAAAACGTTAAGGCAATTCTGCAAAAACTGATTGAGGAGCAATCCTGGCAACCCCTTCTGCAGGGGGCAGGTGGAGATGATGCCTGCAAGTCAGGCTGCAAAGAGCTTCCATTTATGTCAAGCTCTGAAAGGGGAAGAACTAGAGTCAACACAAAGGACTCGATGACAGTGAGTGAGTGAGGGCTGCTGAGGCCACTGTGAGTAATTCTATTCATATGGCCCACCAAACATATTTGAAGGAGAAAAGAAAAGCAATCTAGCTTCTATTTAGAAATGGTCAGGGGGATAGAGAGACCACTTCTCTACTAAAAATACAAAAAATTAGCTGGGCGTGGTGGTGCACACTTGTAGTCCCAGCTATTCGGGAGGCTGAGGTGGGCGGATCGCTTGAGCTGATGTTGAGGCTGTAGTGAGGTGTGATCATGCCACTGCACTCCAGACTGGACAATGAGAGTGAGATTCTGTCACAGTTACCTAAGAGTGCCGAGATCCAGGCCTTCCCCAAGGAAGCAGTCTCCTCCCTGGTACCCTCCCCAGTCACAGTGCAGACCCTGACTGCATCTCCAGTCAACACCTCTCTCGGTCACAGAAATGAAGACATCTTTCACAGGTCACAAGCCTCCGTCCAAGGACAGTCTCAAAAAACAAACAAACAAACAAACAAACAAAAAACAATGGTCTAGGGGAGCTAAGGAAAAACCTATTCCTGGACTCTCCATGAAGATGCAGAGGGACTGATTTTCCTATCTGTGAGGACGAACTTCTTTGCACCCAGATGGAAGGAAACAGCATTTTGTCAGATTGTTACATTAACCCTCCCAGGCTGTGGCTCATCCTAGGCCATGCCTGTCTCAGTCTTCCCTTGACCACCTGATTTTATGGTCTCTATCCAGATTAATGGAGAAACGAAATAGTGGCTTTTGAAATCATGCTGCTGTACAATATGTCCACAGTATTTGGAAACCTAGAATAAGGATTTAATGGTAAGCAGGGTCAGTTAGCCTTAGATGTCTATTTCTTGGTTCTTTTGCTATTGCCATTTTCTTCTTTTCTTCTTGTTCTGTGTGAAATTCCAGCCTCGTTAAGGATTAAACATATTAAAAGTAATTGCAAAAACCACAATTACTTTTGCACCAAACTAATACTTCACTTGATGGTAAATTTCTATCTCAATTAGACAAACTTTTTTTTCCCAGGTTTCTTTTTCAATAAATGAATTTATCCAACAGTGCCAAGGCACAAAATTAACCAGTTCTGAATTGATTAGCGATAACAATGCCAGATCCAGGCCTTCCCCAGGGAAGCAGTCTCCTCCCTGGTACCCTCCCCAGTCACAGCGCAGACCCTGACTGCATCTCCAGTCAACACCTCTCTCAGCCACAGAAATGAAGACATCTTTCACCAGTCGCAAGGACAGTAGGGCAGGCCCCACCTTCTGTGTGTTCTTCACACCAACCCTGGTGTCTAGCAGGGGCCAGAGCAGCCCTAAAGGAGTCTCTCTGGCAAGTCTCCACCACGTCAAAGCTCCCGCCCTTCTTCATCAAGGGCACTGATGATGCAAGCATAGCATGGAAAGAAGTGCCTGGAAAACAGGATCATAGACAGTATTGCAGGAACGGCCCCTGCAGTCAGGACCTTATTTCTGGAATATTTATGCCTCTTCAGTCTTGCTTCAATAACCTTTGCCAGGACAAGGCAGTCACCATGAAAACCACTGCGTCCAGTGACTGCTGAGTCTGTTAATTTCTAACACTTGGGGCTGTCCTGGCTGTAAATTGACAACCTTTCACCCAGTGTCTGAAGAAGCCATTGAAAACTCTTCTCCAGAAATTGTCAATATATGCCTCTGCCGAAAGCACAGGGCACAAAGGGCAGGTGCAAAGGGGCTGCAGCACTGTGTGGTTCCATCCTCCTGGGACCTGAGTACCTGGCTGCAAAGGACAACATCCCACAGCTGTGCCTGCAGCAGCCATTAGAGTTTCTGCTGTGTCACAGTGAGATGGAGGCCCCTAGACCAGCATTCCTAAGTGCCCCAATCATGGTATTCATCATTTCATCATTAGCTGGACTGATTCCTTCTCCTCAGATAAACCACAGGCCATGAAAGAAGGTAACGTATAGACCATGATACAATGCAAAGGGCTGTTCTAGAGGTATGTACCAGGTACAGTTTCACTACATAAGTGGGAAAATTGACTCTGTGCAAAAGTTAGGGAAGGCAGCACAGAGAGGGAGATTCCTCAGTTAAGTTTTGAATGATGAGCAGAAGTTTGCATCTTTGCAAATGAAAACATATGGGTCTGTGCAGAAGCACCTTGACCCAAGAAATGCAAGCACTTTCACGTGTCATGTATGGAGAATCTGAGAGAAAGCACAGAGAAAAATGAGGCTGGGGTGCCAGAGGCCAGCCCATGGAGGAGCTTGAATATATCAGCTGAAAGGAGGTTGGCACCATCTTACAGACAATGGAGAGCCAATTAAAGCTTTCAGTGGGGGCAGGATTATAATCAGGTTGCTGATTAAACAAAAGAAAATATGCCATATGAACACCAAAGATGTCTTCTTAAATCCAAATGCATTTTTTTTAAACCAACCTCCATTTACCCATATCTCTGAGTCAGGCCAAGAAGTATAGCAAACCGCACCAGATAGTGAAGCCCGTTGCCTGAAGGGCCTCACTTTCTAAACTTTGGGGGATCTGACAAGGAATGAGGGGCAGGTTTCCTATTAACTTCTCTAATTAGCAGACAGCCTCATCTCGGAACTATGCTAACAGCCACGAGAAAATAACTGTGTTTCTGAAGAACCCACCACTTCTGGCTCCTAGCTCAGATGTCATGAGTAATGGCCTCCCACCTGTGTCTGCGAAGTGTCTTTCCTGTTTTAGGCTGCAGCCAATCCCTTGGCTCTCTGTGGTATCCCACAGCCTGCATGGTATCACCTTAATTTTGATTAGGTTTCCAGATCCCAAAGACAGAAAAAGTTTTGCAGCCTGTGATTGGTGATATCAGACCCACAACTAGACTTCCCCTGGGAACAGGCCACTGAGCCGGGATTCTAGGCCTTTAATATTTTCACAGCATCACACTGCAAACTTTCTCATGGTATTAAGTTTCTGTGGGATTCATGATCGTTTGCAACAATCCCAGTTACCTACCTGTGGCTAAATGTTTCAGCTCTGTCCTAGTCCAGGATGGAAATGAAGCCATCATGCTTGGTCTTAGATCTAATGTGTAATTAAATTTTAATCTAAATATCATAAAGGTATTTTTTTTAAAACCAGCTGTGAACTCCAAAGGACATTATAGAATGGTAATATCATCCCATTCTCATTCTCTCCCCATGTTATCTCTCCAATTCCAGAACTCAGACAAATAAATAAAGTTTCCATAAAGAGGGTATTTTTCTTTGTTTTGATTTGTGGAATCCAGGTTTCAAAAATGCTCTGAGTTTCTTACAATCCATTTTCCCCTTTCTGTCTGCCTGTCTGTTTGAGAAACCATGATTTTCTCAGAGTAAAGGATGCTATCACAATTGTGAAATCTTAAATTACCTCTGCCAGGCAATAATCAAAATGGCAGTAGAAACATATTAGGAATGTTCTCCCAGGGGCAGTGAAAAGAATGCATTTTCAAACAATGGCATGCAAATACCAGGACTTACTATGCCAAAGTTGTGTGGAATTGGGGATGAGATTTTCTCATTTCTGGATGTGGCATTAGGCCCTTATCGAGATGCCAAAATGGATTGCACATCTACCAGGCATCAGAGACTTTGCAGGGGGCTTTGAACATAGTGTCTAATTTAATTGTGCTAACAAAACTGCAGTGCAGATATTACTATCCTTCTTTTAAAGGGATATCCCTTGAAGTAGTTAAGGAACTTTCCTGAGATTGTATTGGGGTAAGCTAGGATTTGAACCCAATCTGACCTCAAAAGCTATAATTTTCTATTTCACTGGAGTTTTTGTTTCTTTTTGTTGTTGTTGTTTTGTTTTGTTTTCCATTTCAGAGATAGCAATCCATGTTTCCAAGCAAAGACATTGAGTTCTGAGGACACAAGGAAGTCCACCAGACAAATGTTGAGGGAGGGGCCTGGTGGAAGATGACTGGATTATGGAAGTGGTTCCCCCATGCTGTTCTCATGGGAGTGAGGGAGTTCTCACGAGAGCTGATGGTTTTAAGGGTGGCACTTCCTCGCTCTTTCACTCTCTCTCTTTTGCCTCCATGTTAGACGTGCCTTGGTTCCCCTTTGCCTTCTGCCATGATTGTAAGTTTTCTGAGGCCTCCGTAGTCATGTGGAACTGTGAGTCAATTAAACCTCTTTTATTTTTAAATTACCCAGTCCCAGTGTCATTACAGCAGTGTGAGAACAGACTGATACATCCCCAAACACTGACACTTCCCCTAGTTAGAAAGATGGCTGAGAGACATGGGATGTGGCTTTCGCCTTTCTGAAACTCCCAATCAAGTGAAGAAGATAGATTTATACATAAATAATTCATTCATTTGTTCATTTATTCAACTTTCTTTTCATCACGTATTTTTATGCCTGGGATTGTAGCAGGCATGGGAACAAACACGCTGAACAAGTCAGACCTGGCCCTCTACCCCGGGAGCTTGCAGAATAGTGGAGGGGATATATATATCAAATAAACGTAAGCCGGATAGATACCAGCTGGGATCACCATGCCCTTAAGACCCAGAGAAGTCCTGTCCAAATGCCCATCTCATCAACCACGAAAAGCCCTTTGTTCTCAAGATCTCTGTAAGTCCTGGGGATTTTAGCTCTTCTCATCACCTTTGGTTTCTAAGTGTGTTCTTATTATTTACTTTTCTGTTGGGGCTTGTTCTTTCACATGTCCCTGAAAGCAAGCAGGGACATACGGCCCAGGCCTGATACTTTCTGGAAGAACAGCCCTCTCACAGAACTCCTTGGAGGCTGCCCTGCAGAGGAGGTGGTTACCATTACAAAGACAACCAAGAGACTTAGAGCTGAGCATTAAACTCCCTGTAGTTGGAACAGTCCTCTTCCTTTTCTGGCATCTCCAGCTTGGTCTGATAAATTACTCAAGAGCTTTGCTCATCTCTGTGCTCTCCTGATGAGCCCCTAGTTCCAGCTTCTGGTTTATAATGGCCCATTTTTTCCGTCTCTTCTTGCACCTCCAGCTCACACTCTTAGGGCCCCACCTGCTGTCTCTTAAGTGTCTGATCAGTGCAAGTTCCTAAAAAAAAGAAAGCATCCTTCATGAAGCATATTTACCTGATGAAGTAGTACTGTTTTTCACCCCAATACGTATAAAGTTACAAAACTAATGATATACTTACTGGTGAGAGAGAATGTGTAGGATGCTGTGAGTGGTAATAGGGTGGATCAGTTAGAATAGGATGGGGCCTACAGGCGAACCCGACAAACGGAAGCTAACTGACCTGGCTGGAGAGTAGCAAAGTTATTTCTCATTTACCCCACCCCACCCCATATGTGTTGCTGGTCAGCAAAGGGTCACTCTTAGTCGCTCAGGAATCCAGGTTCCTGCATGTGCTGTCTCAATGCATGCTTCTGTAATTACAAGAGCTAAGATACAAAAAGAGCATAGCTCACCACACACTAATTCATTTGCTTTTTCTTTTTTTTCTTTCTTTCTTTAATTGAATTTTTTAAAAAAAGCTTTATGAGGTATAATTGACATACAAAAATTGCACCTATTTAATGTATACAATTTGATGAGCTTGGACACATACATATACCTGTGAATCTACCGCCACAGTCAAGGTAATAGTCATAACTACCATCCCGCAAAGCTTCCTTGGGTCCCTCCGTGTGTGTGTGTGTGTGTTTGTGTGTGTGTGTGTGTGTTTAAAACACTTAACATGAGATCTACCTTCTTAACACATTTGCAAGTGCATAACACAGCACTGTTGACTATGGGCACTACACTGTACAGCAGACCGCTAGTGCTCAACGTGCATGCAAAGCTGTAACTTCATGCCAATTAAACAGCAATCCCCCATTTCTGTTCCCCCCTGGTCCCTGGTAACCACTGTATTTTCTCTGATTCTCTGAGTTTGATTATTTTAGGTACTTCATATAAGTGGAATCATGCAGTATTTGTCCTTCTGTGCCTGGCTTATTTCACTTAGCACAATGTCCTTCAGGATCATCCAGTGTTGTCACAGGTGGCAGGATTTACTTCTTTTTTAAAGCTGAATTATATTTGATAGTATGCATATAGAAAATTTCTTATCCATTCATCTGTTCACGAACACTTGAGTTTATTGCATATCTTGGCTATTGTAAATAATCCTGCAATAAACATGGGAATATAGAGATCTCTTTGAGATCCTGATTTCTTTTGGGTATATACACAGAGGTAGAATTGCTGGATCATATGGTCATTCAGTTTTAATTTTTTTTAAAATCTCCAAACTGTTTTCCATAGTGGCTGTACCATTATACACTCCTATCAACAGTGCATAAGGGTTCCCCTTTCTCTACCTCTTTGCCAAAACTTGTTATATTTTGCTTTTTTCGATAATAGCCATTCTAACAGGTATGAGGTGGTATCTCCTTGTGCTTTAAATTTGCATTTCCTTGATAATTAGTGATGCTGAGTACCTTTTCAGGTACCTGTTACCTATTTGTATGTCTTCTTTTGAGAAATCTCTATTCAGGTACTTTGCCCATTTTTAAAGCTATTTCAAATTTTGAATTTTCATGTCTTTGCTCTGGATTTGCCTTAACCCTGGGTACCAAGAGCACACAATGAGGGAATTACAGTCTCTTTAAGAAATGGAGTTAGAAAAATATCCACATGTAAAAGAATAAAGTGGGATCCATATCTTACACCATACACACACAAAAAAACTCAAAATGGATTAAAGACAAATGTTTAAAACCTGAAACTGTAAAATTTCTAGAAGAAAATATAGGAGAAAAACTCCATGACATCGATTTTGGCAGTGATTTCCTGGATATGACACCAAAAGCACAGGCAACCAAAGGAAAAATAGACAAGTGGGACTACGTCAACTAAAAAGGTTCTGCACAGCAAAGGAAATAATCAGGTTGCAAACGCAACCTAGGGAATGGAAGAAAACAATTGCAAACCATGTATCTGATAAAGAGTGAATCACCACATTGATTCTTCAAGTGATTTCTGTGCACTTCTCAGCCAAGGCATTGCCCGTTTTCCCAGCCATGCCCTTCATCAATGAAGAAGGAAGCGCCCTCCATGCATGAGGGACAGCAGACAGCTATCAACATTCACTTTTTACTTTCCACTTGCAAATACTTTCACTCCTTCCCCAAAAGGAACCATCCAAAGCCTACTCCTGGTATCAGGCTCAAAGTCCAGGAGCTTATGACTATTTCACAGGCAGGTCTGGCTGCAGCTGTTTTGGCTTTGGACATCTATATACTGACCAAAAACAAACCCAACGAAACAAAAAGCAAAAACAAAACAAACAAAAACTACTTTCTTCCCTACAAGCAAAACACAATGATAGAAGGACTGTATAATTTCAATGAACACTCTGAAATCCCACTGACAGACATTGCTTTTTAAGTTTCTGTTCTACTTCTTGAGCCATTGTTCAAATTGTTTCTTCTTTTTAATTACCATATTGACCACATATGAGGAGGTCAATAGGAAATATCTGTCTTTAGGGCTGCACAGGTTTCCCAGCATGCTCTCTCCCTAGAGAAGGTTGGGGGCCCAAGCCTTAAGTCCTGAAAGGTCAGTAGCTTTTAGACCACACTGGTGGATCTTCAAAAATACAACTCTTTCAAATCTACTTTGTTTCAGTAGTCACATCCAAAATTATTTTTCAGACATGCATTTTTCTTTCAGTAGAGTTAATTGCTGGTATTTTGAGCCTATCAGTTTCATGGAAGAGCCAAGCCAATTCTCTTTATACCTGAAACATTATGTCTAATTAAAGTAATTCAGCAAAATGTTGGTAGTTTAACAAAGAGGATAATGACCTTCTTGATTTGTTCCTTGCCTCAAGACTGAATTTTCATCAATCTGAGTCTGAATGCTTGGAGACTGAGAGTCGCTTATATTTCTCAACCCTTCAAGTCATTGAATTAGGAATTTTCCATTCCTTTTCTTCCTGCTTGTAAATTGAACAATTTTTTTTCTGATCTCATCTCTTTTTCATTGACCTTTGTCAAATGTAACCTTTAGCAACCAAACCATGTTACCAAAGTCTCTCTTCCCATTTATTTGCCTAAACCTATGCTCTTATTAGAAACTGATTTGTCTTCCAACTTACCATTGATGGCAGTTTTCCTAAGTGTTTCACTGCAACCTAATATGGATCATCATCCTTACAAATGTTAAGAGTTTTCTTACTGCTCGCTGTCCATCCTAAAGTCAATGTCACATAGTTTAGAGTTATTGTTATGATTATATTCCTTCTTTGGTACAAATTGTTCTGCTCCAGCACTACACAATCCAAAAAAACAACCAACTTAATGATAAAAAAAAAAGTTTCCTTCCCACATTACATGCCCATTACAGGTAAACAGTGGTATTCTGTTCTTTGTAGTCAAAAAAGGATCTGAACTGATGGCTATCTCATCATTGACACATGCGTCTAAGAGCTCAGGGGTTGGAGAAGAAAGAGTATGTAAACAAAGTGACAGCTCTGAAAGCTTCCACCTAGAAGTGACAAGTGTCTCTTCCACTCACACCTCATTGGGAAAAGGTGAGTCACATGACTAAGCCCTGAGATACCTATAGGTGAGAAGGGATTGTCCTCTCCCAGAGAAAAGTGGTACATATTTTTGAATGCAGAGGGTACATAAACTAGTAGGAAGTGTTAACAAATACCTTTTCATGGGTATTTTTAACCTGAAAAATAAGTGGGTGTTAGAACTTTGAGAAAAAGGGTCAACATGTGTTATATACCAAAGACAAAAAGAAAGACAGCACAGTCTCAGAGAGAAAGCCAGTACGGCATGAGATGGCTCAGGGATTGTTGGCGGGGCCAGACAGTGGCACAAAGTCACAATGCTTTAGTAGAAAGACACAAAGACTACTGTGAGGAAGGGAGGAGGATGTTCAGATTTCAGGATTTTCAAAGGTTTCTTGGAGAAGTAGGACAGTAAACACTGACAATATTTTGCAGACAGAGTCTTATTTGGGAACTTTTGGGGTAAAAGTTGGCATTTTCTTGAAAGAAGCATGCCAAATAGCCAAGCTCTGCTGTCCCAGGGCACAAAAACTGCACCAGCAAAGTAATTACCAGCCCAAGAATTAGCAGCAGGTGTAGTAATAGGGCAAGGACTCATGTCAACATATGGTAAGTCTCTCTAATGGCTGGGTATAACTTTAAATCGGAGGGGATTCATTTTAAACTCATGATCTCAAACCTTAACTGATGCTATATAGTAGCCAAAAAATTATGTTTTCCCAGTACTAGTTTTTCAAACCTTCTTGTTAATCAGACCTCTACCATCCATCTACATGCACCCTCATGATCATTGCAAATAGAGGTCATCAGGCTCAAAACCCCTTACATGCCTACCACTAAGCCAATGACCTCTCTCTACATGCACCAATTCATCTCTCCCCTTGCCTATCAAAACAGAGGTCACCATGAACTCTCACTGGATTATTGCAGCACCATCTTAACAGGGTTCCTAACTTACGTTTCTCTAATTTGTTCTACAACAGCAGTAAAAGTAATGTTCATAAATTACAAAACTGATATCATATTACTGTCCTATATAAATCCTTCCAATACTTCTTTACCATCCTTACCACGAGCTTCTCACCATGACCTTCTCACCATGACCATCTTACCACAACCTTGTCACCATGACGTTCTCACTAGGACCTTCTCATCATAAACTCACCATGCTTACAATTCCAGGCAAGATCTGGCCCCTGCCTGTCTCACTGACCTCATTTCCTGCCACACTCCTGTTTGGTCAGAACCGCCAGCTACATTGGTTATCTTTCTGACTCTCAAACACAGAGCTTTATGGTTTGGGTTTTTTTTCTTTTTTTTTTTCTTTTCGTTTCTCTGGGCCTTTATAAATGCTATTACCTATACCGATAGTGGTTTCTGTTTACCTTTCATTTAACCGCTTCTAATTCTCAAAGCTTGGCTCTGTTTAAATATCACTGTCTTGAAGAGGACTTCCCTGACCAGAGGAAAACGGCTTTCTACTTAATATTTTTAAAAACGTATCTAGTTTTTTATTCATTACACAATGCAACTTGCCAATGCTTTTATTCAATTGACTTTTCTTTACTCATGCTGCTGCAGAGTTTTTGGTTTTGGTCTGCCTCCTCATTAAGATATGTAACCGAAAAGGCAGGAGCCAAGTGTCTTTCTGACCATTTTGTACTCAGTGATGAGTATGCAACCTGGCACACAATAAATATTTGTTGAATAAATAAATCACAGGCGCATAGCCCAAGGCCAAGGGCTGCTCCACTTTCACATCTGTACCAATCAAATTAAACTGCTAGAACAGCTTCAAGACTTTGAGAAACAATAGATTTAGGGCTACAAAAGTGACAGTGATTTCTATTCCTCCTTGTTCTCTCATACTGCTTTTAAGGTTATCTCCAAGACTGAAATGAATCCCATACTGACAAAACAGATGCTTCCAATCAATAGAAGTCCCTACCAATTCCTCATGTTACTCAAGAATTAAAGGAGGCTTCCATTTAGCATGGCAGATAATGTTCCTTCCATCTCATTAAAATACCCATAAAGGCATATTAAAGTAAAATCTATCAACACAGTACATTAGAGATAAAAATGGACAATAGACTCAAGAAGGGGCAGTATTTCCCCCTACATATATCTTCTATGTGTGTAGGTACCAAGAAATATATTCTTGGACTAAATATCCCACTTTCTATCCTGCATGTCAAAATAAGCCAGATGGCTCCAAAAATGGTAGGAAAAGACTTTTGAACACTGTTCTGTTGCCTGCCTCTTCTTAGGGATCTCAGGGTTTGTAGTGACTGTAAAATGAGCCAAGATACAACCAAACAATAAAAAAATAAGTAAACAAAAACAAATACTGATGAACAGAGACAGAGATCCTCTTGCTGAGTGAACACGCTACCTGAGTGGCCCAGTGTTCCATACCAGCTCACGCACCCCCCGTCTATTCCCACTCAGACTCCCAGCCCATGAGACAAGGAAGAAAAAGGGCATGAGCAGAGCAGTCTTGCATCTTGGGATACTCACCTTCTAAGCAGAATGTTTTTTCTTTTTTTTTTTTTTTTAACTTAAGGAACTAGGCAGTGGCAAAAAGAAAAAGCTCATGGGCAATGGATGCAGCTTGTATTCACTTTCGTGTAGAAAATCAGCTCAAAAAAGAATTGCAGGATGCTTCAAACTCTCTACTATAGTCAGACACTGACCAATTGGAGGATTCAAACTCAAGCTAGCAAAATAAAACTGATGAAAACCTTCAACCGAACATAATTTAAGGGAGAGCTGTGCACTTCCATCTGAACTTAGAATCACATAGGAAAGACATTAGCCCATGGATATCTAAAACCCGGGAGAGGTCCCTCATCTAGTCAGAGATGAGAAACACACATGTAGCTCTGAAACACAGGGAACATGCATATGTAATCTAAATAAAAATTAAAATAAAAAACTGCCTCTCATTACAGTTATATACCATAAGGGGTGCTGCCAAATTTATATCCAGAGTTAAATTCATATCCTAAAGTACCCTATTTGTCACAGAATAACAAATAGATATGAAACAGAGATTGATTTCAAAAAAACTGAAAAATAAAAGACAACTCTAAGGAAAACAAAAAGAATGAACTGAAAGTGAATAAAACTTATCAAAATATGGAAAATAGCAAGATAGATCAGAAATTTTAAGGATCAATTTTTTGAAATAATGAAAATGAGAGAGCAAATCTATGACACAGAAAAATAAAAGTATTAAAAATCATAAAGTTCATATAATAATAGTGAATAATAACAGTAGTGTATAAAACCTGAAAGGCTGTCAGGTGCGGGGTTAAATGCCAATTACTTTTACATCTTGTTGTATAGATACTTTCCTGGATTTTTTTTTTAATAGAATTTTGCTGTCACTTGGGCTGGAGTGCAGTGGATCACCACAGTATCAACCTCCTGGGCTCAAGCTATCCTCAGCCGCCTGAGTAGTTGGGCCTTACAGGAGCATGCCACAATGTCCAGCTAATTCTTCTATATTTTTTGCAGAATTGGGTCTTGCTCTGTTGCCCAGGCTGGTCTTGAACTCCTGGGCTCAAGCAATCTTTAATCTTCCTGTTTCGGCCTCCCAAAATGCTAGGATTACAAGCATGAGCCACCATGCCTGTTCTAGATATTTTTAAGTTGCCAAAACAGTAGAAAGAATGAGTAGAATGCTAACAAGTATAACACTATGGATTTTTTGTTTCAAAATTTAACAAAGGATTAATTGTAAAATATTTAATAAAATCCAGAGCACAGACACATGGACTGCTACCCAATTAATTCTATAAAACTTCAAAAAGATTTCTATCAAGATTTGAGAATGCACACAAATAACAGTTGTGAAAAGAAAAACCTTAGACGAATTAAATTTCACAGAGGTCAATTGAGCAAACAATGATTTGCAAATTGGGCAGTTCCCTGAACCAGAGAGACTCTGGTGCTGTTGGGTGATTGGGGAAGATTTAAGGGCTGAAAAAGGGCCGGGTGCAGTGGCTCACACTTGTGATCTCAGCACTTTGGGAGGCCGAGGGGGACAGATCACTTGAGATCGGGAGTTTGAGACCAGCCTGGCCAACATGGTTAAACCCCATCTCTACTAAAAATACAAAAATTAGTGGGGCATGGTGGTGGGTGCCTATAGTCCCAGCTACTCTTGAGTCTAAAGCAAGAGAATCGCTTGAACCCGGGAGGCAGAGATTGCAGTGAGCCGAGATCATGCTACTGCATTCCAGCCTGGGCGACAGAGCGAGACTCCATCTCAAAAAAAAAAAAAAAAAAAAAAAAAGAGAGAGAGAGTGAGACTCTGTCTTAAAACAAAAAAGACTGAAAAAGGAAATCCCAGGTAGAAAAGACGGAAGTGAGGTCAGAAACAGCCAGACTTGTTACAGCTGGGTAGTGTCTTATTTGAACTTGGTTTGGACAGTTGGCTGCCTTTGGCCAAAACTCAGTAATGGGCACAAGGGTTGGTTCCAGTTTGTTTAACATCTAGTTAGGTTTCAGTTCACTGTACGTGAAGAAACCTTCAGGCTGAATTTAAAATATGTAAGGAGACAGCTTTAGGCTAAACTTTTTTAGCAGAATTTAACACTGGGAATTAAAAATAGGTTATTAAGCTAAAATTTTTGTGTTACTTTAAAACATGCAAAAATACGTTTGTTCATCATTAATTCACTATAGGTCCAAGGTCTTTTCTTTGATATGTGTACCGATCATAATTCTGTATTACATGTTGAACAAGCAACCTATCATATACATTTCAAGTTTTGGTATTTTGAAAGTGAAAAGTGAAATTAAAGACATTTACAAAGCAATCCACGTCCAGAAACGTTGTGACGCTGCGTTGGAGAGGCTGTGGGGCTGCCGAGAGAGCGTGGAGATTCCATTAAATTCAGACTCTGGAACAGGCCCTTTGTAACCAGTAAAACAGACAATTTTAGCCGTCACAGACGCTCTGCAGCCGTAAAGTACCTCTAAACAACTAATAGTGTGAAAGTGTGGTGAGAAATGAGAGCTCGACCACAGCTCCTGAAGGCCAGCCCTATGACATCTGTTCCCACCACAGCGGGTGGCTGTTCCCATATCCAGCCACAGCAGGGTTCCAGCCCCTCTGTACAGGGGAGAAAGATGTGGACCCTGAGGATGCTGACAACCTGGGTGCAGAGCAAGATTGACCAGGGATCTGCATGGCCTGTCCTCAGTAAAGACAGCCTGGAGAGGACCAGACTGAGGTCACGTTGAAAAAAGGGACGTGACCAAGGGACAGGAGTCCCCTGGTGCTACATCGTCAACTGCCTGCCGAGGAACCTGGAAAGTCCTTCGCCAAGAGATGGCTCGAAGACAGGAGCAGCCGATCCTACTGAGGTCACTGAGCGCCTGAGGCTGGGCAGGATGCAGCTGAGCAAAGCCTGGCTTGGCAGCTCTACGCTCTTCCTGTTTAGTCATCCAACAAGAAGAAAGAAAAGTGAATCTCTAGCAATACGATTTTTCTTAAAAAAATGGCAACAAAGACCTTTCATTGTTCTATATAGGACCAAATAAAGATTTAAAGAACTCACTTCAAATTTGTATTTCGTCTTTTCAAGGTGAATTTTTCGAAGTATACAACTGCAAGCACTCTTAATGTTTAAAATCAAATTTTTAAAAATAGTTCTGAATGTTCTAGTGAATGAAAAGAGACAAGAACCAACATAACGGGAACTACTTGAAATAATAATTTTTAAAAAGTCCATTTATAATTCAAAGAATATACTTAGATTATACCTTAGATAGCCTAAGAGAATCAACTGAAAAAAATGTTAGACTCAATAACTTAGATAAGCAAAGTAAACAGATAAAATATAGATACAGATTATTCAATATTTTTTTTAGAAATGAGCAGTAAGCTTTTAGAAAATAAAATGAAAAAAAGACCCTATCCAAAATAGTAGTAGAAACATAAAGTACCTAGCTATAAATTTTGCAAGATTTATGTAGAAAGTATATGAAAACAAAAATATTTCTATGATCTGTAAAATACAAATAATATACAGGGTTTATTATATTTTGAATGGAAACATTGAATACTATAAACAATTTTTATAATAAGCCTTTAAAAAATTCTTCCATAATGAATTTATGTGATTAAAATAAGTCAGACCAAATTGCTAATGACAGAACATTTACGAGAATGAAATAAACCACAAGCTGTCATCTTTGCAACCAAATGGAGACCGATAGAAGAAAATGGAAAAAAAAAATATGTTACTGATTTTGTAGAGAGATGGAAGCATTGTTTAAAATAGCATGCTAAGACATGCCTGGAAATCCATATCCACCCTGACTGCCTATGAAATGAGCTAATGAATTATCCTTAATTTTATTTTCTAAGCAGGTTTGAGTTATGTGTCTGTGTCGATCAATTGCAAATGAAAGAACATAATTACAACTAGCTATTAATTTATAAAAATAAAATCTAGCCTCTATAGCAGCTGAAATGTTTGTACCAATGGAAGTGTCCTGTTCTGAGATGCTCAACACTGTGGCCCACATGGGGCTACTGGGTGCTCGAAATGTGGCTGGTGCAGCTGAAGAGCTAAATTTTTTAATTCTATGTAAGTTAGTGAATTTCAAATTAAATTATGTGGCTGGTGGCTACAGCTTTGGACAGGGCAGCTCTATAATGATAAAATCTTGTAATTAAGGTAATAAAAGCTGTTTTTGCATTACAAATTAGAAGTAACTTTGGAAACCCCTTAATGCTGGAGAGCATGACATGTGAAAAGAATTCTCTCATTTACCTGTAAAAGCTCGAATTTGTACACACTTGCAATCTTTTCCTAAAATAATATGTCAATTTTTATCAAGTACAAAACTTTAGCCCAGTAATTCTGGAAAATTCTAGGGAATCCTAACAAAATAGTCAAAGATGTTGATAATAATTTGTGCATAAAAAGTATTAATACCACATCATTTATGATTTTAAAAATGTAAAATACATTAAAATGAGCAACAAATAGAAACAATTACCAACTAAATGAGTAAACAATGGAAATAATGAAAATTTGGGAACTTGGAGAACATTAACTATTATACCTTCACCTAAAGTCAAGTTTACAGCAATTATTCATTAAATTGCAAAATATTTACAACATAGCATTTTTAAAAAGATACAAATATCTCTCTGTATAGACAAATTATATATAATATATAATAAATATAACATACTATATTATATGTTAGATTAATATAATTCAACATATGTGATTATATTATATATCAATATATTATTATGAATATTTTCTTAGTATTTCATATATTAATGTTATATATTATGTATTAACTAACATATTATATATTTTGTTAATATAATGGAATATATTATATAAAACATTACATGCTATATAAACATATTAGGAATAAACAAATAATATTCATATTCACCAATATTTCAAAATAACTTATAGAATATGGAATTTTAAAAAAACTTGCTTCAGATTTGTCATAGTTTGTCCACTTAAGAAGTCTTCAATAAAACAGTAACACTGTAAATGAAATTAAGCCCTCACATTTTAATAGTAGTTTATAGTTTACAAAATATCTTCACATTTATCTTTTTAATCTTTCAGTAGCCTATTAAGATAAAATTTAATGTAATTAAATTATTTGGCCAAAAGTATATATTTTTCCAGTATTATAGCCCAAAAGAGAACTCAGCTGTTATATCTGTCATTGTTTAAATTGGTGTTGAATTTAGTAATATCTTAGACGTGGTGTGAGTCTTTTTATTTCTTAGTTTGTGTCTTTGTCTGATAAGCTGCAATAATCTAATAAATAATTCAACTACTCAAAAATAAATTACACGGCTATTTTATTTTATTTTTATTTTTATTTTACTTTTTATATAAAGACAGGATCTCATTATGTTGCTCAGGCTAATCTCAAACTCCTAGGCTCAAATGATGCTCTTGCCTTGACCTCCCAGAGCGCTGGGATTACAGGTGTGAGGCACAGTACCCGGCCAACACTGTTAATTTAGAGAGTCAAATTCATTTTGTAGTAGAAAGGATGCTTTCTATTTTCATGTCTTTGGAGATACTTTAATCTCTGTAGAGTATGTTCTCGTGCATGTTTTATAGCTTGTCTGTGCTCAAATTCTCTAGAATAAAAATAATGTATTAAATAGATAAAGATACAGACATAGACACACAGATTGTCATGGGCAAACTTGCACCTCTGCTTATCAGGTAAACATTTCCTTCAGCACTAACCTGGCAAACTTTACTTTCAGTCTTTAATGCAATTAAATTGAAGCTGGATTGATTATCTGAATCACTATATTTTCTGAGGAGTGATCAACGTATTTTAAGGAAGGGACTTACCCCAAATTTTTACCTTAGGATCAAACTTGTTAGTAAATGAAATCTTGGGATTGTCATGGTCCTTTATCAAAAATAACTCAAGGTATTTTATAAAAATCATCTCAGGAGTTCTTTCCAGTACTAACACTGTGTCTTCTTTTGAGGATAAGTCCAATTTCCAGATGGAGAAGATTTACTTAAAGTCTCAAATTATTCTGTCATTGATTGTTAAGGTTAAGGGAAATGATGAAGAGCAGATGGCCTAACCTTGTCACATTACAAATGAGAACACTGAGAACCTTGGCTAGAGCAATGAGGCGCCTAAGGTCACCTGATTGCCAGAAATGGCATTGGGAATCAGCCCTTCTAACTCTCTGCTTGGTATTTGTTACCAAAATGCACTCACAAGAGCAAAGGCAAACCAACTCACCTTTTCTAAGTTCCAGACAAATACAGTTTTAATCAGCTCTCTAATTAAAAACATCTCTCACAACAAAATGCCATTTCTCAGTTGAGTTGCAGCATGTCTTTTGTTTGAGATGGAAGATGATGAAAGCTTCTAATTGGACTTTTTCAAGTATCACATTTCCAAAAATCAGTAAACAATGTTAATAGCCTGGTGTCCACTCTCGTCTATCATTCACAAAAAAACAGAGCAATTTTTATATCTTCAGATTAAATATTCTTTGAAATAATAGTGCTAATATTATTTCACACATTTCTATGCAGCTTTTTATAGTTACATGCATTATTCCATTTTAGGGTGCTTTGTTTGTCAGCAATAGATAGCTAAAACAAAAAGGGGTCCGAAAATAGGGCACTGCTATCACAAAGACCTAAGATGTATATACTCTTGGCTTTGGGAAGGGGCAGTGGTGGAGGCTGACACCGTGGTAAGGAGCTTGATAATGGAGGCTGGAGGTGCAGTAATGAAACTGATAGAAGGCTTAAAAGATGATGACCCATGTTTTATAGTTACGAAGGAAGTGGCAAAACTTCTGGGAAATAGAAAATGTACCAAATTAACCTATGCGTGCAGATAAGATTTCTAGGCAGAGTATTGAAAGTGCCAATTGGCTTCTGTTAGCTCCGTATGAAAAGATATGGGAAGATAAATATGAGCTAAAGAGAGAACTATTCAGTATGCAAGAAGAATTTCCAATTCAGACTTACTGGGTTGGAAAATCAAACTGTTTCACATTTCCAGGCTCTCTAGCTGGCAAAAGACTCTCAAAATAAGAAATGGCCTCAGGGTAAAGAGTAAATCAAGGATATGTTCATAAGATCCTTTGTTAAGACCCTGAAAAGACCTCTGCTTAGAAGACTCCTTCAGCTAGAGAAAAACCCTTCTAAGACTCTTAAAAGCGTTATTTCACTGCAGCTGTACATATGGCCTATGGTTCTCCAAAAAAGAATCATGGGTGTGGTTTTTGGGACATGGAGTGAATCACAATCAGATTTATAAAATGCCCACAAACTTTTTAAAGGAGTTGTGTAAGTTTGGAATAAAAGAGGTAGAAATCACTCAAAAAATAAAGATGCTCTCGAGCTCTCAACTTTCTGCAGGAAACAAGGAGGCTCTTCAGGTGAAAATATGACCTATTTTATATAGGAAGAAATACATGTTTCAGAGGTAAGAATCCCAGAGGATTTCTTTAAGAAACATGGGAAACCATTAACCACAGAACTACTTCCAAGGGACAGAACTGAGCCTAATAAAGAAAAATTTTCTGTGCCCAGACACAGGTTCCTTACAATATGTGATCAGCTGGATTTCAGAAATGCTATGGACCAGTGACCTCTATGTTCTTCTTGTTCCTCCTCCTTTTTAATAGGGATGTCTATTGCACATGTCCTGCCCTTGTCTCATCATCATGTATAGATGTGTAGAAGGCAGATAGCATGTTTTTTCAATTCATGCATCTCTGAATCAAAGAGAGAAGCATCTACAGAGCCTAACCCACACCTGGGGCTAATGTAGATAATAAGATCAGTGGACTTTAAGCTCAATGTTGTGGTTTGATGAGTTTTTAGGGGTCATGAGTATGTTTTCCATATGAAGGAACATGTACCGTTGGGGCCAGAGGCTAGATTATTGCAGATTGTTACACTAAAGATGCCAGGTGAATCGCATCTCCCAGTACCCATGCACATGTATAATCATCTCTCAAACTGATGCCGGGTTTGGCCATGGATGTTGTTCTGGCCAATGAGGCATCAGCAAATGTGATACAAGTAAATGATTAAAAAACTGGTATTGTGCTTGGGGTCTTGCCTTTCTGGAGCACTGGTGACTGCATGTGAAAGAGGCCCAGCCCAGACAAGTCCCCTCAGGGATGAAGCATCACAAGCAGAGAAAGACTCAGCCATCTCACCCTCCTAGTTGAGCTCAGTTCAGCTGGGTGTGTCATGTTAGATAGCACATGTGAATCCATCCAGAAAACTGACAACCAACCCAGAGAATTATAAGAGGTAATAAATCATTGTTTTAACAATGGACTGGATAAAGAAAATGTGGTACATATACACCATGGAATGCTGTGCAGCCATAAAAAAGAACAAGATCATGTCCTTTGCAGGGACATGAATGGATATGGAGGCTTTAGCAAACTAACAGAGGAACAGAAATCCAAATACCATATTTTCTCACTTATAAGTGGAAGCTAAGTGATGAAAACATACAGGTAGATAGAGGGGAACAACACACTGAGGCCTTTTGGAGGGTGGAGGGTGGAAGATGAAGGGTGGGAGGAGGTAGAGGATCAGGAAAAATAACTAAAGAGTACTAGGTTTAATACTTGGATAATGAAATAATCTACTCAACAAATCCCCATGACACAAGTTTCCCTATGTAAAACCTGTACTTGTACCCCTGAACTGAAAATAAAATTTAAAAAAATCATTGTTTTACACACTAAGATCTGAGATGATTTGCTACTTAGCAAGAAGTAATAGAAACAAGAGTTTTTCAACAGCAACAGAAGAATCTAGAAAAAAAGAGCAGCATCTTTAACATTATAATAGGAAAAATTATTTTTCACCTGCAACGTTATTTGCACTCAAACCATCAATTAAGTGAAAGAATATAATGATGCCTTCAGATAAACAAGTTCTCAAAATTTTTCTTCCCATGAAATCTTTGATGGAACATGGACTACAATAAATAAGGAACTAAACCAAGAAAGAGGAAAGGATGGATTACAGTGAAGAAAATCAAAATGTTTCACCCCAAAATAGGCTTCTGTGACATATTTTGAGATGGGTGTTGAAAGAGCCGGCAACCAGAATCAGCCCCAAAAATCTGTCTTTCGGGAGGAAACTTGCATCTGTGGAGAATCTGCATCAGTGCAGTCAGGTCTGACCCAAAAAACAGAAATTCTGAAAGGGGTGGAGGACAAAATCTTTAACTTTATCAAATAATTTACAGCACATCCAGGCTAAGGAGAACACACTGCAGGGCACAGAAGCTTCAGTCCTAGTTCATGAAATTACAGAGCTGGAGGATTCCGATGAGCAACAAGGGAGGTAGATTCTGAGCATGGGCTGAGGATGTTCCTGCACACAGCCTGTAGCAGGATGCCTGAAATTATAGATTGAACAGAATTTATGTAAGTAAAACAAATTCTATACCATGAGATTTTGAAGAAAGGGATAATTAAAATTTAACTGCTGGAGAAGGAAGACAAGTAGTCTTGAAACCATGGAGCGCGGGGGAAGTAAAGAGAAAAAAAGACCAAGAATGCTAGAAAAAGAGAACAATAAAGAATTATCCACGAGGCCAGAGTCCAGGTGAAGGGCCCATGGAGGACAGCAACAGCTGCCACTCAGAGCTCTCTCTCTGTTTTCAGTCTCTATTACAAAATGAGATCATTTCGATTAAATAAGTGTATGTGACATAATCATGTGCTACCACCCCTTCATTTTCTAAATTGCCGTCCCCAGGACAGAGGTCAGAGAACAGAAAGAACATCTGCTACCAAATAAATCAGAGAAACTCTGGTTCATTGCTCCTGCATCTGTGAAAATTTGCACTGGTTTCTGCTATCTCATCTTGGGAAGAACAGTTTACCTGGTTCCCTGGAAATGTTGGCCAACCTCTCAGGTGTTTTCAGGTTGTGTGTTTGTTTATTTCCATATTAAACCAGTATTGTTTCTGCCTTCATGGAAATATTACTTGAAAGAGTGAACATAGTTAAAAAATGAGCAAGTGGGGAACACATCTGATAGTGAGAGATGGCATGTGGAGAGCTGCTGTAGAGATGTCAACAAGCTTTAGATATTTTAGAGTTTGTGGTCCAGGAAGGCTGCTCTGTGCAGAAGACTGAAGCTGTGAACTGAATGTCAAGAAGGAGCCAGCCAATGATCATCACTGGGCGAGAACACCTTTAGGAGGAATACATTTGCTTTACTAAAATCACGCTCAGTATGGTCAGAGTGATAAAAGATGAAGTTCAAGAACTATCCCAGGAGGAGGATGTACATTTCAGGATAATGGAGATGTGAAGACCATCAAGTCTTTACTGGATGTATCCATGTGGTGTGTAGAAGTCATTTCAAAAGTCATACGTCCTTCAAATATGTTCATCCTCATATTGTTCTTGTCAAAATAAATGGCCACTCAGTTGCTCAAGTCAATATTCTGAATCCTTAATTACTTCCTTTGCTTCACTCCCAAGCCCAACTTATTAGCAAAATTAATCAATTCTTCTGTGAAAGCATGTGTCATAGCTAATGACATCTTTGTCTCCACATTCTTCCTAAGGTTCATTGTTTTCTCTTGCCTCCCTACAACTTATTCTTCAAACAGCAATGAAAATTATATTATCAAAACCAGATAATGTCATTTATTTTCTCACTGGTATCTATTGCTGTCCCATTAATATTCTGTAAAACAGGAGGTCATTGGATACATTTGAATAAGCTAGATAGCAGGGAAAGTAAATCAATTCCTTGAGATCACATGATTTTGCTCATTAATTAATTCAATAATATTTATTCACTGTCCATTATTTCTAAGTATACAGTGGTAGGCAAAAAATAAATAATTATTTTTGTGGTTCTGTCCTCAGGGATCTTCAACACCAGTGGGAAAGAGACATTTCTTATAGTATCAGACAAATAAATATGTAGCTACAACTTGTGATAAGTGCAACAAAGAAAAAGAACAGAGTACTATAAGAAAAAATATGACAGAGATCATTTGGATTTCAGGGAGATTCTTTTTAAGAAAGTGACACTTGGGCTGGAACCTAAAAGATGAACAGTAGTTAGGCAAAAAATTTCAGGCCTTAGATAAGAAGAGTTTGGTGTGTTTGAAGAAATACACACATATTGGTATCGTTGGAATATAATGACCCAAAAGCAAAGGAGTTTGAGTAGAAGATGGGAAGATAGATGGTAGCTAGATCATGTATGGTCTTGTAACCCTACATGCTTTTGCGTTTCAATAGGGAAGTGGATTGTGAATTTACTCAGGAGCTATAAGTAGATTTTTAAAAAATTTCCAAAGATGACCTTAAATTATGGGTAGAAAAATGGGCGAATGGGAGAATTTGGTATTAGAAACAAGGAGACTTTAGAGGATGTCCTTGCAAATGTTTAAGAAAGTGATGATGGATTTGAATGGAAGCTTTGGGAATGGGGAGACAGGCAGATTTGAGACACACTTTGGGGGTAAACACAATAAGGTTTGGCGATGAGTTACTTATGGAGATAAGAAGCAGGTGACAATTTAGTTCTAGAGCTCGGGAATAGGCTGAAGATTCTGGACTGCAATTCTTTTCCCCTATGCTTGCTGGCTGTCATAAAGCAATAGAAGACCCTTTTCCTTCATCCTTGATTGTTGGGCTGTCCTGTGTGTAATATCAATCTCTAATAAAAGGATAATTAAAGACATACATATGGACTTTTGCTAGGCTATTAGCTAAATACTCTATGACCAGTTAGTAACAGAACCTGAACACCATCTTCCACATTAAAAGCAAAACAAGGTTTTGAAATCAATGTTCATGTAATGCAATTTTTTTTAGACTTTCATTGAAATATATGAGAAAGGAAACAAATAGTAAGAACCACATTGGATAGTCATTTCTACCCAGGACTCAGATTCTTAAATGACTCAGAGCTCTGAAATGACTATCCGTGAGACCTTCCACTTGCCAATTTTCAAATTAATTCCAAATTTAAAAAGGATCACAGTATTTATGCTGGGGTTTACCACAAATAGCAATCAATTAAAGTAGGTCTCCAAAACACTGCAGTTTAAGGAAGAAGTTTTCCAATACTCTCAACTCCTCTGTTGCTTCTTCTATTAATCATGAGGCTTCTGGCATGGCAAGGATGTTTGATTAGTAGGTTCACAGCTCTAAATACAAAAACATATGTTCCTATAAATTTCAGAATCAGCACGTCGAGTTAACAGAGACACACTTAGGTGCACACAAGCACACACAAATTCAGTTGTGCTATCCATGAACATGGTATATCTATTTATTAATAAGATCTACTTTAATATCTGTTAACAAAATTGTGTACTTTTTCCTAGTTATCTTATATTTGTAAATATTGCAAATAATGTTGGTTAAATCTCATTTTCTCACTGTTTGTTGCTGGTATGTAGAAAAAAAGTTGATTTTTATACATTAATATTGTTTTCAGCAAATGAGCTAAATCTGATTAATTCTAATAATTTTCTGTAAATTGTTTACTGTATGTAAATGCATAGCATTTGAAAATGATGAGTTTCTTCCTTTTACAATTTTATAAGTCTATTTCTATGATGGGTAGTATCTTCAGTTTAATAAAATGATAGTGGTCAATCATATTAAAAATCTCAAAGAGAAAACTTTGATATTTCCCAACTATGTACTTTTACTATAGATTTTATGATGTTGCTAATTTTTAATTTATGTGAAATATTATAAGGTATAACTTTCTGCACTTATTAATATAATCATTAATTTAAGTGTGGTAAATTACATTCAGCCCTTCTTCTTTTCCCCCACCTGAGCTAAAGGACATAAATTTCACTTCAATATTCTTTTTATTACAGAAGTTTTGGTACATAGTGTTTTTACCATTATTCAGTTCAAAGTATTTTGCAGCTTTTACTAAGATTTCTCCCTTGACATACTCAAAACCTAGGAGTATAATTTTTATTTTCCAAACATATAGTAATTTTCTAGTCATATATTTTATTATTGATTTTCACCAAAATCACCTGGTTATCAGAGAACATAATCCATATGACTTTAGTTATTTGACCTCATCTGTTTTCCATTCTATTTTCCAAATGTGCAAATGTACTTAAAATGCATTACACATCTAGTAAGTGTAAAAGTCTATGTATTTAAGAGAAATTTGTTATTCTAATTATTCAAATCTACTATATAATCATTGTATTTGTTTTGCCTACTTTATCTATAAATCTGAAAACATTGGAAGTTTAAAATTACCCAAGAGTTTGTCAGTTTACTTCTTCTTGTAAATGTATTAAATGTTGTTTTCGGGTGATCTGACACCATGTTATTAGAAACATATACTTGTAGAATTTTTCATTTCATCATTGTAACTCATTCTTCTATTCTTATGAACTCACTTGTATTTGACAATGCTTCTTGACTTAGAGTTTATATGATCCAATGTTCAAAAGGATTTTTTTATTTCTTTTAATTTCAACAGATAATATATTTTATCAGTCAGACTTCTAAGATTGCCTCCAATTTCCTGGAATTCACAATCTTTTGCAATCTCCAACCCTTGAGTTTGGACCAGTTATTCACTGCTAGATATAAAATACAGCAAAAATAATGGGATATCACTTGTAATATTAGGTTATAAAAGAATGTGACTTTTGCCTTGCTTAATCTCCCTCTCTGGCTTTTCTCACATGTTCACTTTGATGAAACAAGCTGTTATGTTGCCAGTTTCCCTATGCAGAGGCAAGAAACTGTGAGTAGCTATTCAGAAATAGGCCACGAGTTCAACATCAGTGAAGGAGATGAAAACCACCAATAACCACGTGAGTAAGCTTGGAATCGGATCCTTCCTCAATCACATCTTCAGATGAGATGGACTCCAGCACAGCCAATATCTTAACTGCAGCCTTGTGAGAGACCCTGGAACAAAGGATCCAGCTAGATCATGCCTGGATCCCTAGTCCACAGAAATCGTTAGATAATAAGCGTGTGTTGCTTTAAGTCACTAAGATTTCGGAGAATTTTTACAAAGCAATAAAGGACTAATATACTTGTATATAAGCTGTACCTGTTTCCCCTTTTTTTCCCTTTTGAGACCATCTTTGTTTTTTTATTGAAGAATTTATTACCTGTTGCTTTAATGTAACTACTTTTATATTTGAGTTAAATTAACCATTTTATTTTGCCTTGTTTAGCTTGATGGAGAATTTTTACCATTCCAATTTTTGCCTCTTTAACAACTTGGACATTTGGAAATTTTGTGAAGCTCCCTTGACTTATCAAAGCTTAATGCTAATAAGTTCCTTTGCTCCCTTTTAGAAAAAGACCCTTGTATATAACAGGCATACCTACTTTAGAGTTTGTGTATGTTTCCCATATCTGAGCCATTGTATTACTGTTGTCCATTGTTTTCTCTGACTCTCATGCATAAATAAACCTTTATTTATTTTCTGGCTCTTTATTTTTGTGAGCTGATCCTAATATTTAAAATTATTCCTAGAAATAATTTCAGGTAATAAAAATGTAATATTTCTTAACAAAATATTTTCTTTTTTATAGCTACAGGAGAAACATTCTACTATCACTTTAATTTCAAATCCAGGAGATATTCTGGAAATCCAGGACATGCAAAACTAATGGAACCCATATAATAATGGAATAACTTCAAATTATGTTTAATTTGTGGTTGTAGCCATTTTGAATACCAGCTTACTGTGTGGGTGGGCATCAGACAGACACTGGACTTTTATTTTATTTTTCCATCCTATAATCTACATTTTGTTGCTGTTTTTTCTTCATTAGCAAATGTCTTCAAGAAAAAGAAGCACATTTTAATGGAATTTATCTGTACAAAGTATCATCTTCTGTTAGATTTTAGCCCAGCTATTTCTTTTTGTTAGCTTTAAAAATTTTTTATTAAAATTTTCAAATGTACATAACAGTAGAACATACAATAAAACCCCTCACATACTCATAACTCAGCTTCAACAGCCATCAACACTTTGCTACACTTGTTTCCACTATCCTCTTCCCCTCTTTTTTTTGTTTTTTTAATTTTAAGAGTCACAATTTATATAAAAACAATTTACATTAAAGTTACTTTTAGATGTACGAAGAGGTTTTGAAATAAATCAAAGTAGTAACAATAGAGCATTTAACTATTTTGTTGATTGAAAGTAAATGCAAGAAATTCTATTACTTAGGATACAAAATGATACATTTATTCTACTTTGGATGTTTACCTTTAAAATATATATTTAATCTAATTTCATTTGATATAAGTATTCTGTAATCACTAATAGGGAATGTCTAACATACTAACTCAATATTTACCAAATACTAATTTCCTTGATATGTTTCATAACTTCCCTTGACACTAAATAAGATTCTTTTTAAAGATATATTCCTATTTCCAGGTTTTGTATTTTCTCAGTAATAGGTCTAATATTTTGTTCCTATAAATTTACTAATATGTTTTGTTGGCACACCTCAGCAATGAAGTGAGTATCCTCATAAATAAAGCTTAGATTTTAGACTATAAAATTTAACTAATATTACATAACAGGATTTGACACAAACTTTGGTTTGGTCTAAGTTATGGCAGTTGTTGTTTTGTTTAAAAAGCCTTCATGAGGTACAATACACATATCATATAAATCACACATTTAAAATATACAATTCAGTGGTTTCAACGTATTTAAATATATGTGCATCCATCTCCCTACAGTTATTTTTAAACCATTTCATCACTTCACAAAGAAACCCCATATAATACCTTTTTTTGCTATTGCTGTCCTCTGTGAGAGAGTTTGTTTTATCCTGCCTGACATTTCTAGAACTGAAAGTCTCTAAATCAATAATTTTTATAAAAATTGTTCCATAAAGAGCTTTCATTAGATGTATTTTTATGTACCTTATAGTTTTGTCACTATTATAAGTACTGTATTTTTTACATCTAATTATTTGTCTTTGCTGGCATAAAAACTCCCTTTTTATATATTACTCATATATATAGCAACTTTCCTAAACTGTAACTAATTCTTACAGAATGTTTATAGATTTTTGTGAATTTTGTCTGCAGACAACTTTATTATTTGCAAACAAGAATTTTGTTACTATTTTACTGATTCTTATATTTCTTATTTCTTTTTGTTGTTGTTAATGTAATGCATTTTCTAGTACTTGAAGAAAATGTTGAAGAATAAGGAAGTGTTGATGATTGTATTAGTTCATTTTCACACTGCTGATAATGACATACCCAAGACTGGGCAATTTACAAAAGAAAGAGGTTTAATCGGACATACAGTTGCACATGGCTGGGGAAGCCTCACAATCATGGAGGAAGGCGAGGAGGAACAAGTCACATCTTACATGGATGGGAGCAGGAAAAGGGAGAGAGCTTGTGCAGGGAAACTCCTGTTTTTAAAACTATCAGATCTCATGAGACTTACTCACTATAACCAGAACAGCATGGGAAAGACTTGCCTCCATGATTCAATTACCTCCCATCAGGTTCCTCCCACAATATGTGGAAATTCAAGAGGAGATTTGGGTGGGGACAGAGCCAAACCATATCATTCTGCCCTGGCCCCTCCAAAATTTCATGCCCTCACATTTCAAAACCAATCATGCCTTCCCAAGAATCCCCCAAAGTATTAACTCATTTCAGCATTAACTCAAAAGTCCAGAGTCCAAAGTCTCATTTGAGACAAGGCAACTCCCTTCCACCTATAAGCCTGTAAAAGCAAAAGCAAGTTAGTTACGTCCTAGATACAATGGGGGTAGAGGCATTGGGTAAATATGGCTGCTTTAAATGGGTGAAATTGGCCAGAACAAAGAGTCTACAGGCCCCATGCAAGTCTGAAATCCAGCAGGGAAGTCAAATCTTAAAGCTCCAAATGAGCTTTTTTGACGCCATGTCTCACATGCAGGTCATGTTGATGCAAGAGGTGGATTCCCATGGTCTTGGACAGCTCTTCCCCCGTGGCTTTGCAGGGTACAGCCTCCCTCCCAGCTGCTCTAATGGGCTGGCATTGAGTGTCTGCGGTTTTTCCGGGCCCATGGTGCAAGCTGTCAGTGAATCTACAATTCTGGGGTCTGGAGGATGGTGGCCCTCTTCTCACAGCTCCACTAGGCAGTGCTCCAGTAGATACTCTGTGTGGGGCCTCTGACCCCACATTTCCCTTCTGCACTGCCTTAGCAGAGGTTCTTCATGAGGGCTTCACCCCTGCAGCAAACTTCTGCCTGGGCATCCATATATTTCCATACATCCTCTGAAATCCAGGCAGAGGTTCAAAAACTTCAGTTCTTGACTTTTGTGTACCCACAGGCTCAACACCACATGGAAGCTGCCAAGGCTTTGGGTTTCCACCCTCTGACGCCACATCCCAAGCTGTAGCTTGACCCCTTTTAGCCATGGCTGGAGTGGCTCAAATGCATCGCACCAAGTCCCTAAGCTATAAACAGCATGTGGGCCCTTGACCTGGCCCAAGAAACCATTTGTTCTTCCTAGGTCTCCAGACCTGTAATAGGAGGGGCTGCCATGAAGACTTCTGACATGCCCTGGAGACGTTTTCCCCATTGTCCTGGGAATTAACATTTGGCTCCTTGTTACTTATGCAAATTTCTGCAGTTGGCTTAAATTTCTCCTCAGAAAATGGGACTTTCTTTTCTATTGCATTGTTGAGCTGCAAATTTTCCAAACTTTCATGCTCTGCCTCCTTTATCAAACAGAACACCTTTAACAGCACTCAAGTCACCTCCTGAATGCTTTCTTGCTTAGGAACTTCTTCCACCAGATACCCTAAGTCATCTCTTTCAAGTTCAAAGTTCCACAAATCTCTAGGGCAGGGGCAAAATGTCACCAGTGTCTTTGCTAACACATAACAAGAGTCACCTTTGCTCCAGTACCCAACAAGTTCCTTATCTCCATCTGAGACCTCCTCAGTCTGTATTTCTTTCATTGTCCATATCATTATCACCATTTTTGTCAAAGCCAATCAACAAGTCTCTAGGGAGTTCCAAACTTTCCCACATTTTTCTGTCTTCTTCTGAGTCCTCCAAACTGTTCCAACCTCTGCCTGTTGCCCAGTTCCAAAGTTGCTTCCACATTTTTGGGTTATCTTTTCAGCAGTGCCCCACTCTACTGGTACCAATTTACTGTATTATCCATCTTCACACTGCTGATAAAGGCATACCCAAGACTGGGAAATTTACAAAAGAAAGAGGTTTAATGGGACTTACAGTTCCAAGTGGCTGGGGAAGCCTCATAATCATGAAAGAAGGCAAGGAGGAACAAGTCACATCTTACATGGATGGCAGCAGGAAAAGAGAGGGAGCTTGTGCAGGGAAACTCTTGTTTTTAAAACCATCAGATTTCATGAGACTTATCCACTATCACAAGAACAGCACGGGAAAGACCTGCCCCCATAATTCAATTACCTCCCATGAGGTTCCTCCCACAACACGTGGGAATTCAAGGTGAGATTTGGGTGGGGACACAGCCAAACCATATCAACGATAATGAAAAATCTCATCTTTTTCTAAGGTAAGTGCAATGTATTTTATAATTCACCATTAAGCATGATGTAGATTTTTGATAGATGCCTTTTCTGGTAAAGACACTTACATTTTATTTCTAATTTCTTAAGAATTTAAAAAATTAATACAGCTTACTGATTTTCTTCAATTTTCCACATCTATTAAAATGATTATTTTATTTAAATCATTCATGTGTCAAATCATGCTAATGGATATTTTGATATTGAGCCAGCAATGCATTACTTGGATATTCCCTATTTGATCACTTTTATACATTATCAGATTGAGCATCATAAAATTTTATTTAGAATTTTTGTACCACTTTTCATAGATGAAATTAGCTACTTTCTTTTCTCACAAAAACGATAAAAAACTAACATAATCCAATCACAGGCAGGGTTAGGAAGTTTATTCTCCCATATTTCTTGTCAACTTAAAAGTACTGACTGAAAGCAGGCTCTGTTAAAAAAATAATAGCATGCAAGAGTCTAAACACCAGGCCAGTCATCATTATGAAACATTATGTATCACCATGGCTTCAAAGGTAAGGTAAAACAAGAGCCCTTTCAAACTAGCAGCACCTCCCTTAGAAAAAAACTGAGGTGTTGCTAGTTTGAAAAGACTCTTGTTTTAACTTCCCTTTATGTAATAATTATTAAATTTTATATATGTAATAGTTCAAACATTTTATATATGCAATAATTATTACTTTACATATATGAATTAAATATGAATATATATGAAATGATATATATAGGGCTTGTATTACACATATAATTTAGCCTGAAAATATTGACACATTTATAATGAGAAAAATCTTCTGATTCAAAAATACAGTATGAATTTCTGTTTGTCATAGTCTTGTATTTTTCTGTCTCTGGAGCATTTTCAAATTTTCTTATTATAAGTCACATATATCTTAAGTTTTTTCCTAAATATTGTTTTGTTACTGTTTTTGTTAATGTTTTATTCTTCCCCATATATATTTTTTCATATATGGAAGCTATATATGTTATCTTTTTAATTTTATATGCCCCTTTTTATGAACTGAATTTCCTTACTGTTTGTATTTCTTATATAAGAATATAATCATACCAGCCACAAAAGTTCAGTATTACTGCCTGCTTTTTAGTTAGTATGTCTTTAGTTTGTTTCTCTTATCTAGTTGCATTCACCAGAATGTCAGAAATGATGATGGGGAGATCCTAAGCAAGCTGCTGTGGATGCAAAATAAATCAGACACTAGGTCCCTGTCCTCACAGGGTTAAATGCAAGATTTGAGCTGAAAGAGAAGGAAGCTGACTGGGTGTTAACACACTCTTTCTCTGTGCTACTCTTTTTGACAGCAACTATCAGTACTCTGTCATTTATTTCATAATTACTTGAGTTTTGGCCTCTTTCTCCCATAAAAATATAACTCTATTGTGGAAACAATTCTGTCTTTGAGATCATCACTTTAACTGCAGGGCCTAGAATGTGTAGGCATCCACTACATATTTGGTGACAAATGAAAGCCGGGTGGGCGATGTACAGCCACAGGCCACATCCAGCCAGGCATCTATTTTTATGCAGGAAGCCCCACAGAATCACAGCCACTCCCGTCGCTGTGCGTGTTTTCTAGAGCTGCCTTTGCATTATGTCCAGCAAAGATGAGTGATTACAACAGAAACCTCAAGGCTCACAAGGACGAAACTATTCACTGTCTCACCTCCTACCATTGATGGAAAACGTCGGGCAGCCCTGGAGCTGAAAGATGAATGTCTCAAAGGAAGATGTTCCTTCATAGCAGGCCGTTGGAATCAAACACAGCTTTAATTTGTGGAATTATTTGTTTAATAGCTCCTGTTTTAACCAAAGGTGAGAGAACCGGCATTTGTTCTGCCAGAGGATGAAGTTGATTTGCCTGCTCAGTGTCAGGGGACAGTCTGCTTCTTCCAGGGACAGTGTTACATCCCATACCTCAGTGCACCTTGAGCGGTGTCCAGGGGTGTGTAAGTCAGGACTGACACATCACAGAGGCAGGGAGACCTGGACACCCCACCATCCAGAAACAACATTGGCCCAGCTTGGTTTTGCAGGGTAGCCCAGCCCAGGCCCTGTCTCCCTGCTAACTCCACCCGTCGTCCCTCTCCAGGTCCCCCCGGCTGTGTGCTCTGTCAGCACCCCCAGAAGATCCAGTAAATGTCACACTAGGATGCTCCCCATGACCAAATTAGTCCTGACTGTGTGAGCTGCTCTCTGGCAGCCATCACCTGCCAAGCCGCGGCTACACTGTCCGGAGTGCGTGTTTACCCTGAGAAAGCGTAGCCTAGTGCTTCTGAGGAACCGCAGACCCCTAGGCAGGAGCCAGGAGAAGACCGCCAAGCACGGCGAGGCCGGCCGTGCTACCAAATAAGGCACCTCTCCTGCAGGGAGCTGGGACCTAAGGGACTCGCGCTGGGCACGGGGCAGGCGGCGCCCATGTCCCCTTCCCACGGTGCCCAGAGGGCCTGTCCCATTTGTGAGCAGCTCCCAGGCCGTCCCCCAGCCAGGTGTCCCGTTCGAGGACGCGAGCTCTTCCACTTGTCCCTTGCCCGGGGCCCTGGCTTTCCCTGGGCTCCCCTCATGGTTCACCTGCTCTCACTAAGACGGGGCAAACGAATAACGGGGCTTTTGAACGAAAACGTGGTCGCAGGGCCATTCACAACAGTGTAAGGGGTTAAGACACCTCACCCAAGAGCACGACTCCCGCCGCACCCACAGACATGCACACCAAACAAACCACACCACACACACACACATCACATAGAGACATGCACAACACACACACACCACACCACAACATATCACACCACACACACACCACACACATCACATAGAGACATGCACAACACACACACACCACACCACAACATATCACACCACACACACACCACACACATCACACAGAGACACACACACCACACACACACCACACCACACCACACACACACAGGCACACACCACACACACCTCACAGAGACACACCTCACGGAGACACACGCACCACACACACCCCGTACCACAACACACACACACCCCCAACACACCACACACACACAGCATACACACCACACAGACATATGTACCACACACACTCCACACCATACCACACATACACACACCATACACACCACACACACCATATACACCAGAGACACATGCACCACACACACCCCACATCACACCACACACACACACACACACCATACACACCACACAGACACGTGCACCACACAACACACACATACACCATACATATGACACAGAAACACACACCATACACACCACAAAAATACCACATCACACACATCTCACACACCACAAACAGCATACAGTACAACACACACAACATACACATACATCACATACCACAATATAAAAACATAGACATCACAGACATACCACAGCACACATTACACCACACCCACACTACACGCAGCACATAGATGAACACACCACACACCCACACTGCACACAGATACACAAACCACACCACACCCATGCACACCACATACAACAATATACACCACAACACACACCACATACACACAAACACCACATACATAAGCAGAAACACACAACAGAGGGGTGAATGTGTATGCTGGGAGGACCTCCGTGCAGCCCAGAGGAGACTCCATGCAGAGCCTCCAGGGCAGATGCTGCAGCCTGCGAGGAGACCTTCCCTGCAGATCAGGTGACTGGGGTTGCTGATGACCCATTAGCACTTTATGAGTATTCAAAGGATTTTATCATGTACAAGATGCTCTTCAGAAATCATCCAATTTAAGTACATTTGTTTATTTTGTGTATAAATAAAGGTGGGCTTGGTGTGGAAATCCTCCCCATGCAATACCCTCAAAGGGCCAAATCCAGTCCCAAGCATCCCTGTGCCCTCAGGTCCCCTGGGAGCCATACAGTGGAGCCCCTAGATATGTGGGCCACCACCCTTTCTCCTTCTCTAGCCACGTGGAAGTCTGAGGGGACATCGCCCCAGACACGGAATCTTCTGCCTGTGCCTCTGTGGCAGGAAGAACAAGGGCTTAGTCCCACTCTTGACACCACCAGGCCGGGCAGGTCCTTGCCCGGCTGCGCCTGGAGAAAAGGACAGTGCAGGTAGAAGAAACCAACCTTTCGGGCGCCAAGTCCATCTCCCAGGCACAGTCCACCGCGTGTGCCCAAGGCTTCGTTCATTGAAGCTTCTAAATAGGAGATGGAGGGAGATGCATTTCTGGCTCCTGGTTGGGAGGTAGCGAGGGGAAAAAGAGAGAAAAAAGAGACAGAGCAAAATGTTCATAGACACCCACAGCACAGTGCTGAGGTGTGCAGGGGGAAGTTGTTCATCTACTTTGTGGGCCCACACGTGGGAGCAGGCAGCTGGCAGGGGCACAAATGGGCGCATCGTTTCTATCGCTCATGCTGCATAGGCCTGGAGGAGCAGGGCTGGTGAGTATGCATAAGAAAACTGTTGAGCCCCACACCAGAAAACATGCCCGCATTGCATTCCAGTCAAGTGGTGTTCAAGGCAGCAAAAATGTCTGAGCTAATTCTAAGGACCAGAATTCTAATAGAGCCGGCCCCTTCTATTGGCTGGGAATGTTTGTTTTGAAACAGTGGGCTCATTTAAAGGGATCATTGAAGAGATTCTTCAGGGCCCAGTTCAAATGTCATGACCTGTCTAAAATTATTTCTTCTGCATTTTTGTATCACCTTATATATAACCCCAGTATAATATTTACTATGAATTCTCTATGCAATACATTGTTCAGCGGTGTGCCTTGGAGACAGCAGGTGTTTGTTCAGTGTTTTTATTAAACGGAAGAGTGAATAGGTGGATGAATGAACAAATGACTGAATGACTGCTTTGCAGGAAGGGTACCCAAGTGGGAAGATGGAGCTTTGATCAGCTTGCACATTACTGTTTTAATTAGCTTATGTATTAGTCCATTCTCACACTGCTATAAAGAACTGCCCAAGACTGGGTACTTTATAACGGAAAGAGGTTTAATTGACTCACAGTTTTGCTTGGCTGGGGAAGCCTCAGGAAAGTTACAATCATGGCAGAAGGGAAGCAGGCGCCTTCTTCGCAAGGCGGCAGGAGAGAGTGTAAGTGAAGGCAGAAGGGCCCCTTATTAAACCATCAGATCTTGTGAGAACTTACCCACTCTCAGGAGAACAGCATGGGGGAAACCGCCCCATGATCCAATCACCTCCCTCCCTCAATATGTGGGGATTACAACTGGAGATGAGATTAGGGTGGATACACAGAGCCAAACCATATCAGCTCATGAAGAGAGCTGTGTAACCCAACAAAACATACTGGGCAAGAAACAACAAATTCTCAAATTAGTTTCCTAAAAATCAAAATATTAATGGTAGCAATGCTCAAGGCCAAAGCTAAGATGCCTGTGCAGAAACAGATAAAAAGTTAACTTGGCAATGCCTGCCGTGGTATAATTTCACATCTGTCAATTGTTTTTGTTTGCTTAAAGTTGAAGAAATAGACCAAAGACCAATTGTAAAGTTGTGAAGAAAATTCACTAGATGAAAAAAAGTAAAAACCTCAGATTATGTAGTGCTTTCCCCTAAATATTGGTAACTCTGCAGCTGCCAACAAACAGGACAGCATGTGAACATTTTTGCATTTAGAAAGTATTTGAATTTTAACTTGCAAAAGAAAACAAAATTATATCTGTTGCATTTTCAAGACAATTTTTAAGTAAAAAAAAAAAAAAAAAAAACAGCCATGGAAAAGGCTGTGAAAAGCTATGATTGCTGCTCTGAGGATCTGGGCTTTTTCTTCTCAGTACTGTAGTGAAAACAGAAATGAAAACCTTGAAAAGTAGGGGAAAACCCACATTCCATTAAGATCCTGGCAGCGGGTGCAACAATTATTCTAGAACCCGCAGCAGCCTTTTCATTTGTATCTAAGGAATGGTGGATGGACTCCCTCTATGATCTAACTTTCCTCATCCATGTGAGATTCATAGCAGGCCAGCAGATCACCACTTTTACTCATCCTCAAATGAGAAGCTGAAGCTCCGAGGTCGGGAAAACTGCACCATCCCCCATCGTTAACATGTGATGGGACCAGGATCCCAGTCCACCTTTCCCAAACCCAAATCCAGTGCTCTGTCTGGGTCCCCGCTGGCCAAGGGTCAGCAGAGCAAGCCCTCTGTCAGGTTCTACCCCTCCATAGCCTCCACACTGCAATAATTCCTGTGAGATATTCCAAAGCTCACTTTGTCTTATAATCTATATTGACATTAACTAAGAAAAGTAAAAACATATAAAGAAAATAATAAAATGATCAACTCAATCGCAAAAGTCACTATACTCAAAAACCACAAGTTAGCGACCTTACTGTACAGATCACTCTGCTAGATTGCTTTTGTTTGTCCCCATCCTATGGATGATGAAGATAAGGTGCAAATAATGATGAAATAAGGCTTAAAATTTCTAACCTAACCTTTGGGTTTTCCTTCACACACCCTTTAGAAATATATTTGTTAGATGTGATTTTGCCATATCCTAGTTTTCCTTTGTTGTCTAAAGTATTTTGAAATTCTAAACTGTCCCTTGATGACAGCACTCAGGGAACTGGCGAAGGGACATGAGATTTGGACAGAGGGAGGACGATGTGGCCAGGTGCTGGCCTTCCATGGCAAGGGCTGATGGACATAAATACAAAGGCTAGAAAACTGAAGAGGCTACATGATGAAGATTCATTAAGCCAGCACATAGACAAACAAAGCTAGGTAAGAACAATGCAGCACACCCCAGAGCAATTAAAGCTCATGCACAGCCTTGTTGGGCAGGGCAATTGATTTTAGCAGGCTTGGAACAAGAACGGGCCTCAGGCATGCTATTTTGCAGACAGAATAAAAGAACATCAGAAAAGAAAAGTGACTTGCCCAAGTTCACAGTCAGTTAAGTCAACGATGGGGCAAAAGCTCAGGCCTCTGGGTGCTTTCTCAGTATGGCTTTTATCTGCACCTGATTTCACAAAACAGACTGGAATGTGCTGAGAGGCTGCCAGGCAGGTGGTCAGCATCCATGCAGTGGGTGCTCTCACCAATGCCACACCTGGAGAGGAGGAGGGCAAAGCAGATGTCGTCCGGGTGATTTTCAGCCCTGGGCCCTTCCCCGTTCACACCTCAGGCTTCTCAGCATGTATTGCTTTGCCATGCTTTCCTCAGCTTACAGTAATAACTCCTTTTGCCTGCCACCCACACTGACATGAGCCCCCACTTAGAGATGGCTTCGTGAATATTTCAAATTTTATCAGGTGCTTTAATTAAATCATTGACATTTATGTCAGAGAGTACAAGACTGAAGTTCACTGAGGGTGGTCGTCTTGCCCAGGGTCATCGAACTGGAACTGGCACAGCCAGGATTTGCACCTAAACCTGTTGGACTCCAAGGCCCATGTTCTCTCTACTTAGAGGATAACAGCCAAGACTTCTGATTTCCTACCAGTTTCAGAAAATATGGAGCTCCCACAGCATAGGAATTCTCTCCATAACAGAATGTTATGGCTAAAAGCATGACCCATCTAAAATTCAACTTCGAGTATTTATTTAACAAATAACTACAGTACTTCATTAACTACTATAGCAGATATTTAATAAACAACGTTGTAATATGTGCCATTCAAAGCACTTTACATATATTGAAGCTTTTTGTCTTCCTAAAAACGACATAAAGTAGGAACTATCATTTTTCCATTTTACTGATGACAATACTGAGGCTCAGAGACATCCAATAGATTACCTAGAATTACATGGCTGGTAGGTGGAAGAACTGGTATTCAAATCCAGGCAGCCTGGCTCTACACTCTTGGCTTTTAATCGCTAAGCCATACTCCCCTCTCTAGTTTTGTAGAAATCTTAATAGAATGGAGTATGCATGTCTTTGCCTTCTCAAATTGAGAATAGTGAACCTAGTTGAGCCTTCTGCTTATAATTCAAGGTGACCCACATGAATTTGGAACATTACATCCACTACAGCATGCCTAATACTACCCTCAGACATTTTAGATTGCAAGAGTAAATTTCCCCCAAGACTGGCCCCAGATTGCTGTTCTTATGAAGTTCTTTCCAATTTTTAAAGCTCTTCTATTTATTTCTTCTGCTATCTTCCCTCAGCGACTATGGCTATCTATATATATTATTCATGACCTTGCTTTAAAAGGAATTATCTGGTTCTGTGTCTCTGCAAGATTATCTTGCCTTCTAACACAGCAAAACACATCAGCTTTATGACAGCAATACTTTCTCAAAATTTTTTTCTAGACCCAGTGGCATGTCCCAGCTTGATGTGGCTCCATAAGTGTGTGATATTGTTTAAGATTCTGCTCAAATGGACTCCCTGATTCTGAACCTTGGGAAGGAAGGGTATCAGCAGCATCGGAAGGGAGGCTCTCTGGAGTTTTTCTATGGAGGAAGTCGCCACACACACAAATGCCGCATTGTCAACTCTCTAGAACACAGTCATCTCACAACTGTGGAATGTCCCTCCTTGCCAAACCCTCAGGACGACAGCAGTTGAAACTTTCATATACGGAGGAGTGGAGGCTCCTACGGAAGAAAAGAGGAAGAGCCAGTGCTTGATGCAGGCTTTTGACACTTCAAGTTGGGCAATGTTTTTGGTTTCAGCAAAGTTGCTAAAAACCACAATTCCCAAGGTTGGCCTGAACTTTGATTCAGAGCTTGAATTGCTAAGAAAGGTGGGGCTGGCCACAGGTTTCACTTGGCAGCAGCTCGCTTCTTCCCTGTGGGCGGCTACCCCTGCTGTCCTTTTCCATGCGGAGTTCCTGGCCATGGGTCCATGGTCAGTAGGTGCTTCTCTCTTACACCCTGGGTCACAGCACAGCAGTGGCTCTCAAGGCGGGCCCCCCTGGCCAGCCACAGCAGCATCACCTAGAATCTGTTAGAAATGCAAATTCCCTACTGAATCAGAAACTCTGGTGCTGGGGCCCAGCAAGCTGTGTTTTAACAAGTGCCAAAGGTGATCTGAAGCACCTGCAAGTCTGAGAACCATGACAATAGAAGAAAAGGAAATGCAGACAAATGAGAAGAAAAAAGTGAATTTAGAAATAAAGGGAAGATTCAAGCCCAGTGAGTGACCCCTGTCATCAGAGGGGTGTGGCAGGTGGCCCTACAAGAGCTTCACAGCGCAAGTCAACTTCCCATGAGCCCAGACAGGTCTACAGATGTGGCTCTCCAGACTCTATGTTGAGAGGAATGTTGAGGCCATACCTCAGAAGGAAATCACACAGAGACAAATAAGCAAGGCTGTGTGGGCCAGGAGGAGCAGGGGACAACCTGCCAATTTGCCCCTAAGGGCGAGAAATTGAAACTGGGGTTAGAGAGTTAGACAAGCACCTTGGATAGAGCCCTATAGTGTTTTTTGTTTTTGTTTGTTTGTTTGTTTGTTTTTTTACTGAGCAGGTCTTACTATGGTAACACCTGGTCATAAAATTCTAAAATCATTTGTTTAGAAAAGGATATGGCAATTCACTGAGCCCAGTTCCCCAGCCATGGTCTCCAGCACACTTCCACTAAGAAGCCCCTAGCAATGGAAGGTCAGCTGTCTCTAAAAGCTGTGCATTCTATCTTTGGAGAAATGTGGACCTGAAACGTTTCTGCAGACATCCTGGCCCTCCCTGAAAGTTTTACCCTATGAGGGACTCAACAGAGGTGATTTGACATTAGGACACTCTGATGCACACATGCACACAGTAGTTCTCAGAAATGTGACTTTCTTTCTTTCTTTCTTTATGACAGTCCTTCCTCTAGGGTGCTGGGCATGCCTTCGTTTCTCTATTCTGTGAGTACTTGTGCTCATGGGGCCTGCGCTGGGTGCTGAAGAGACATTGCTCAGGTGAGCAAAACAATCAGGGGCCTGCCTTCTGGAAATTGAATCTAATAGGAGCATCAGATATTAAACAGCTAGAAAAATACATATTAAATTTTCAGTGTGACAAGTATATAAAATAAAAAATTCCACAAGAAATCTTATCAAGTTCCTTTCCATGAAAAGAACGAACTTGAATTGTTATTGTCTGTCTTGCGTTGAGTCTTTGGACTCATTGTTAATTGATCCAATGTCATTTTAGCCAGCTCTTAACCTCCACACTTTTTCTTCCTTCATAGGAAAATTCCACTGCCACAAAAAGTACAAGGAAATATGCTATGCAATCCTACCTTTATGAAATTTACAATCTAGTATAGGAGATGAACTTAAAATAATTGTAAGGAAGCTGTGAACCATTTCTGCAATACATGTTTAAGCGTGGAAGGGAGAGTTGCGAAGAAGGCATTAACAGCAACTCACGGAAAGCTTCAGTGGGAAGGTGGGATGTGAGCTGAGTCTTTTAGGATGAGCAAAATGTGAAAGGTAAGCAAAACAGAGCAGCCTCTGCTGTGTGTGGCGGGGTGGGGGGGTTGTGGGGGGAAGGAGGGGAGGGAGGGGAGAGAGAGAGAGAGAGAGGTTTCTATCTTAATAATAGAGATGTTATAGTGAAAATGGCACACAAAATGCACCAACAAGATCTGTTTTTTTTTTTTAGGCCCTTCAACTATTTTTTTAGGCCCTTCTTGCTTGTATTTTATGATTTACAAATTTTCATACTTTTGTAATCAGGAAAAATAAATATGATATCAAACTTAAAGTTAAAAAATGCATCCAAAGGCACTGACGTACGCCAGGCAGGCAACTTCATTCTCCCATGTGTCCAACACAGAACTCACAAGACTCTTGGCTGGATGTCCTCTTTTCAGGAAAGAAGGTTCATTTTTAGAGATAATTACACACTGTGTAAGCATAGAAGTCTCCCTTTTATTCTGAATGGTTTCCTGAAAACGCTGTAACTACTGCATTTAGTTGTGGCAAACTTGGGTGTTCAAGAGGCATGGAACAGCCAGAAAGGGTTCATAAAGCCTGGGCCAGATTCAGCACAAAGATTTTTCTAGGCTCAAAAAAGGGTCTGTAACTGGACCAGACTGATCTGAGCACCTCCTCATACTTTCTGGCTGTTTCTGATCTATCCTCGACATGTTACACCGTATTCTTGTTTAATCTTTATAGCACAGAGGGGATAAAGAACACAGAGGCTTAGGAAGATGAGGGTGGTCGGTGGGTATCACATCGCTACCTTGATCCAGGCCTGTCTCCGCTCTCCGCTGAACCAAGCTTACACCATGGGGTGCTCATCCTGGCCTTGCTCTCTGAGGAACTTTCCAATAGTAGGTGCATTTATTTTAAGGCAAAACAAGAATCTGTCTGTAAGTACATCTTGGAGTGTGAGGGTCGAGACGGCTGATGCTGTCTGTGTCTATTGGTTCTGTCAGTGCCTGTTTGAAAAAGAGGCTGGTATTTTATCAGTTTTATCTTTGTTGATTCCAAGATGTTTGTCTCGTGATTGCATTTTCTTCCATGGCTAAATATTTCTGAGGGGTTTTAAAGTCATAATAATTGATATCCTTTCAAACATGCTTTCTCCTGTTTTTCTGTTTTTGACTGAAACTGAATCTCTGCCTTCTTTTTCTTTTTCTTTTTTTTTTTTTTTTTTTTTTTTTTGAGATGGAGTCTCACTTTTTCTCCAGGTTGGAGTGCAGTGGTGTGATCTTGGCTCACTGCAACCTCTGCCTCCCTGGTTCAAGAGATTCCCCTGCCTCAGCCTCCTGAGTAACTGGGACCACAGGCACACACCACCACGCCCAGCTAATTTTTGTATTTTTTGTAGAGACGCGGTTTCATCATGTTGGTCAGGAGGGTCTCAATCTCTTGACCTTGTGATCCGCCCGTGTCAGCCTCCCAAAGTGCTGGGATTACAGACGTGAGCCACCGCCTGGCTCAGCCAATTTCTGTCTTCTTATAAGCTCATTTTGGGGGTGAAAGCCTCTTTCATTTCTCCTCTGGCTTCTGGGCGCTCTCATCTTCCTCCCTGACGACCAGGCATGCATGAGAAGCAGAGACTGCCCAGCGTGAACCTGATCTGTGTCTGCTGCTGGATTCTGACCCAACTGGGGATGCCTGTGCACTGGAGGGCAAGGATACCTGAAGGTGTTTTCACAGGGGATTTGGGGACTGCTTAGAAAGAGCTAAGCTGGAGCAGGGCCTAACATAAAGAGCACAAACTAGAGATTCTCTCTGGTTGTTTAGGAGGAAAAGTGACGGAAGTAGATGTTGCTTAACTCGCTCCAGACCTCACCTCCACTGTGCAATGACACAGTGCTCACAAATGGCTGGTGGAGACCCGAACTGGAGCCAGAGGCCAGGCAGGATACTGCTTCGTGGGAGGATGAAGAAGGGCTTTGTACTACCTGCCCCAACTTCGACACCATTTGCAGATGAAGCTCCAAGAAACATGAAAACCAGACAGCTATAGCGCTTTGGGTGGAGTGTGCTGCTGGGCACAGCAAATATAAATGGCCTTAAAGAAAAAGCAGAATGGACAATGAATGCCATCCCTTAAAGCGACGTCTTTGCTGCAGCCTCTTCATTTGCCCTCGGATTAATGCGTGATAGTTTCCTGTCCCTGGTACTTGGGGCTGTGCAGTGAGGTGAGTAGGACGTTACCTCTGGGGGGTGGAGGAGAATCAGATAAACTCAGCCAGACCAAAGAGTGAGTGACTGAAGTTCTCTGGAAGGACAGGCTTCAGTCCTGGGATTGAGGGTAGCAGTTAAGGGTCCATTTGGCTTAAGGCAGAGAAAGGTATGTTAGCCTGTGAGGGCTGCCATAACAAAGTCCCACAGACGTGATGTCCTAAACAATAGTAATTCATTTCTCAGAGTTCTAGAGGCTCAAGTCCAAGGTTAAGAAGTCAGCAGGGTTGGTTCTTCTGGAGGCCTGTCTTCTTGGCTCTCAGACGCCACCTTCCTGCTCTGTCCTCATGTGGCCTCTCCTCTGTACACAATCACCCTCTCCCCTGGTGCCTTCCCCTTCTTACCGGGACACCAGTCAGATTGGATTAGGGCTATCAGTGTGATCTCATTTTACCTTAATTACTTCTTTAAAAGCTTTATCCTTAAATATCATCACAGTGGGGTTAGGGCCTCAACACACAATTCAGTTCATAAGAAAATGGGACACCAATGAAAAAATGCCAGGCATCCAGAATAGAACTAGATAACAAAAGTGCTAACAGAACTTAGAAGTGAGAGGGAGGGGCCGGGCACGGTGGCTCACACCTGTAATCCCAGCACTTTGGGAGGGTGAGGCAGGCGGGTCACCTGAGGTCAGGAGTTTGAGACCAGCCTGGCCAAAATGGTGAAAACCTGTCTCTACTAAAAATACAAAAATTAGCCGGATGTGGTGGCATGCACCTGTAATCCCAGCTACTTGAAAGGCTGAGGCAGGAGAATCACTTGAACCCGGGAGGTGGAGCTTGCAGTGACCTGAGATTGTGCCATTGCACTCCAGCCTGGATGACAAGAGCAAAGCTCCGTTCCAAAAAAAAAAAAAAGTGAGAGGGAGAGAAGAGGGGGCTCCTTGTCCCCACACGACCACTGCACCTCAATTTCTCCTCTAGAGATGTCCCGTGTGCAGGCATGTGCACCTTGTGTACCACTGGCCACGACAGCTATATTGCAAATACTCTGATTTTAGTCAACTGTGCCACCCTTTCCTAGAAATAGTTTAATCAGATAGCAAAAATATATATACAACAACGAAACATAAATATTAAAATTCAAAGTGAAGTAAAAATAAAGGAAAACAGTAAAAGGTAACGCAGTGGAGAAAATGATCATAGTACAGAAAAATTCATACAGAGAGCTTTCTCATAGTTACCAACTGTTTCCTCCAACGTTCTGTCTAAGCCCCTCATAACCAAAGCAATAGGACCACATAACCAGTTTTAAGCCTTGTATTGTTCATGGGAACAACTGGAAGCTCCGCTGAGGGTTCACCATGTTTGTCATCGCCTCCCCAGCACTTCTCACAGCCCCTGACATGGCACTAGATGGCGGTTAATAGATGGACGATGAAGAACATGAATGATGCATAAGTACGATGGTTAATTTTGTGCATCCACTTGACTGGGCCACTAGATGCTCACATATTTGGTGAAACATTATTCTGGTTTTTTTTTTTTTTTTTTTTTTGAGAGGGAGTTTCACCATGTTGGTCAGGCTGATCTCGAACTCCTGACCTCAGGTGATCCGTCTGGCTTGGCCTCCCAAAGTGCTGGGATTACAGGCATGAGCCACTGTGCCTGGCCTATTCTGGGTGTTTTTGTGAGGGTCTTCTTGAGGGAGATTAACATGTAAATTGGTAGACTGGGTAAACAGATGCCATCCCTGATGTGGGTGGGCCTCGTCCAGTCGAAGCCTGAATACAACAAAAGCCTGGTGTTCCCCTGAGAAGGAAGTGTTCTCTTCCTGCCTGAGAGCTTTGGGACTAGGGCATTAGCTTTGTCTATGCCTCCAGACTTGAATGGAAACATAGGCTCTTCAGGAGTCTTGAGCCCGCCAGCCTGCAGACTGGAACTCCAGCATGGGTTCTCCTGGGTCTCCAGCTTCCCGACTCACCTTGTAGATCTTGGCACTTGCCAGCCTCTTAATCACATGAGCCAATACCTTACAATCATTTACTCTCTAGATAGATAGGTAGATAGATCCACCCTACTGGTTCTGTTTCTCTAAAGAAATGTGACATACAACAAGTTAATTCATTTTTTAGCACTCAGATGTGAGGGACATTTCTCTTGCACATCTAAAAGACAGCACAATGATGAAGTGAAATGTATGTGGCTGTTATTGTTCTAATAGATTAGAAGGTATTAGTAAACAAGTGTCTCAGTATTTAATGTGCATATGAATCACCCAGGGGTCTTGTAAAAGTAAAAACTTGGATTCAGTATGTCCAGGGTGGGAGCCTCCAGGTGTCTGGCCCCTTAGCCCACAGCTAAAGAGGGAGCTCTTAGAGTCTTTCTCAACACCACCTATGGAGATAAGGACAAATAACTTGTGGGGTCACCCTAGCTACAGGAGCTACCTTCCCTCTATTCTCTCAGAGCCTACCGTCGGGGGTCACAGGTCCTGGAGCTCTGCTGGATGGTCCTACGGGCTCCACCCCTAAAAGACTGTCTTTGTGATTTAAGGAGGCAGCCAAAGTGACTGCCTCTAGCTTCCCTGTGACCTGTGTTCTGGAGGAGGTAAAGAGTGGGTCTAGACTAGCCCAGCTACTCTGAATGTAGTTCTTCATTCTTTTGCAAATCACACCAGTGGTGGCCCATGGATCACTGCTCTCTATTTTTTGCAACTATAAATTTGAGGCTCCTCTGGGGCCCCCTTGGGCAGGCAGCATGCTCCAGCCTCTAGTGTTGGGCTGCGATCTCTAATTCTTTCTTTTTTTTCTATCAATCCATTTCAATCTGCTTTCTATCTCCCAAGATATCTCAAAATATCTGGTCCACTGCCGGCTCCCTTCCTTATGTTTAAGCAAAGTTCTATATTTTCTGCCAATTCAATGGGTAATTGGGGAAAGAGAAGTAGTTACAATGTTCAGTCCACTTTCGTGATCCAGAAATCTGGGCCATTTTCAAAGGCTCTGCATGTGGTTCTTAAATATTATGCTGAATCAACAAAGAGCGTGTTGCCAAACTGAAAATCTCGTGCAGTTGGCTGCTTCTCCATCGTAGCTCAGAACAAGGGTACACAATAAAGTGATGTGACATATACAGTGCTTTAAAATCTTCCTTATTGAAGTGTAACAGGCATTTAGAAAAGTGTACAAAGTCAGCAGGGCTCAGCTCAATGAATTCCACGAGCCGAATTCACCCATGTAACCAGCACCCAGATCAAGAACTTCAACATTAGCAGCAGGTCAGAGGGCCGGCCTTGGCTTGAGCTACTCCCTCCCCACTCCCAGAGATGACCTCTGCCTCTGCTTCTATCCCACAGATTAGTGTATTTATGACAATGGAATCATACCATATGTATTCTTTTGTGTCTGGCTTCTTCTACTCAACATTACATTTGCAAGATGCTTCCATGTTTCATGTATAAATTTGTTCACTTTTATTTCTCTATAGTATTTAATGTACAGATGAACCACAATTAATTCACTCTAGCCTTTTTTTATCCAGCATTATTGAGATATAACTTATATGCCATATGATTCACCCATTTAAAGTTTTTATGTGGATGTATGTTTTCATTTCTCTTAGGTATGTACCTAGAAATAGAATTACTGAGACATATGGTAACTCCGTGATAAACTTTTTGAGGAGCTGCCAAAATGTTTTCCAAAGTGGCTGAACCATTTTATACTCCCATCAGCAATGTATAAGGGTTCTGATTTCTCATATCGGTACCGACACTTGCTATGGTCTATCTTTTTAACTGTAGCCATTCGAGGGGGTGTAACCTAGTCTCTTCTTGTGGATTTGATTTGTATTTCCTTAATGACTAATGACATTGAGAGTGTTTTCATAGGATGATTGGCAATTTGTACATCCTATTTGGAAAAATGTCTATTGAAATACTTTGTTCATTTTAAAATTGTGTTATTTGCTTTTTGAAAATATTGAGTTGTAAGGTGTTCTTTATATATTCTGGGTGCAAGTCATTTAGCCATTATATGATTTTCACATAATTGTCTCATTCTGTGGGGTGTTTTCTTGCTTTCTTAAAGTATTATTTGCAGTACAATAGTTTTAAATTTTGATGTAGTCTACTTTATTATTTTCTTTTTTGTCATTCATGCATTTGGTGTTACATCTAAGAAACTATTATCTGATCCAAGTCACTAAGATTTAGTTCTATGTTTTCTTCTAAGGGTTTTATAGTTTTAGCTCTTACATTCATGACTTATTTTGAGTTAATCTTCTTAGTTTGGTGTGAGGTAAGAGTGCACATTTATTCTTTTGCAGATAGATAGCCAGTCTTCTTAGAACTGTTTGTTAAAGAGACTATTCTTTCCCCCATTGAGCGGTCTTGGTAGCTTTGTCAAAAATCAACTGACCCTAGATACATGAGTTTTTTTCTTGACTCTCAATTGTATTCCACTGATTATATATCTATCCTCATGGCAGTCCCACACTGTCTTGATTATTGCATCTTTGTAGTAAGATGTAAAATCAGTAACTGTGAGTCCTCCAACTTTGTTCTTCTTTCTTAAGATTGTTTTGGCTATACTAGGCCCTGTCCTTTTCCATATGAATTTTGGCTTGTCAATATCTGCCAAAAAAGGCAGCTCAGAGTTGAAAAATGATTTATATTGATGTTTATTGGCCTGAAGTTTTCTTTTTTGTTATATCTATTGCCAGGTTTTGGTATCAGGATGATGCTGGCCTCATAGAAGGAGTTAGGGAGAAGTTCCTCCTTTTCAGTTGCCTGGAATGGTTTCAAGAGAAATGGCACCAGCTCTTCTTCATACATCTGGTAGAATTCAGCTGTGAATCTGTCTGGTCCTGGGCTTTTTGTGCTTGGGAGGCTATTTATTACTGCCTCAATTTCAGAACTTTTATTGGTCTGTTCAGAGATTCAGTACTTTGACTACGGCATCCCACTGCCTCTTGAGCTCCTTCTTTTCTGATCAGAAACCAGTTCTGATATTATTGGGATTCCCTTGAACTTAATAAGTTATTTTCATCTTGCTGATTTCAAGATTCTCTGTCTTTATCTCTCTATACTTTGTGAGGTATCTATATTATGTTTATCCCACTTGAACTTTTTTGAGCTTCCTAGATATATATAATTAATGTTTTTCAATAAATTTGAGAAGTTTTCAGCCATATTTTTTTGAATATTCTCCTACTCCTTTTTCTCTCTCCTGTCTTAGAGCTTTCTTCTGCAACTACTCCAGAGATGGTGCAGCCTGGGGCATACACATAGTCTTCCATACTGCCAGGGCTAAGGGTGACTTTGTTATTAAGGCTGAATTCCTAGGAGTAGCCCCTGGATCAGAATAGTTTATGGTTCCATCAGTGTTTGGTCTGAGGTTGTGTCTAAGCCTTTTTTATGAGTGAGGCTTCCACTCTGTGTTGATGAGTCTGTGTGCCTTTTGGGGAATGCATTCAAGTCCACCCCACTTCCTGCTCTGATTGTTCCTCAATGAGTGAAGTCTAGTGCATGCTATCCTGACCCCAGAGTTGACTGTGATCTCAGGAGGATTCTTGTTGGTCATCACCTTCCCTGGTTATCTCTGTTAAATGCTATTAAACATATTACCACTCTGTCATTTTGCATGCATTCTGCAACTACCAGCCTATTCTTCATTAATCTTCACCAAGATCTCCATTCTTTTCAACAATACCTTTAGGAATGGGGTCCTCCCACCCTGTTCCAAATCAAGTCAGCTCTGTCAAGCAGAGCTACAGAACTCTTCATACTTATGGCCCATCCTCCCCTTTAGGAAAAGCCCCTGCGGATTGTATCAGCATAGTGAGTGAGGGTTCTCCTTTTCCACAATGACACCTTTCTCTACAATGGACACTGGGAAGGGACAGCCTTGATTTTCTTGCCTTACCCTTTCAGATGTGGAATCTTTTCCCTATAAGCAAGTGCAGACAGAAGACATAGATGCCCCAGTACTCTTGCCTGCCTCATCTAGGATAAAGCATCTTCCCCAGGAGAGGGGACTGGATGAGGGGAAAGAGACAGGTACTTCCTGTTCCACTTGTCTGGAATAGAGCTTTTGCAACACAAGACTGAGAGGAGGGTGAGAAACGCTACTGCATGCTCCTTCTAGGGTGGAACCATAGCCCCAGACTGGGAGCTGGAAGAGAGGGAACTCTCCATCTTCTAGCTGCACACATCCATGGAAGAGCTTCTGCAGCCAGGGGGTTGGAAGAGGTAGTTAATAGAGCAAGTCATAGCTCAAATGCCATAGACTCTTGCTAATATCACAGAGTTTAACAGATTTTTTTGAATGAATGTTTTTTCTTCATTTGCTGTGTATGTTTAGAACAATTTCCAGAGACCTTTAGACCTTAAATGATGTTTTATATATATATATGTGTATATATGTGTATATATGTATGTGTGTGTATATTTTACACACATATATGTGTGTGTATATTTTATATATATATATATATATATATATATATTTCCAGTTAATTTACTGGGAAGAAGGCCTGTGGGCTCCTTACTGTGTCATTACAGGAGGTTCTTTCTCCTGTGTGTTCTGTTCTTGATGGACATTTGGGTTGCTTTTGGCTTGGCCCCATTATAAAATAATGCTTCTGTGAATGACCTTGAAGATGTCATATCATGAATAGATGTGCATCTTTTTGTTGGGTACATCTACTATATACCTAGGAGTAACTTGTTCATTGATAAGGCTGCATATATTCAGCTTTAGTTATTGATATTACCAAAATGTTTTTTAAAATAACCATACCTATTACACTCCTAATGTAGGTCAACTTATCCATCTTTTCATAGGTAGTTTTAGTAAATTAAAAAGTTTGAAAAGTTTAAATACTTGGTTGTGAATCAAAATGAAAAACGTGAATCAGAAAAAGTGAATTCAAAAATTATACATTTTTCTAATTTTTAGTATAACCTAGATTTAAAGTAAAAAAGCTATTACTTATAGTTTCTATACCTATTCAATATCTATGAACCATGTACCCAAGATGGAGAGAGTCTAGCCAAATACTTCCCTCCCCTCTCAAAATTCAGTTGACTTTTTAAACGAGGTATTTATTAAACCACCTCCAGCTGTTTGTCTTGACGCCAGCATTCTGCCACTCCGGTGTCTATGAAAAAGAACTGCAGCCCCTCTGCCCTGTGTGTTTAGATTGGTAGTCCTTGGCTCTCAGGCTTCCCTCCAGGTCCTCACTCTTTACTTGCTCTCATGTTATTTCTCATCTGCAGATTCTGAAATTTTGGCTTTTTTCTTGAATATCTGCACTGTTTTTCCCTTTAGATATAATGATAGTCATTTCCCCAGCTTTGATCCTTGGTGCCCCAGAGATGTATCTTAACATTCTGTTTGTTCCTACTCTGCTGTTATATATAATCTTTAGTGGATACTGCTGTTGACTTTCCAGCTTGTAATTTAGTTTTCTTCTGATGCAAGGTAAGTTAGAGAATTGAATTCAGATCACATTGTGGGAATGATATTTTTTGGGTGACTGTTGAATTCATAAATTGCAAAGGCCACCATCCTAGGGTTCACGTTTGTTGGAGGATATATGGCAGGTAAGTAAGTTGAGGTTAAATCATGAATTTCAAGCCAGGGACTTTTAGGTTTTCTATTCTAAGAGAAGTGGAAGCTATTCCACAAATTTCATAGACTCTATGATGATCAGATTGGCAGAGGTATATCATCCTAGATGTATCAGGTTCTGCTTGGATGTGTGGGGTATGTGAGATCTTGGAGCATTGGGGTATAACCTGAATTTGGGGAGAAATCAAAGCAAGCTTGAACTCTCAACTTTATTGTCAAATAAATAAAAATTAAAATTAAAAAACGAGTAATTGCCCGGCATGGTGGCTCACGCCTGTAATCCCAGCACTTTCGGAGGCCAAGGAGGGTGGATCACTTGAGGTTGGAAGTTTGAGACCAGTCTGACCAACATGGAGAAACACCGTCTCTACTAAAAATACAAAATTAGCTGGGCATGGTGGCACATGCCTGTAATCCCAGCTACTTGGGAGGCTGATGCAGGAGAATCGCTTGAACCTGGGAGGCAGAGGTTGCGGTGAGCCGGGATCGCACTATTGCACTCCAGCCTGGCAATAAGAGTGAAACTCCATCTCAAAAAAAAAAAAAAAAAAAAAAAGTAATTGAGCCCTTTGAGCCCTTTACCCAGTGAAGAAAGAGCAGAGTTGCTCATTCCCTTTGGCTTCTCTTGAAAGAAAAGGTGAGTAGCACAGTTATTTCTTCATAATCTCTTTAAAGGGCTACTTGTAAGTACATTTCAAGTAGCACAATAGTGATGAGCCGACGCTGTGTATTACAATCTGCTTTTACTTACTACAACCGAGTCCCTCAGTCCAGTTGCACAATGCCAGCCACTTCAGCTTTCCCATATGCAAATACGATTCAGGAGCTCCCTCTGCAATGGGATCAAGTAAAAGAAAACATTTTTTACAGTTAAAAGAAAGCAATTTATATAACCAGGAATTGAAGATGCTTTAAAATTTTAATAGTAAGTAGGAATAATACTAATTTCTTAAGAAAAAGTAGGACAGGCCAGGAGCGGTGGCTCACGCCTGTAATCCCAGCACTTAGGGATGCCAAGGCAGGTGGATCACCTGAGGTCAGGAGTTTGATACCAGCTTGGCCAATATGGCGAAACCCTGTCTCTACTAAAACAAAACAAAATAAAATACAAAAATTAGCTGGGCGTGGTGTCAGAAGCCTGTAATCCCAGATTCTCAGGAGGCTGAGGCAGGAGAATGGCTTGAACCTGGGAGGCAGAGGTTGCAATGAACTGAGGTCACGCCATTGCACTCCAGCCTGGGTGACAAGAGAGAAACTCAGTCTCAAAAAAAAAAAAAAAAAAGAAAAAAGAAAAGAAAAGAAAAGAAAAAGTAGGATTAATTCACTATTTATGTTTCAAGTGCTATTCTAAGGACTTTATAAACAGCCTCTCTAATTCCACAATAGTCCCAATAGGTAGTTGTTATTATTCCCATTTTATAGATGAGAAAGCTGAGTTCTGAGGATCATTACATAGTGGCTGTGGCAGGTGAGATCCAGCCACATTGAGCTTGAAACAGGGTTGTGATACTGAATCTGCCTTCCTCGTGGTTCAGCAGATGGAATCCTTTATTTAGAGTGGAAAGAAACAATTGTCATCTTTAGGCATCAGTCTGTATGAAATTAATATTTCCCACCTCCCTCTTCTCATCTGTAAAGTGGGGACTAGGGAACATCTTCAGCTTATTTCCCAAATTCTCGTTAAGGACCACCTGAGGGAGGATAAACAGCAGAATGAAAATAGCAAAACACAACATGACATCTTGGAGCTCTGTTCTAGCTGATCCACAAACATTCCACGACACTTGAGATCTGCTGCTGACTTGAGTGAGCGGATATCTTCAGGAAATAATTAGCCCTTCCCAGTAACAAAAGAGTAGGTAGGGCTCTGGAGTTTGGGCACCCAAACACAGAACACTGGGACTAGAAGGTTTTGTGAAGAATTGAAAAAAGAAGTTATCATTTATGGTATTTTAAATCTTTCTTTTTAATCAACATACATGTAATATTTTTCCAAAGTCAGGTTTCTCTTCAGATTGGTGGTGGTATTTACCATTTCTCTTATTTTTATTTATTTATTTATTTTGAGATGGAGTCTCGCTCTGTCGCCAGGCTGGAGTGTAGTGGCACAATCTCTGCTCACTAAAACCTCCCCCTCCTGAGTTCAGGCTACTCTCCTGCCTCAGCCTCCCGAGTAGCTGGGACTACAGGTGCGCACCACCATGCCCAGCTAATTTTTGTATTTTTAGTAGAGGCAGGATTTCACCATGTTGGCCAGGATGGTCTCGATCTCTTGATCTCGTGATCCTCCTGTCTCGGCCTCCCAAAGTGCTGGGATTACAGGCATGAGCCACCACACCCGGCCGTCAGCCATATTTACCATTTCTAATCTACGACGTAAGTAATCTCCATAAACCACTCTACCTCACGTATGTTAGTGAGGCCCCATACACTGAACATTGTCCATCAATTGTTTCTCTATTTGCTGTTAAACATTTTAATAGGGTCTTCTCAAAACATAACAAGATGCTTTGATATTTTTGTTTGTTCTTAAAATTAGGAAATATGAAGAAAGAAAAGAACTGAAGTGAGCTACCTTGGGGCCTTAGAGGGAAGGCCAGCAGTATTGTCAACCCATTTGGTTCTGCCAAATCATGATGAAAGTAATGGCCCAACCCGGCTGAGAGTAAGCCCCTGTGTTTCTCTGCAGCAGATGACTGAGAAGCAGCCAGGCTGGTCCCCATTCTGAGCTGCAGCCCAGCCTGCTCCTGTTCACTTCCTCTGTCGTTCTGGGAGGTTTGTCAGCTTGCACCTCTTCAGCTCCTTCATGCTGACATCATGTTGGAAAAGCCACTTTACTTCTTAGAGATTCAAATAACCCAAGCCTTGCTTGACTTGCTTCTCAGGACAACAGAATAGACACCAATCAGAAACTCCATGGCAGTGTGAACTGTTTTTACCTTCCAGGCCCTGCCTTTCTCTGCTGGCTGTCTTCATCGGGATCACACCAGAACTTCTAGCTTATCACATCTTTGCTTGACTAACTTCAATTCATCCTCTAAGACTTAGCTCAGGTATGACCTGCCCTGGGAAGCTCCTTTGAGACCCTCACTGCCCTCCCAGGGCCATATGCTGATTTTCTCTATGACAATTTTACATTAAAGCCGTGTGCCCATTTTGCCTACTAAACTTGGAGCTTGTTTTGCAGAGGGAAATTCCCTAATGATCTTAATGGTACTCTCTGTTAGCCTGAAGCCTGGTATCCTGTAGACATTGATTCTTATAATAATATTGATGAATGAATAAACAAATGAGAAATTGTGAAGATGGGGCATTATCTTTCTAATGATCATCACTGTATTTGGTGTAACCATTCATATTCATTTAATGCCAAGATATAGTAGCAAGTGCAAAGGTATACTGCCAACTGTGTGAAATGCTATTGATAGATACTTCTGCTGAAACCATGTACATTATATGCTAATAAAATAAACTAAAATATGTCTTGTGTTCCTCTAAGTGCTTTGCAAATATCAACTCATGTAACCTTCATACAACCCTATGTGGTATATGCTATTATTAACCTCAATTTTCAGATGGAGAAACAGGTATAGAGAGTTAAACACCTAGTTCAAGACCGAAGAGCTACAAAGAAGACAGAATTGGAGTTCAGACAGTCTTTGCTCAGGGTACGTTCTCTGCCCAGGCAGGGCGGGCATTCCTAGTGGGTCCTTCTCCCTTGCCTCTTTGAGGTGACTCACACCCTCTTTGGAGCAATTGCCTGATTTTATTGAAAGTGTCCATTTTCATTTTGGCTTGGTCTAGTAGACCGTGAATTCTTTAAGAAAGGTCATATTTCCCCACATCTTTCAGAATTCCTGGCACGTAACGGGTGCTGATTTTTGTTTGTTTTTTGTTTAATGAGTAGACGATCAAAGATTCATTGAGTTGTGGAATCATCACATACCTCTGGAAGAAGCTGAGAGAAAATTTTGCGAGTTGCAAATGCCAGCTTAAGTGTTCAAATTGGTGCTTCCCAGCTTCACCACAGGGATGTCCTGTGTCCAGTGAGATAAGAAAAGTAGTTCAACAGAAAGTGACCCTCTTGTTAAATGTTTATGAAATGTAAAACATGGTAGTAATGGTCCTCTTTTACATCAGCTAAATAAATTATGTTCTTGGTCCACCCACCAGTGGACTTTTATGTCTTGGTTTCCTAACTACAAATTAATTCTGAGTAACATCTTCACTCAAACTTCCTGATAAAATAATCATATGCAATATAAAGGGGCCTTGAATTTTCCCTTAAGATTATAATTTCAAAGTCATTCTAGAATTGAGAGGAAAGAGAAGGGAAAGAGGGAGAAAAGAACCAAATAGCTATTTCAGTAAAGAGCACTTTCCTGGCTTTGGAGAGAATACAACAAAGGAGTAATCCTGCAATGGGTGAATACAACAAGCACAAAAGTTACAGTCTATGGACTCAGTCTGTAGGTGAAGACTGTGGTAATGTAGGAGGCTACATCGGTGATCCAGGCTGGCTTTTCCAAAGCCTGCTTGTGAAGATATTGGATTCCAAAACCTGAAAGATATTAGAGTCTCCTAAAGCTTTGCTCTGCCTGAGGCTTGCATTCCCCTGTGAACTCAGAATTTAGTGAATTTAAATCCACATGGACTTTAGGAGGCTTTGAGCTAGGATGAAACATGGACTGTCATTTTGAAGGTTTTTGCAGATATATTAATTTATCCTGAACTGCAGATGCAGGCACATTCAAGAGGCCTAACCTGTCTATCTCATCCAATTAGGGACCAAAGTGTATTGGAGTTCACATAATTCAGTCTCCCATCTCTATGTAGATACTTCCCAAACCACCCAAGGCTGAATGTAAAAAAGTCAGTTGGCAGTGAAGGATAAGACTACATCCTCTCTCCTGGAGCCTTTTCCATGTTCTTTCAGAACCTCATGGCTATGCTGCAATCACCTTATTTAACTCTTAAGTGGTAAGCAAGTGTCCTTAAAACAGGCCCAATCTGGGCCAGGCATGGTGGCTCACACCTGTAATCCCAGCACTTTGGGAGGTCAAGGCAGGAGGATCACGAGGTCAGGAGATCGAGACCATCCTGGCTAACATGGTGAAACCCCGTCTCTACTAAAAATACAAAAAAAAAAAAAAAAAATCAGCTGGGTGCAGTGGCAGGCGCCTGTAGTCCCAGCTACTCGGGAGGCTGAGGCAGGAGAATGGCGTGAACCCAGGAGGCGGAGGTTGCAGTGAGCCGAGATCACGCCACTGCACTCCAGCCTGGGCTACAGAGCTAGACTCTGTCTCAAAAACAAACAAATAAGCAAAAACAAAACAAAACAAAACAAAACAAAACAAAACAAAAAAAATAGGCCCAATCTGAGTCCACACCCTTCCCTGACATTTCCTTCCAGGATAACTGTATTCCCATCTCTCCAAATCTGCTGTCTTTATTTCTTCTTAATCCTTCCCCAGATTTACTCTTTACCTGATGCAAGCAGGAAAATTTAGAAAAATGATATTTTCCAAAATATGTATCTCTCTAATTAAAAATGTGGTAGTAAGGTCAGTTTGGTAAATATTTGTGGAGTTCCAACTCTGTGTCCGACAGTAGAAGAATACGAAGAATAACAAGTCACAGCCACTGCATGAAGCGTAAAGACATTAAACCAAACATACAGAAACAACTGCAATGTAAATAAGAACTCTAAAGGTTCTAATGGGAGAGAACTCATACACTTAGGCCTGTGTTCCCCAAGGCATGCTCCATGTATCTTCTGCATCAGACTCATCTGAATGTTATTGAAATGGACGTTTTGAGAGTCTACTCCAGACCTGTGGAATCAGAATCTCTACAGGCAGGACTTGGAATTCTTTACTTTAATCAACACCCACAAAACCAAACGTTTTGTTCTCTGAATGACTCAAGAGAGTCAGAGATCTGCTTGGAGGCAGTAGAATTAAAGATGGTTGCAATTTCAAAAATAAGAAATGCAAGAAAGGGATTTTGTGCAGAAGGAGCAGTAAGGCACCGCCGGGCGCGGTTGCTCACGCCTGTAATCCCAGCACTTTGGGAGGCCGAGGCGGGCGGATCACGAGGTCAGGAGATCGAGACCATCCTGGCTAACATGGTGAAACCCCATCTCTACTAAAAAATACAAAAAATTAGCCGGGCGTTGTGGCGGGCGCCTGTAGTCCCAGCTACTCCGCAGGCTGAGGCAGGAGAATGGCCCGAACCCGGGAGGCGGAGCTTGGAGGCACCGAAAAAAAGCCTTGGGAAGCATCCTGGGAAGGAATGCACTTTGGCTGGAACATACTGTATGTGAAGATGAGCCGGGCAAGATGAGCCGGAACGTGACATTGGGTCTTCTGCCCTAAGACTATTACTTGTTTGAAGACTGCTAAAGGGCAGACTGCACTTCTGTTAAGTTTGGTTACGACTCTAATCTCATGAGGATATTTAATTTATTTTTCACTTCAATTGGTTTCTTAGCATGATATTATGGTATAGTGAAAACAACTTCAGTTTTTTATTTCTGATTTTGTTTTCCTTAAACCAGCATTGATGTAAATTCTAGCCCCATCACGTATTAGCTTTATGATCTCATGCTAAATCAGAGCCTCAGTTTGTGCACCAACCAAATGGACATAACAACAACCAGTTGTCTTTAGGGATTAGCAGTAATGCACAGTAGTGACCTGGGATATAAGAAGCACTCAATAAAGGGAAGCTATCATTGAAGAATTATTGAACTTTTAGGACATCGGGAAAGAAGCTTGGTTTTTCCTGACCTCTCCTTGGATCTAGCAAATCACCTTACGATTTTTATCTTCAGATTCAACTGTCTACCTGGTGTATTTACGATCTCACTGAATTTCAACTTCTGAAACTCTTTTAAAGCCATGTCAGCCAGGGACAGCGTTGAGTCCTTGTGTTAGGATGGCCTGGTGCCAAGGCAAATGTTTAAGCTTGGCTGAGGGCTTGACAAGTTGCATTCAATGAATGTTCTACGTTTTAAAGAAAATGAAAACCCAGGAGCTTTTTTGGGAACAGAGGGTTGGCTTCTCAGCTGGTGGATAATAACCACACAGGTGCACTGCCTCCCAGTGACGCGGGGTGAACATTTGACCCATAGAGCCTGGTGAAGCCATCCCTGGGAAAGCCTGAAGCAAGTGCAGCTCTGAGTGTGTGCAGCTCTGTTTGACTTGGCTGCAGTCCCCACAAACCTGGTGGGGGGTATAGCCCAGAGGAAAACAGCCTTGACACTGACTCTGGTCACTGCCATGCTCTGGGCCACCTGTGGGTTTCACAACCCACTTTCCCTTGCCCACAGCATCCCAGCCAGTTAGTGTGTATTCCCAGAAAAGAAAGATCCCATTGCTCTCTTGCTCCAATGCTCAGTATCTGCCCAGGGTCGACGCCTAAAGGCACTCACCTGTGTACACCTCTGAGCACAGGCGCTGGGCCAGCTGCACCATCAGAAATCTTTGTTGATTCTGAGTCTCTCTCCTATTTCCAAGCATCAATAAATATACAAGTTCTATTGCAATGGGGAAGAAACTAATGTTCAGTAAGCACCTGCCTCCAGCCAGGTGCTTTCACAAGCAGTACTTTGTTTAATCTTCTAAGCAACTGTATAAGAAAGGTGTTAATATATTTATTTGATAAAGATGGTGAGGTTTCGAAGTCTTAAGTAACTTGAAAATGAGACATCAGAGGAGAAAAGATTTGGACTCAGCATTCTGACCCTGAGTTCATGATCTTTGCCTTCACTATGCTGCCTCAATATGTTCTAGAAAGAGCAGTGGGTCAGGGGAGGAGAAATCTGGATTCTAGCCCAAGTTCTCAAATTGGCTAGAGACGAATCGCTCCCTCTATTTCAATGTCTCTGACCCTATTTATAAATGGAGGGTATGGACAAGCTCCCTCTAGGGCTCTTCCAATTTTAATGTATATTTTGGGCTTGCATATCAACCCCTGGGACAAAATATGGGTGTTGGGTATTCTTTGCTTCTGTTAGTCCCTGCCAAAAAAACTCCGTGTGTGTTCTGAGAGACCAGTGGAGAAGCGGTCTAGATGTCATTGCACTGTGGGCTCCATGGTTAGGGAGGACTTTAAGATATGGTGGGCTCTTTTCAGCCCCAATACAGACAGCACAGCCTCTAGTAAAGGTTGTTTACACAACAGGAAGAAGCAGCAACACTCCTATGCCTCCAAGGACAAGAACAAGGGTAGACACTTGATAGACTTCAGAGTGGGCCAGGCCCTGTTGTGGGCTTTTTACGTCTGTTGGCCTCCTTCACCTTTACAACCAAAAGAGTTGGTTTTCCAATTTTGCACATATGTTGAAAAACCGAGGCACAGACATGTCCCACACACAGCTCACAGAGGAGGAGCCAGGCGTTGTACCCTGTTAGTTGCTCTAACCATGACATTATATGTGGTATTTTGACAAAGGCAGGCATGTGGAAACTGCCCATTCAGAAACTTGCTCTATATTTTGAAAAAGGAATAAAATGAATGGTGATTGTGCAGCTGGGGCTCGGTGGCCACCCCACCTATGTCATTTCATTTAATTCTCACAGCACCACTTCATTTAGTTGGCATCTTGGTGAAATCATGGCTGAGAAGTTGGAAAAGATCTGTTTTCAGGGAGCAGAGGTTTTACTGCTGTGGACTTTCTGAACACACATCCTGTGCTCTCCCAGCCACCAGCCTGCTTGAATGGGACAGAATCCCTGGGTCACCCTCTCTTTCTGTCCGGTGACAACCTTCCCTGTTTCTTTATGGGATTCGAAGGTAGGAACGGATTGATCTGTATCACAGTCTTCAGGACTCATTCTTATTTGGGGAGGAACTTCAAATACAGGATGGGAATAAAGGACGTTAGAAAGAATCCTACGGAGCATAACATTTTTAACTATGGATTTGCTTATTTCTCTGCATATCCCTGTCTCCATTAATCCACATGGATTTGAGTGCAGGAAACATCTTTCGTTTCTGCCCTCCAGACCCTAGTGTAGGTCACTGCACAAAGCCAATGGTCCCATCTCCCTTTCTCCTGCTCTGTGAGCAGGTGCTGTGGCTCCCCAGGGTGCAGGTGAGAGGCTGCACAGGAACGCGCGTTCCACTGCCTGCTGGGAGCCGAGAATCTGCATTCTTACATCCAAGACCCATCAGAACAGAGCTGATTATCTTTGCCCAAAAGACCACTGGGAAAACTTCAGAGGTGAAGGATCAGTATAATTGGCTGTTTTAAAATGTATTAAGGTACCAAAAAAGGTGGATTAACTCCGTTTCTGAGCATACATTCAGACAGCATTTTGGCTTGGATTTTATTTATGGAATCATCATCTTACTAATAAAACCAGATTGATTGAACGCAATCACAGCTTGTATTTTCAAGGTAATCACTTCAGAGGGACAGAAAGACAGGGAACACAGTTTGGGGAGAGGGAGAAAGAGGAAGGAAGATGAAGAGGAAGAAAGAGAGAATGTTGCAAAATAGGAACTCACTTCACAGTATTCCTGACTTTCCTCCCCAGGTGCAGAAGAAGCCACACATGCCTGGTGTTCAAACCTATTTTTAGCCATGGTTTTTAACTTTGTAGCCTCATTCCATGTAATCACATGTGTCTCTAACCTCTACTTACTTACCCAAATGTATGAGAATCTGTTCAAAGAAGTACAATTTAATCTCATTTGAAGATTAGGCAATTGCCAAATTGTTTCAACCTGGTTGAGAATGACAACCAGATCTTCTGGGCTGTTTGGACCCCCTTAAAATTATATACCAAGTTTAATCAGAAATCATTCACCTTCTTCTTAAATCATCGGGACATTTTTTGAAAATGGAACGTGCCCAGCATTAGAGTTGAAACAAAGCCCTTGTGTTGTTTGTTGATTTAAGGAAGCACAGCATACTTTTGGAAGTTATTTGAACACAGGTGCACAGGGAACCCGGCAGCTTCCATGCACCTTTTGGCTCCATCCCAGGTCCTGTGTCAGCAAGGCCTGTGGCCTGCCCAACACATGAGGAAGCTTCTGATTTTAGTGAAATATGGATGTTGAGACGAGTTTGGGGTAGGTGTTTCCTAGAATGCCAAGGATGATGATGAAAGATCAGCTTACTTAAAAATGCATGATTTCATCCCATAGATATGGAAACCCAAGATGGCAGAAAAGAGAAAGCTTAATGGTGTGTGTGTGTGTGTGTGTGTGTGTGTGTGTGTGTGTGTGTTTGTGTGTGTTTCCCCAGAAATAGACACAAGATAGAAACAGCGTGTATGAAGCTGGGTTAAGGCTCTGTACCTAAAGAGTCACTGAGTTGGAAGGGATGTTATAGACTCTAATTCAGAGGCTTCTAGATGCCAGCCCAGGAATTAATAACAAACAGACTGCTTAGCAACAGCCTGGCTTGCTTCTTGAAAAGTCATATTCCTAGGTCCCATTTCAGACTTGAGGAATTAGAATCTCTAAGAAGCCACTTGAGGATCAATGGGTTCTGAAGAGCTCCCCAGGTTCCTCTAATGCATAACGTGGTTTAGATACTCTTTATTTAAATCTCTTACCTTATAAATGAAAAAAGTGAGATGCTGAGACATTGGCAAAAGTCACTCAAGGCCACCCATCTGGTGAGCAGGGAGCCCTCTTATGATCCAAGTCTCCCCATTCCTGTTGCAGTTTTCAGAAAGGTTGGAGAGGACACGTGTGTGACGTTGGCTTGACTCAGGTTTCACTTTGAAACCCTTTTGTTTTTTTTTAAAAAAAGGAACCTCTTCTCTTTTGGCAGGCTGCCTTCGCTTCCCCTACAAATAATTCTGTCTTTCAAACAAAGCTAAGCTTTTCTAAAGCTTAGAAAATCCATCCTAATCACAGTGTAGTTTCCCTCTTGTAAGTTTTATGAAAAGCTTAAGCCATTTTCTTCTTGCTGGGCTGTGGAAAAGGGAAGTTGTCTCATACCTCCTAGTCATTGTGAAATAGCCAATGGAGTAGTTTTGTGGGCATTAATCCTTTCCATTTATTTCAGTTGTCTAAAAATGTAAAGAATGTTTATTATGACCTAGGGCAGGGGTTGACAAATTCGTTCTGGAAAGGGTGGGTGGTAAATATCTTGCTGGCCATGTGGTCTCTCTCACAACTACTCAGTCCTGCCATTGACATGTCGCCAGGGACAGATAGCCTGTACAAAAGCGAGTGTGACAATGTTGCAATAAAACTTTATTGACAAAATCAGCTGATCTTTTGAGAGAACACAATCCAACTCACAACAGGGTCCCTGATTCTCCTTTTGCTGTTATCTACACAAGACCTGAGGACACTCAGAAGACCCGGCACCTTCCACCCCACTCCTCACCCACCCAAACCTACAATCTGGCTTGGGAATGTCATGGGGGAAACCCCAGCATGGGGTTTGCCAGAGGTCCTTACCAGAGGAGGTCCGGTAAGTTCCAGTTCTGGAACTCAGTAAGGGAGAGCATAAACAGGCTAGGCTATCCAAATGGAAGAGTCCACAAACCCAGTGAGGGAGGTGACTGAACCTTAGACAAGGCCATGACACCCACAGATCAGGAACCTGCTCATCAGGTGAGGAAATGCAGACCCTCTGTGGCTCGTTTGGAGGATGTTCTTGTAGAGCTAGGTCCACTCACCCGTCAAAAGTGCAACACTTACCTGTTAAAGGGTGTTGCTTCATACTTGACCACACCTTAATATGCACATGCAACTGTTACCATGAAAGGGCTCTGTGACATTCTTATGGATCAGAAGCAAAGAAAACAATATGTTTGATTGAGTTCCAGATTTCCACTGTTTATAATATGTAATGAACATGATTGTACATAGATTTCGAAAAACAATCAAACAATACATTTCATCGGTTTCCAAATTTTCCACTGTTTATAACATGTAATGAATATAATCTTACATAGATTTTGAAAAATAGTGTGACTGTTCCTTAGGATAAATTCCTAGAATCGAATTGGATTCAGAATGGGAGACATCCACATACCAAGCACCAGAAGCCACAACCTCTGAAGGAAGCATGGACTAGTTGAAAAATATGAGACAGCCACGGAGGCATCCAGCAACCTACACAGCTTCACCGTTTGCTTGGATCTGAAACAGAATGGCAGACGTTGGTTTGGAGATTGGGAAGCAGAGAATTAGAGGAGGAAGTCAGAGTTAAAGTCTTTGAATATTTCACTGGGGGTGGGTAGGATTCTCCAGTCAAGATAAGAAAATTGTTAGAACAAAGATAATTTAAAAAAAAAAAAGATTAGAAAAAGAAAAAGAAACCTGCCAGAAAAATTAAGTTTCTCTTAATTTCTGACAATTCTAGTGGTTTTGGACAGGGTTTTGGAGACGGAGTTCTGTACACATCAGAAAAAGGGGGAGCTTGGCCAACAACTGTTACGATGAATGGGCTCCATGATATTCTTACGGATCAGAAGCAAACAAAACAATATGTTTGATTGGTTTCCAAATTTTCCACTGTTTATAATATGTAAAGAATATGATTTTACATAGATTTTGAAAAACTGTGACTGTTCCTTAGAATAAATTCCTAGAATATAATTGCTGATTCACATAGCATGAATATCCTAAAATAAGTATAATAGGTATTGTATATTTGCATTTTAAAGATTTTCAAAAATGTATGCTCCAATAACAGTACCTGAGGAACTCTATTTTTTGATCCTCTACTCAAATCATTTATACCCATCATTTCTGAAATTTTCTTAATTTAAACTTCTTAGAACAGAGGAAATTTCTTTTTGATTTGCTTTTTGTTTATTGGCACTTCCAATTTTAAGTATTGTATCTTTACATCTTTGACTACTTTCAATGGGTTGCTTATTTCTTTTTTATTTTGTTGGTATTTTACATAGAAGGTAAATAAATCATCCTCTTGCAAATACAACCTCCTTTTGTCTTTGACATTCTACTTCATTTTATGAGTTTTTTGCCCTTCAGATTTTCTTCACATTTGTATGTATTCAAATGTCTCACTTTTTTTTTTTTTTTTTTTACTTTGTGGCTTTTTAGTTTTGTATCATACTGAGAAAGACTTTACCATTCCTAATTATTTATGCTTTAAATCATGTTTTTATTCCCTTTTAAATCCATTAATCATTTATTTTGATCTAAGAACTGAGATGCAATCCAGTTTTCCTGACAATTTTCTCATGATTATAACATCTATTTTTAGATACCTACAATGAATATCAGTCAGGGTTCCCTCAGTAAAACAGAACCAGTGGCATATAGATATTGAGGTCTATTGCAGGAATTGACTTATGCCATTCCAAAATCCATAAAGCTGGCCATCTGGAGTGGCAGGCCAGAACTCTTAGGCACCAGCTAGAGCTGATCCACTAGCTGAATTTTTACTTCAGAGGAGTTTCTGCGCTGCTCTTCAGATCTCTCAAATGATTGAATCAGATCCACCCACATTAATCTCCCTAATGAATGTCAACAGATCGTGGACTTTAATCACACCTACAAGATACCTTCACAGTAACACCTGGATGAAGGTTGGACTAACTAGGAACTGTAGCCTAGACAGGTTGACACACAAAATTGCCCCTCGCACTTACCTCTGCTACTTTCTAATGGACTGCCATTTGTTATGATTCTTATTTACTATCTTTGCAATAACGTTTACAAGTAAGATATTCTATTTTGTTTTTTTGTTTATTTTTGCATTGTATGCTAGATTAACTTTTAAAAACAAACATAAAGAGCTTGCATAAAAATGAAATCTTCTCTAAATTGGAAGCTTTTAAAAACTTGGTTTGGTCTTTGTAGGAGTCTGGGTCTAATCAGAAGACAGAATCCATGCAACAGGTTAAACAGGGAAGTTCAATATAAAGAATTACTAACTACTACAAAAGAGTAACTGATGTAAGGAAACTCTCTGGTACACTAGGACCAAGAGAGAGTACCCAAGTAAGGAAAAAGTTGGAAGGGAGTCAAACCTTGTTGGAGAAGATACAGTTTAACCCCCTGGGTGGTAGAGAAGTTCATAGTTTAGCCAGGCCCAAGCTGGCCAGCAATCTCTGGGAAAGCAGGAGGCCTCCCTCTGAGTGTAGGGTGTGGGTCTGGGGAGAAGGCAGTCCCAGGACAGGTGGGACAGTGCACAGAAGGAGTGAGTGAGGAGGGGGTGGGGGCCAAACTTGTGTGACTGCATCAGGAGGGGGAAGAAAGAGACATGGGGCAGGGAGGTGTTGGGCAAGGGACAACTGCTCCATGTGACTCTCTGGACACAGGTGGAGCAAACAGGCTGCACAGCACAGGAGTTTGCTGAGGTTGTCCAGGCAGCATGGGGCAAGTGGCTCTCAGTGTCTGTGGGTCATTGCCTCCCAGGCTGGGGGTGTGCACAGGGCTGCGTTCAAGTTGGAGGATGGGGCAGACTCCCTGGGTGTCCTCACACCCCCCAACCAAGGGCCCCACCTTCTCGAGTAATCACAGAAACCCAGCTGCCCTGCATGGCCCCTGCAGTGTCTCTATTGCCTAACACCCCTGCTTACTTTAAAAGGGAAAGGAATCCCACTGTGGGTCTAGTAGGTGCCTTTGGATCTAAGAGGCAATAAATTGATGACTGACACAGCCACATTGTGGAGAGTGTTTGTTAGTTTTCTCCATAAATATTTTCCTTTCTCTGCTTAAATCAATTTTGTGATAAGCTGGAAAGTTATTAACTTTATATGATCTCCAAGTTGTCTATTTAGTTATTGTTTTATTAATGTAATTATTAACATACATTTTATTAATATAATTGTTAATAATTATTGCATAATATCACTTCATAATTCAATTAATTTTTGCTGAGGCTAGTTGTTCATAAACTACCTTTCCACTAAGGACCACAGCCCACCCACCACTCTGCTCAGTGCTCTGGCCTCCTCTGTCCATCCTGCCCTGCAGCTCCAGGCATGGGTCTTTGAATCTGCTGTCTACTCTTCTGGGAATCCACTCCCTGTCTATGTGATATGATTTGGCTCTGTCTCCACCCAAATATCATCTTGAATTGTAATCCCCATAATCCCCACATGTCCAGGGAAGTACCAGGTGGGAGGTGATTAGATCATGGTGGTGGTTTCCCTTGCTGTTCTTGTGATAATGAGTGAGTCCTCATGAGATGTGATTGTTGTACAAGGCAGTTTTCCCTGCTCTTGCTCTCTCTCTGTCACCTGCCACCATGTAAGACGTGCCTCTTCCCCTTCAGCCATGATTGTAAGTTTCCTGAGGCCTACCCAGCCACGTGGAACTGAGTCAATTAAACCTCTTTTCTTTATAAACTACCCAGTCTCAGCAATGTCTTTATAGCTGTGTGAAAATGAACTAATACAGTAAATGGGAGTCGGACAGGAGTGGGGTGGAGCGGGGCACTGCTATACAGATAACCAAAAATGTGGAAGCGACTTTGGAACCAGGTAACAGGCAGAGGTTGGAACATTTTGGAGGACTCAGAAGAAAACAGGAAGATGTGGGAAAGTTTACAATTTCCTAGAAACTTATTGAATGGTTATGACCAAAATGCTGATAGTGAAATGGACAATGAAGTCCAGGCTGAGGTGGTCTCAGATGAAGATGTGGAACCTCTTGGAAACTGGATCAAAGGTCACTCTTGCTATGCTTCAGCAAAGTGTCTGGTGGCATTTTGCCCCAGCCCTAGAGATCTGTGAAACTTTGAACTTGAAAGGGATGATTTAGCCTGTTTGGCAGAAGAGATTTCTAAGCAGCATAGCATTCAAGAAAAGAAAAAGCATAAAAGTTTGAAAAGTTTGCAGTCTGACCATATGATAGAAAAGAAAAACTCATTTTTTTCTAGGGAGAAATTCAAGCCAGCTGCAGAAATTAACATAAGTAATGAGGAGCCAAATGTTAATTGCCAACACAATGGGGAAAATGTCTCCAGGGCATGTCAGAGAATTTTGTGGCAGCCCCTCCTATCACAGGCTCAGAGGCCTAGAAAGAAAAAAATAGTTTCCTGGGCTGGGTCCAGGGCCCCTGTGGCTCTGTGCAGCCTTGGGACTTGGTGCCCTGCATCCCAACAGCCAGGGATAAAAGGGGCCAAGGTACAGCTTGGGCTGTGGCTTCAGAGGGTGCAAGCCCCAAATCTAGGAGGCTTCCATGTGGTGTTGGGCCTGCAGGTGTGCAAAAGACAAGAATTAAGGTTTGGGAACCTCTGCCTAGATTTCAGAGGATGTATAGAAATACTTGGATGTCCAGGCAGAAGTCTGCTGTATGGGCTAAGCCCTCATGGAGAACCTCTGCTACAGCAGTGTGGAAGGGAAATGTGGGGTCAGAGACCTCTCACACTGTCCTTGCTGGGGCACTGCCTAGTGGAGCTGTGAGAAGAGGGCTGCTGCCCTCCAGATGCCAGAATTGTAGATGCACTAACAGCTTGCACAGTGTGCCTGGAAAAGTTGCAGACACTCAATGCCAGCCTGTGAAAGCAGCCAGGAGGGTAGCTGTACCATGAAAAACCACAGAAGTGGAACTGCCAAGGCTGTGGGAGCTTACCCTTTGTGTCAATGTGACCTTGATGTGAGACATGGGGTCAGAGGAGATTATTTGGAGCTTTAAGATTTAATGACTGCCCCACTGGATTTTGCACTTGCATGGGGCCTGTAGCCAATTTATCCCATTTGGAGTGGGAGCATTTATCCAATGTCTGTACCCCCATTGTATCTTGGAAGTAACTAACTTGCTTTTGATTTTACATGCTCATAGGTGGAAGGGACTTGCCTTGCCTCAGACTTTGGACTTAGACTTTTGACTTAATGTTGGAATGAGTTAAGAGTTTGGAGGACTGTTGGGAAGGCATAATTGTGTTGTGAAATGTGAGGATGTGAGATTTGGGAGGGGCTAGGGAGGAATGATATGGTTTGGTTCTGTGTCCTCACCCAAATCTCATCTCAAATTATAATCCCCATAATCTCCATGTGTGGAGGGTGGGAAGTGATTGGATCATGGGAGTGGCTTCCCCAATGCTGTTATAGTGATAGTGAGTGAGTTCTCATGAGATTTGATGGCTTTATAAGGCAGTTTTTCCTGCTGTTGCTTGCTCTCTTTCACCAGCTGCCATGTAAGATGTGCCTTGTCCCCTTTCACCATGATTGTAAGTTTCCTGAGGCCTTCCCAGCCATGCAGAACTGTGTCAATTAAACCTCTTTTATTTATAAATTACACACCTTGGGGAATATCTTTATAGCAGTGTGAAAATGGGCTCATACACTATGTCTGCATAGTTCTCTATTTCCTGTAGGTCTCTTCTCAATGGCCACCTTGTCAGAGGGAATGTGACTACCTAACCTGATCAAATATCATCCCCATCATGTTCTCTCCCTTCCTCTGTCTTACTTTAATCCTCAGCACTTTTTGCTCTCTGACATATTACATGTAAGTTGTCTGTTTGTTTATCTCATCTACCTCTGTTACTAGGACATATGCGAGACAAAGCAGGGACTCTGCTCCTGTTTACTGCTGTATCCTCAGTGCCTGGAACTATGACTGACACATGGGAGAGATACAATACATTTTTGTGGTTGAATAAATTTCACCTGTTCTTGGATCTATTGGGAGAATGGGGTGGATAGAAGCCATTTGGCAATATCCCATGTAGTTAATTCCCTGGGGAAATTCATGAAATATTGCAGGAATAAAGGTGGTCCATGAGATGTGGCCCTAATTGTTGTGCTGGTGGTTGGAGAGGAGCTCCGGGAAGCCTGATGTTGCTTACTGCCAGGCCCTCTTAGAAGTTAGCAACCCTTTATCTACACAGTGGAGCATTGTGTCTCACCTGTTTACAATCTGTTTCTGTGCTTGGGGATATGGCAGAATAATATGAGAATTTCTGGTATAGACCAACCTGGTCAGACCTCACAGCCTTTGAGCTCCTGGGTTCCCACTGTCATTTCCCTGATTGCTGCCTCTCAAGCTGTCAGAACACTCCCTTGCCTCTGTGTTTTTCCCTGGCCCCTCACTCACATTCACCCCCAGTAGCTACAACTTAGCCCTTCTCTAAAAATACCTGTGGGGCCATTCTATGGTCTGAATGTTTGTGTCTTCCCCAGATTCATATGTTGGATATATTGAAATACCCAATACGATGGTATTCTGAGATGGGTCCTACGGGAACAAATGAGGCCATGAGACTGGAGCCCTCATGATTGGGGTTTATGCCTTTGCCAAATAGGGAGCTCCCTCACCCTAAGAAGGCAGCAGTCAGCAACAGGGAAGAGAGCTCTCTCCAGAACCTGACCATGCTGGCACCCTGATCTCAAACTTCCAGTCTCCAGAACCATGAGAAATAAATTTCTACCATCTATAGGTCACCCTGTTTATGGTATTTTGTTATAGTGCCCTGAACAGACTAAGACAGGCCACAGAAAATAAAAGCACGAACACTCTATTCTTGTGTGTCCTCTGTATTAGGAGAATCTCCATGGTCAGTGCGGCATGCTCTCCTCTCTAGTTCATTCCCTGACCTTTCCAGCCTATGAAGCCTGGGAACATGTGTGGACCAAGGCCTCCTGGTGAGTGAAAAATGCAGAACAGGAGTCTGGTGAGCTGTGAGCAGCCCGACAACTTTGGGAAAGAAGCATGCACCGGGACATTTCTCCTGGCCTTCCCTCCCCAACCACCCAAGGCTGCAACTGATGTGATTTTGGAAAATACTCTTGTTTTGCAGTCCAAAACATTCACAAAAGGCATAAAATTGACTTGGTGGCTTCCCCACAACCCTCCCCCGCTGGGAGATTCCTCTTTAAAAACTTACATATGTTCTATCTTATTGTTTTACTTAAAACAAGGGAATTTGAACTTACGGTATTATAATTGACTTTAAAAACTCAACTCAGAATTATTTTTGTACACATATTAAACTAATTTACTAGCTGAAAGGTCTTGACCAAAGTGGTCCAGAAGAACATTGATTTTTTTCCCACTTCAATTTCCCTCTCATTGGAAGATTTCTGTTTTCTTGTAAGCAAAATACATTCAGAAAAAAATTGCAACACTATTTTCAAAATCATATTAATTAAGCATAGCTAGTTTTGCTGTATTAATTTCCATCTTTTTAGATGCATTGTAAAGATGTGAAATGCTAGTCTCACAAAACTGGGCATTGGATAAAACTTGAGCTGAATTAAGCATCCATAAGTTACCTCTAAGTAAACTCTGGTACTATTAGGTTAGTGCAAAAGTAATTGTGGTTTTTTTTGTCATTACTTTTAAAAAAACATGGCAAAAACTGTGATTACTTTTGCACCATTCTAATAGAATTGTAGAGTTAGGGAATTTTAGAATTGAGAGAAGAATGCTATAAAGGATTTGTGAGCTCATCTAATTCAACCTTGCATTTTACTCAAACAAGACCAAATCTTTCTGGAGCAATAAATGCCATGCATCCCCCACATTTCTATCCCAATGGGCATGAGTTTGAAACTCAGATGGAGAGTAGGGTCCCAGGCCTGAGTTGGGCATGTGTGCACGGGCAGGGAGGAGGTGCGTGGGAGGTGGGGACGATTGGTCTGCACAGCCAAGAGCCCAGTGTCATCCAGGATGCAGCTTGACTGACAGCCAAGATGATGGATGGTGGCCATATCTGCCCAGGACTCCCGGGGAGCCTCTGCCTGTGGCTCCTGCATTAACATTTGAGTGGAGATTATTTAGCACCAGGATTCCAGAGTACCTGATGGCTCAGACCTCCACAGAAAGCCCACATTGAACACACACACACACACACACACACACACACACACACACACACATGCGTGGGTGCTTCTATTCTGCTCTCAGTCCCAGACATCCCCATAACCCTCTCCAGTGGGTGGTTTCTGGTCTTCCACAAGGTGTTGAGAAGGAACAGTGGTGACCTGGGCCATGGAGATTCATTAACCCAGATGTCAATGGACACAGGGCATATTCTGGTTGCTTTGGCCAGAGGTAGGGATACTGTGGTCAGTAGACCCAGAGTGAGGAGCCAAAGGCAGTGTCAGGGTAGAAGAGGACTGCAGGGGGCCAGGCCACACAGCATCAGGTCCATTTACCCAACTAATTGTCAAGGGGTTGCCTGCCTGGTGGCCTCAAAGCCTCTGGTCCTCCCTTCCCTGTAGGATGACAGCCACAAGAGCCTGGGATTGGAGGCCCCCAGAACACACCTTGCTCTGAGGCTGAATCTGCGGGAAATGCCCGTCAGGTCCTGGCCAGTGCCCTTGAGGAAGCTGCAGTCTGCGCTGGCAATAAGAACACCGCATCTAAGTGAAAGGACTGGTGTGTAGAGCGCTTCCAGAAAGGCCGACTCTAGAGAAGGCAGGTTTTATCAGCCAGTGCCCAGAAAGCCAAAGCCACTGGCCTAAGGAGCCACAGCTGACGAGTGGTGGCCTGGGCCCCACAGATGCTAAAGGTGATGGGCAGCGGTGGGGGCCATTCATAAACCTGCAGGGCCCATGATAAGAATATGTTAGTCCAGGCACAGTGGCTCACGCCTGTTATCCCAACACTTTGGGAGGGCAAGGTGGGCAGATTATTTGAGGTCAGGAGTTTGAGACCAGCCTGACCAACATGGTGAAACCCCATCATCTCTACTAAAAATACAAAATAATAATAATAATAATAATAATAAGCTGGGCATAGGGGCGCATGCCTGTAGTCCCAGCTACTCAGGAGGCTGAGGCAGGAGAATTATTTGAACCCAGGAGGCAGAGGTTGCAGTGAGCTGAGATTGCACCACTGCTTTCCAGCCTGGGCGACACAGTGAGACTCCATCTCAAAAAAAAAAAAAAAAAAAAGAATGTATTAATATAGAAGCCCATTTGACAAAAATATCAAGCACACCAAGAAATTGTTAACTAAAGTAGATTTGATCCACAAACCTTAACAAATAAAACTTCATAATAGAGATGAAAAATTGCTTGGTTTTCATATAACTGAAATTCAGCAAAATATTAAAGATGACTGAATTTCATTTTTGCTGTGCATGTCTGGGTGTTTCATTGATAGGATGATGATATTTGAATAAGTAAAAAGATAAAGACAGATAATTCACCTAAATTTAAAAGATATTTTCCTCTGTAATGGTTGCCTCAGTTTCTCTCCCACAAACAGATGATGATACATATTAGCTCACTCCCTAACCGATGCTGACTATATGAGAAGAGGTTGCACATCACTTAATGTTGCTGCTGTAGGTATTTACAATGTCATCAATATACTAATTTTCTTTGGACTTCATTTATGGTACTTTTAGTCATGAAAAAGTTATTTCTAATTTTGAAAAGGGTAAACAATATCAAATATCAAAACAGCACAAAAATATAGACTCTAAAAGAGTACTGACAGTGGGGAGGTTGACAAATATGACAATGGAATGAATGGAGGAATAAACAGGCCTATGGGCATAAGACGCTATATTGTAAGAGTGGCAGAGGTATGGTACATTTGATAAATGTTGGAACAAAGACCATTAAACTGGGAAAATATTCGGACTGCTACCTCAAGTTTATAAGGCTTGGAGAGATTAAAGGGTTAATATCCTCAAATAAAGATAATTTGGCTCATTTCTTTGTATTTTATATGCTTTTATTGCTTCTCTAATTGAAGCAGCTAATGATTGTGTTAAGCAATGCTGATAGCATTTCACTTTACAGGTTTTTAGCCAATATTGTCTGGAATGCTTCTAAAGTTTCCCCATTAAGAGATATCTGTCATTATTTTAAGAAAATATCTATCTGTTCCAATTTATCCATACTGATAATAACTTACAAGGTTTATGAAATGTATTTTTAGTGTCTATGGAAATTTCCTATAAATGAGATTATTGGTCCCTTAGGGCAATTGTTCCCAACCTTTTTGGCACCAGGGGCTGGTTTTATGAAAGACAATTTTTCCATGCATGGTGGGAGGTTGGGGCAATGGTTTCAGGATGAAATTGTTCCACCTCAGATCATCAGGCATTAGATTCTCATAAGGAGTGTGTAACTGAGATCCCTCGCAGGTGCAGTTCATGATAGGGTTTGTGCTCCTACGAGAATCGAATGCTGCCACTGACCTGACAGGAAGGAGAGCTCAGGTGGGAATGCTAGCTTGCCCAGTGCTCACCTCTTGTTATGCAGCCTGGTTCCTAAACGGCCAAGGCCCAGCACTGGACCTCAGCTTGGGGGGTTGGGGACCCCTGCTTTAGGGTGTATTTATTTTTGAAGACTTTGAAATTTATTTCCAAAGATTCCTCCAGAATTTTAAATCAATCTAGATTCATGTCAAATGTTTCTAATACTTTAGGTTTAGAAATACCTAAATACTTCAGATTTCTGCAGTTTATTAGAAATAATAAATTTTGATGTATATATTCTTCCCCTTGCCTGACTACACAACACCAAAGAACTACCAAATTCTCTGCGGATTTTTTTTCTTTAAACACAATAAGATACAAATATGTATATGTATTTCTACCCCTTTGTACCAAACAGTTAAATGTGTATTTGAAATATTTTTGTTTGTACCTATAGAATATCTTCATTATGCGTTTTTACAGATGGATAGAATTCTGTGAATAGAAGCAATACAAATTATTCGAATGCTACTATTGATGGGCATTTAGCTAGTTTTCAGTACCTTGCTGAAATGCAGCTGAACATAATTCTGTAGGTACAGCGCACATGGTAAAAGGCAGCGCGCATGGTAAAAGGCAGCGCGCATGGTAAAAGGCAGCGCGCATGGTAAAAGGCAGCGCGCATGGTAAAAGGCAGCGCGCATGGCACCTGGCTTCTTGGGTGGCTCCTGACAGCGTAGATGATGAAATTTGAAAGTGCAACGAGCTGAGCTCCTGTGGGTGAACTTTGACCATTTGAAGCTAGGTAGACCGATTCTGCCTCTTTCTTCTCTCAGGAAGGTTCTGAAGGGTCATTTCTCCTTGAAAATCTTCTCGAGAAGTATCACATGTCGCGTGAACACAAATGCTAAACACCTGAGAGGCCAGCACCGCCTTCTCGCCTACTGCAGTGCTGAAATTGTCCCTTTGTCTCGCTGATTTTTCCTCTCATTTTCACAGCCTGGGTCTTGAAACAATGTCAGCACTTTAATCCTTGTTTCAGGCTCATCTTTCAAGAAAACTCAGGCACAGGAAATAGTCTTACTTATTTTTTATCCACTTGATATATCATGGCTGGTGAGATAAGAGAGAGGAATTAATGTCTGTTATCCCAGTATGCTAAATTTCGTGCTGTATCTCTTCTAATTTCTACTTTGTAAATGTTGCTGATATGATACTTTATGCATAGATTTTCAAAACCGCTCATAAATTTACTCGGCAAGCATTTTTATTGAGGAATTGCCATGTGTCAGAAATTGACCAAGGACTTAGAATGTAGTGATTAAAAAAGTGGTTCTAATCCCTAACCCTAAGTATCTAGATTCCAATGTTTCTTCATTGTGGAGAGTATTATTTAAAAATAGAAGCTCATCAACTTTGGGTCATTTTATATTTTGTGCAATGAATTCCATCTTGCCTGGCATTAAGATCATTACCACTAGTTATATAATTCTTGCATTTACCATTATGCTATGCCCATTCATTTAATTTCAAGTTTCCTCAATCACTTTGCTTAGATGTGTCTTTTTCCACATTATAGAGTTGGATTGTGTTTTGTGTTTTCTGATTCTTTCTCAAATTTTTTTCTTATAATAGGAGAGATATACTATTTACATTTATTGATAAGAAAAATATACTTGAACTTGCCTCTTTTATTAGTCAGTTTAACCAGAAAAAAACAAACCAGTAGCTCAGATATACATGAACATATTTTTGTAAGGAATTGACTTATACAGTTGTGGGACCTGGCAAGGCAAGTCCAAAATCTGTAGGGCAGGCCACCAGCAAAGACAGGTTGTGATTCACAGGCCAGAAGAGCTTCTGCTGCTCACAGGTAGGATCTCTTCTTCAGGAGAGCCTCGGCTCTGCTCCTGGGACCTTTCAATGGATTGAATCAGAACCACCCAGATCAGCTAGAGTAATCTCCCTAATTAATGTCAACTGATTGTGGACTTCAATCACATCTACAAAATACTTCCTTAGCAACACCTAAATGGCTGAATGACTGGGGACTGTGGCTTAGACAAGTTGACACATGAAACTCCTCTGACATTTTATGTTACCTTTTCTGATTTGTTGTTTAAAATTATGTGGTCTACTTTCATGATCATTTTTATTTTTTGTGGTTTTTCTAATACTTAGAAAAATCTGTGTTTTTCTTTCATGTTTACCTTTAGTGCTAAACTTTAATATAACACCCCTAGTCTCTATTTACTTAGACAGTATCTACTGTTTCCTTATTGTAAACCATGTTGAAAATAATGTGTACTTTGCCCTTCTGGTCATCTTTCTCTGTTCAATCCCCTAATTTCAGTCCATGAAGTCTTTGCTAACGTGGACTTTTGTCTTGTCAAATATGCTTATACTTCTGTTATTTGATTTTTCATCTTTAAATGATACGATCCAATAGCCAGCTATCACAGCTAAAGTCATCAAAAAATTGACTCTGCCTCACCTTTCTTCTCCTTTTCCCTCCCAATTTTGTCATTTCTCGGTTGCCTAGGCATATGAAATTTGTAGTTCTCTATATCTCAGCAATACTCATGGGAATTTCTGTTTCATGTCTACAGTTCATTCTATTCAATGTTCACCACTAGGGTGACAGTTTCCCCCATCACTTCTTGGCTGCAGTTCATCCTCTAGTAATTTTATTGTGCGGGTTCTTGGCAATACTGTAGTCATACTCCTGGTGTTCTTGTTTTTCATAAAGTTTGCCTATAGTTTTAATATTTGAGAGACAGATTGGCTAGATATCAAATCATTGGTCCTCACATTTCCTGGAGGAGTCATGTAGGTGCTGCCTCACTTTCCTCTGGTGTTAACGATTTTGGGGGGAAATTTGAGATTACATTTTTTTCCATTCTTATTGTGATGTTTTCCCTGGCTGCCCTAAGAATTCTTCCTTTATCTTTAAAACCGTTAGCTTCATTCGTGCAGGTCTCAAAGTTGACCATTTCACATCAATTTCCTCTAGCACATAATGAAGACTTTCCACACATAGATTCAAGTATTCTTTCATTTCAGGAAAATAAATGTTTTATTTCATTTTATTTTTTTGAGACAGAGTTTCGCCCTTGTCGCCCAGGCTGGAGTGCACTGGTGCGATCTCCGCTCACTGCAAACTCTGCCTCCGGGTTCCAGAGATTATCCTGCCTCAGCCTCCTGAGCAGCTGGGATTACAGATGCCGGCCAGCAAGCCTGGCTAATTTTCTGTATTTTTAGTAGAGATGGGGTTTCACCATGTTGGGCAGGCTGGTCTCTAACTCCTGACCTCAGGTGATCCACCTGCCTTGGCCTCACAAAGTGCTGGGATTACAGGCTTGAGCCATCATGCCTGGCCAATAATTGTTTTTTTTAATAACATTAAATGTCTGTTGTATTCTACTGTGGCAGTGTGTTCTATTGCTTCTTTGGAGACGCCAATGTGTATGTTAGCTCTATTTTCTAGCCTTTTTATGGCTATTATTTTCTTTCTTATCCTTTTTAGTCCTTTGTTTTCATTTCTATTTGTTTTAGTTTTGTACGTTTTTCACATCTCTCATTTCTAGCCGTGTCTCTTGGTAGATTTTGTGAAGTACCTATTTTCCCACACTTCATTTTTATGATCTTTCCATTTCTTTTCTTCTACTTTTGTTCTCAAGTTATACTAGTAACTTTTTAAAAAATCTCCTTTTATCAGCTTTCAATTATTTCCCTCCAGTCTTGCATTTCTGAGCTGTGGTCTTTCTGCTCAGAGTAAACTGTTTCAAAGCCTTGTGTTTCATAGGGAAATGGGAACAACTTTCTTTTGCTATATGGCAATACTTTTTCTGGTAAGTCATCATATATCAAGTTTTTTTACATTTATTTATTGTTAGATCATTGTTGTGTCTTTTAACACTTAGCATTGAATAGGTTGGATTTTCTTAAGTCGTATTCACAGGAATTTCTGAGAGTGGTGGCTGTTGGGGGAGAAACTAAGACTAGCAGGCTGACAATCTAGGGTTCAGAGCTGGAAGGTTCAGTAGATGCCCACTGCCACAGAAACTGTTTTTCTCTAATACCTCAGGTGAGTCATTCTCTACCCCTAAGTTATCTTTGCCCTGATTCAAAATAGATACAGAAACAATTATTCCACCATCCTTGCTCTCCCCAGTTTCCCGACCCATTGTTGCCACACAGGCAGCAAAATATGTTCTTTTTGGGGTACCCGCTTGCCTTCAGGAGTGTCTTTTGCTGGCCTATTCTAAGGTCACCTGCTGGGTCTCTCACTACCACTGACCTTCTCCTCCTTCCTTCCTTACACCAGTGTTTCTGCATGATCTTGGAGGATTTGGGCAAGCTTTGTATGTATTTAGAGATCTGTGGATTTATATGTATCATCAAGTTCCACTAAAACTGGAGATTATATGCTTGTTTTTGTTTCATTTTGTTTTGTCTTTTAACGTTCTCCCTGCTGCTTTGGTATAATGTCCATGGGGAGAACCGAAAAACGCTGACTTGTACCTGTGTTCACCCAGGAAGTTTCTTCAGTACTTTTGACACAAAACTTTTTTCACTCATATTATCTGTTGTGTAATGTTCCAAGGATTTAAAAATTTAAATTCCTCTTGTTTAAAGAAGTACTTTTTAGACTTTTTGATTATATCTTCAGGTAAAAAGTATAAGTGCACTCTACCCTGAGATTCATACATTTCCAAATATACATACACATCTATAACAAATAGCAACCAAATAATTCTCAGTTTTGCCAGTATACTGCACTAATATTTTCTTTTTTCACTCTGTTCTACTTTTTTTTAAATGCTTGTAATGCCTCATTAAATTCAGTTTATGATTCACTAGTGGCTTATTATCCTCTCTTTGGAAAACTTTCATCTGGAAGATGTATTTATTCTGTACCTAATATTTATTGAGCATCTTCAATGGCTGACATACTGTGCACATTCAAATATAATTTCTATCCTCATGAAAATTTACAGAAAGGCAACTAAATGGTTGAGTATTAATAAGGCAATTGTGAAGAGGATGATAATTGTACCATAACTACCTTATATTTACATAGCCTAATAGAGTTAATAATTTTGTAATTTATATCTAATTAATTTTTTAAAACACTGTACCAGTTGGGCAGGGATTATGTTGTTTCTCAAGTAACATTTTTTAAGGCTCAGGAATGTTGTGACTCACTCAAGATCACACAGTCATATGGGCGGACTATAACATATGTGCTTTGATTCTTAGTCATTGCTCTTTATATCCCATTAAACACAGAATCGATTCCAACAATTAACTATCAGAGAATATTAAACATAGATAAAATAAAAATTGATTTTAAAGAGTGAAATACCAGCACTGCATAAAAATATTTTTTATTCATCTTCAAACATTAATTCTAGGAAGCATACCTTAAAATGCTTGGGTAGTTAAGATAACAACACACACACACACACCCCTCAGAGGTGCTCTCTGGAATGGAGATATGGTTAGCATTAAAAGAAAAACTTCAGCCAAATTAAATTTAAAGGAGTTTGAGCAATGAATGATTCATGAACTGGGCAGCCCACAGAATCACAGCAGATTCAGAGAGACTCCAGGGATACCTTGTGGTCAGAACAAATTTACAGACAAAAAAGAAAAGTGATCTACAGAAATTGAAAGTGAGGTACAGAAACAGCTGGATTGGTTACTGGTGTTTGCCTTGTTTGAACACAGTTTGAACACCCATCAGTCTATGAGTGATTGAAATATGGCAACTGGGATTGGCCAACACTCAGCTATTGTTACAGGCGCATACTCCTAAGTTAGGTTTTCAGTCTTGTCTACCTATTAAGCTAAGTTACGGTTCATCCACAGGGACTCAAATATAGAAGTATGGAGTCCTTTGCAGGCCATATTTAGTCCACTTTAACAATGGTAACTATGTTTCCCCAAGGATTGCTACCAGCTGACAGTAAATGCTCAAGATCAGTGGAGAAAATGGACTGAGTGATACGTTCTGTGGACATATATTTATGGAAGGCAGCTTGAAGGAGGTAATGAGAGTTGGGGATCTTTTGTAATGTATAGAGTTTGATATCAGCAAGAAGGCACAGGCCTAGACTCTGCTTCTAGAATCTCAATCTTCTGGGAGTGTGGCTCCTTGGTGAATGCCATTGTAATGGAGACCAACCCAAGAGAGCTGACCTCAAGCCCTCTGAGGAAGACGGACCGATTCAAAGGACTGCAAATGACCCACATATCTGAGCAGAGGGTCTTTTAGGGTCAGGGAGTATTTGATATAGGGGAATCAGACTAGCAGAGCCAAGACACCTGCATGGAAACTAGCAGAGGCAGTGGAGTGATTTTCATTGGAGAGCTAAGCCTTTCCAAGGAGCAGTAGACCCTAACCAGGATACCTGTCCCACCTGCTTGTGTCAAGCTTCTTAGGCCTTCCAGATCTGACTGCCTTACTTGACCTGCTCCCATGCTCACATCAGCCATGTGAATTGACCAGTCATAGCTTGGCTTCCATCCCATTTTTGCCTAAGACCAGTATCAACTCCCACAAACCAGACACCCTTGAAAACTCCAAGCTGGTGTCCTCGGCTGTCATAGTCCATCAACGACAGTCTAACAGAGAAGATTTCATCCATATCTGCAAACTGAGCTGAGGGGTTGAAAATAAGGAGGTTATGAAAGAAAACAATAAAGCAAAGATTGAAAGGCTCTGCAGAAAAGGAAAAGAGAAAACAAAGGCTAGACACAGGTTGTGTTTTCCTTCAGAGAGCCTGCATAAGCATCTCAGACTTCAGCAGGATGTCCAGATGTCGCCGAATGAGAATACAGCCAAATGCAGTTCATGAACTTGCTCACGTTTTCAGCGCTGCCGCAGCTGTGACCTGGAATTTAGCCTTAAACTATGGCAGTGTGACTTTCAAGGGAAACGCGAACATTTAGTTACTGGCCAACAGCTTTTTGCCAGTGATTCATTCACAACATGGGGCAGTCCTACTGAAGTGAAATTTTATTATTTAATTGATATAATCCAAAACTCCATGAAGAGTTCATTCATTCATTACTCATTTGCAAAGTAGTTTGTTCTTCTTCTAAAATGGAATTTCATGACTATATTCCCAGAGACAGGATCAGGGTCTGGCACATAATAGGCATGCAATAAATATTTTATTGAATAAATGAGTGAATGAACTCAAGAGATTGTTGTAAATGCCTTTATGTGAGATACAGCCAATTCAAAATAAACCCATTCCCAGGCTTCAAGACATTAGGTATGGGAGGCAACCACATAAACTCTAGAATACAGAAGGTAAGTGTTTCTTCTAGATATGGTTTGGATTCGTGTTCCCTCCTAAATTTCATGTTGAATTTTAAGCCCCAGTGTTGGAGGTGGGGCCTGCTGAGAAGCGATTGGATCATGGGGGCAGACTTCTTATATGTGGTTTAGCACCATCTTCTTGGTACTGTTCTCATGATAGTGAGTTCTCATGAGATCTGGTTGTTTAAAAGTGTGTGGCACCTGCTCCCTCTCTTTCTCTTGCTCCTGCCCCTGCCATGTAAGATGCCTGTTTCCCCTTTGCCTTCTGCCATGATTGGAAGCTTCCTGAGGCCTCCACAAAAGCAGAAGCTACTATGCTTCCTGTACAGTCTACAGAACTGCAAACCAATTAAACCTCTTTTCATTAGAAATTACCCAGTCTCAGGTATTTCTTTATAGCAATGCGAGAACGAACTCATACGATCCCTGTCACAAAATCTCTCTCTGTCCTCCTTTTTGCTTTCAGTTAGTATATTTGCTGTTGTCTCTAAAATCTATACCAAAGTGCAGACCATTTCTGAAATTTTGACCAATGTATCAGGCTTCCTGTAGGGTTCCTTTTTTTTTTTTTTTTTTTTTAGATGGAGTTTTGCTTTGTTGCCCAGGCTGGAGTGCAGTGGCATAATCTTGGCTCACTACAACCTCTGCCTCCCAGGTTCAAGCAATTCTCCTGCCTCAGCCTCCCCTAGTAGGTGGGATTACAGGCATATGCCACCATGCCTGGCTAATTTTTGTATTTTAGTAGAGTTGGAGTTTCGCCATGTTGGCCAGGCTGGTCTCAAACTGGCCTCAAAATCATCCCTAGGATGCTTTTGAAGTGCGCACACTCTGCTCCGAGTCTTCACTACTTTAAGAAGGTCTTTGCCTCCCTCAGCACTGCTGCCCTAAGAGAATTTGCTGGCCGCTGTGGGACCAACAACCTGGGCAGAGAACACACACTGTAACGATCCCGCTCTGTGAGTTAGATTTTAAGCTTGAGATCCTGCATCTCTTCCTGGATAGGGCAAGAAGACATTAACATTTCTTGTTGAAGTCACACCCCGGCCACATCCTCTCTGCCCCCACCATGGACTTATCTTCTCCTACCTGTACTGTGTGTGCACATCTGCCCTGTCCACACCTGTCTTATTCCATCTGTTTTTGCTAACAGCTATTATTCTTCATCTGTATATAGTTTACATTTATATAAATGTAAATTATATATAAATCAATATATATTTTAAAAATTTATTAATTGATGATTATCCAAATGAAAGTATTCCAAATTTTATCTGATTTTCCACTAAAGAGAAAATAAAAGTGATTCATAATGTTTATTGAGTGCCTCTCAAGGTCATGGACTTGTGTAGCTGCTGTGACTGAGTAGAGGAAAGCAAAGAAGGTCCTTGGCCTAGGAAACCTCGAGATAAGCATGTGGAGGGGCAAATCAGTGGCAAGTAAGCAAATAAATAAGCTAAGTTGTGGCAGCAAGGGACACGTGTTATGATGGAAATGAAGGATGCCATAGAGGGGAGAGGTGACAAGGACATCAGTGAGTTGGCCAGGGAAGTTCCTCCAAGGAGAAGACGTTGGAGTTGAGACCCACATGATTCGAAGAATGGAAATGTAAGGAAAGAGACTCCCCCAAAGGGCCTGAGGCAAAGGTGAACTTGAAGTGTTGAAAATCCTTGCAAAGTCTGGAGGCTGGGGCTGGAAAGAAGAGCAGGAGGAAGTGTGATGGGAAAGTCGGCAGGCTAAGAGAGACTTTGGACCACAGCACAGAGAGAGAACGCTGTGCTGATTCTTGCGGGAAGCCACTGGGGACCTTGAACACAGAGTCAGGGGCAAGATCTGATTTATATTTCCAAGAAACATCCTGGCTGCTGATTGATGCATAAATGTTAAGAGTACAAGAGCGGAAGAGGGGACCGCACTGTGAGGCTGCTGTAGTCCTGGGAAGAGATGACGGATGAGTCAGTATGGAATTACACGCATGCACACACACACACACACACACACACACACACACATATGTATATATATTTTATTTTACTGGACTGGCATAAACCTAGATGTCATGGGACTTTATGAAAGGATTGAATTATTTCCAGTTGAATATAGGTGGTTAGTATTTCCACCATGAAACAAGTACAGAGGCTTTAGCCCTATTCTCCTGATTAGGAAATGCCCATATCTTATTTCATGGGTCCTGCATGACTTCGGTGACCTTTGCTGAATTAAGTTCCTTTAAGGTATCATAAAAAATGTCACCTTGCAAATTTAAAAAGCAATTTTTTGAGGGAAGGTAAGTGGACAAATACTCCCCAGAAATGTGCTTAATGACAAGATTTATTCAAGAGTATCCTTCCCCAGAGATAGATTTTAGGTAAAACTCCAAGCTTATTGAATAATTATCAAACACAATCCATAGCTTCTAAATTGTTGTGGCTTTGATGTGATATTTACAAACTTAATGGTAAAAGTCAGGAGAGTTGGGTAGTACCCAGAAATAGGATACATGAAGGAAGATGAGGCTTTTGCTGACATTGGTTGCTGAAGACTTTACCGGCATTTCATTGTAAAGAGGTGGAGCATGGAGCTATGTGACACCAGCAATTCACAGGCACAGCCTGAATTGATGTTCTGGGCCTTGTCTCAAAAGAAAGACTGCATATGAATGTGTAAAGCGAGGCTTGGCTGAGACAGAGAGATAGAGACAGATTTTCTAAGCACCTGAAGCAGAATCAGATTAATGTACCAAGATAAAATTTTTTTAGAAAAGGGTAGAAAGGCAGGATGAATTATTACAATTTGTCTCACTTTGACCAAAGAAATGTGGGAATGGATGCATTCTCTCTTTGGTGGTATTTTTTTTTTTTGATGAATAAATTGAAAGAATAAAATCTGGTTTACTTCTGGTTTGGATAAGGTAAATGAACTCTCTTAGCCTTGGTTATTTATGCCATTGTTGAATCTGTAAATTGTACCTATTTTGCAAGGTTTTTGGAACAATTAAACTGTATAAGATAAATGAAAATACCTTACATATCATAAAGTACTGTGCAAATATAAGCTGCTGTTATGAGCTTCTCCCTGTGTTTAGTCTTAAAATTACACACTGGGTGTCTTAGTCTGCTTAGGCTGCTATAGCTAAATACCTCAGACTGGATGGTTTCAACAACAGATGTTTAATTCTCACAGTTCTGGAGGATGGAAGTCCAAGACCAAGGTTCTGTGACAGTTGGTTTCCACTGAGGGCTCGCTTCCTGGCTTGTAGATGGCTGCCTTCTCACTGTATCCTCATGCGGATGTCGGTGGGAGGGGAGGACAAAGGGAGAAAGAGAGAGAGAGAGAGAGAGAACCCTGGAACTCTGGCATTTCAGTTCTTACAATGACACCAGCACTGTCTGATTAGGGCCCTTCTCTTATGACCCCATTTATTCTTGGTTGCCTCCTTAAAGGTCCTACCTCCAAATACAGTCACATTAGGGGTTAAGGCTTCAACATACGGAATACTACTCAGCCATCAAAAGGAATGAATTAATGGTATTCACAGCAACCTGGATGAGATTGGAGCTATTACTCTAAGTGAATGAAGTTAATTCATGAATGGAAAACCAAATATCGTATGTTCTCACTCATAAGTAGGAGCTAAGCTATGAGAATGCAAAGGCATAAGAATGGCACAATGGACTTGGGGGACTCGCGGGTAAAGGGTAGGAAGGCGGTGAGAGATAAAAGACTACAAATTGGGTGCAGTGTATACTGCTCGGGAGATGGGTGCACCAAATTCTCACAAATCACCACTAAAAACTTACTCATGTATCCAAACACCACCTGTTCCTCAATAACCGATGGAAATAAAAAAAAGAAAAATTAAAAAAATAAGAAAAATTTGACCCATATCAAGTCCCAAGGCTAACTGGAGAGCCCCACTCTTTCTCTTCTCCAACTTCATTTCCATTCTTTCCAGCCCATCTCCACCATAATGCAAAGTAGTCCCTAAGCAGCTTCCATTTGCCTTTCCTGTTATGGACCAGAGAATCCGTGGATATGGAGGCTGGCAGCAGGTATGAGCACACGGGGCATGTGGAGGTCACAGAATCAATGCTCCTTTACGCTTAAAAACAAGTCATACCCACAAAAACCCAGTGAGTTCTTTGCTTTGTGTCTTTATAGATGTGTCCTCAGGCAGCCCCACTGTTGCCTCTTTTAATTAAAACTAAGTACTTAATTACTGGAGTCGTCTCTATTAGTATATTTTATCATTGTCTTTATAGGGCTATGTGTTTTAAATCCTAACAAAAAGAGCCATGTTATCTGTTCTGATTACATCCATTTCTAAATTAGAACTTTTATATATATATAAAATTAATATGTTACAAGTAGGAATGATCTACAGACAGAATTGTGGAATAGACTAACGGATTGCATGCAATTAATCATTAACTCAACAAAATAAGCTCCTACATATCAGTAACAGTGATGGGCACTGTTACTGTGGTGGACCAAATAGACATGAGTCCTGCCCTCATGTGACTACACTGCACTATGATAATTCTTCAGTGAGGGAAGTAGGGTGTTCAAGAACATAAGGGGATGCGTCCAACTCAAACCCCAGCTTCCTCATTCAGAAGAAACACAATTTGATGGGTTTATACTTGTAAATTCTGAAAATTTTATTCTGGTAACATTTTATTTTTCATTTTTATTTAATTTTTGTTTTTTGAGACAAAGTCTCACTCTGTTGCCCAGGCTGGAGTGCAGTGGCATGATTACAGCTCACTGCAACCTTGACCTCCCAGGCTCAACCAATCCTCCCACCTCAGCCTCCCAAGTAGCTGGGACTACAGGTGCATGCCACCATGCTCAGTTATTTTTGTATTTTTTTGCAGAGACAGGGTTTTGCCGTGTTGCCCAGACTGGTCTCGAACTCCTGGGCTCAAGCCATCTGCCTGCCTTGGCCTCCCAAAGTGCTGGGATGACAGGGGTGAGTCACCGAGCCTGGCCTTTAGTAACATTTTAAATGAATCATTTTATCCTAGATGCACACGTGCACAAACAAACTATAATATTTTAAAATTCTATTAATGAATTAGGAGTTATGCTACGTAACAGCAATTTGCTTGGGCAATGAGCTGTGGTAAATTTCAGATTCAGTTCAGCTTCAACACTGTATATTCCTAGTAACTTGGGTCCTTATTAATTATATTTAGTTGCCACTCTCTTTCCTAAATGGTAATTATATGCACACCCATTCATTTCGTTTTTCTAAAATGAAATGGCAATTAGAGGGAGAGAAGTCTAGTTGAACAAGCCACTGGAGACATGAAACTTCTAATGCATGGCTGAGCACCAATAGAAGGTGAGCTCCCATCTTGATTGGAAAACTACCTCTTCTGGAGCCTGGCAACAAGACTCCTGAACTTCAGTGTCTCAACCCTGATAGTCCACATAGTAACCTTCCACTTGTCCTTCCCTTACTGAACTTCCTTCTGTCTCATGAGCACACCAAGCTTGTCCTTTCCTCAGGGACTTTGTACCGGCTCATTCTGCTGATGTCAGCTCCAGTGCCACTCCAACAGCTTTATCCTGATCTTCCTCCGCGTTCTAATCTCATCACACTATTCCGGTGTCTTTGTGGCATGTATGACTCACTAATATGGCATTATGTGTTTACTTATCTGCATACTTAATGATCTGCTTTCTCTAATTAAAATATAAGCTCCACAAAAACTAAAACAGTGTTTGGTACACGGTAGATACTTCAAATATGTATTGAATGACTGAAAGATAAAAATCAATGAAATGCTACAGCTGCATCCTTTTCTTGAATTCTGTCAGATGGTCCCTGTTGTGGCAGAAGTATATATTTCCATGACTGTAATTATTTGATTTTGTTTTAAAGAAGTCTTTACCCAACAGTTACGGAATATGTATTTTTCTCAGGCACACAGAGCAATTACAAATATTCACCACATGCCGTTTCCTAAACAAGTCTCGAATACCAAAGCATCAGGATCATCACATGTAATATATTGCATGTCTAAACACAAACATGGCTCTAAAATATAATTAAAGGACAATAACAAGAAATAACCTAAGATATGTTTAGAAAATTTAAACCACACTTTAAAATTGATCGTAGAAGATTGCATAAGGGAAATCATACAATACTTGGAAATGAATGGTAACAAAATACTCTAATTAAAAATTTGAAGATATAGCTAAAACAGTATTTTAGGAAAAAAATGTGTAGTCTGAAATACATGCTAGAATAAAAGGCTGAGATTTCAGAAAGGAATCAAACCAAAGAAAATAAAGGCAGTAAGGTAATAGGTAAAAGATGAGATATGCAAATGAAGATCACTATAGCCAAAATCAAATCTTAGAAAAAGATAGTAAAAGAATACTGTGGAGGCCTGTCTACCCTAAAATGGACAACTTTTCATTATACAAACATCTCAAAAATACTATTGAACAAAATTAGGTCAAGGAAGAATAGAAACCACAACTTGTTTAATAACACATACTTAAGAAATTTTTAGTTAATAATCTTTCTACAGAGAAAACATCACACTCAGGCAGTTTTCTGGGTGGGCTCTACAAAATGTTAAGTAGATTATTTTAGTCTTACACAAAGTCTTTAAGACAACAGAAAATAAGAGAGCACTCACTATGTCCATTTATGAGATGTAAAAATTTAAGGTTTCATATCAAAACCTTAATAAAAATCATATAAGAGAAGCAAAAGAAAAGTAAACTGCAGGCTATTTCATTCCTGAATGAGGATGCAAAAAGTTCCTTAGCAAAATATTGGGAAATTGAATCTAAGTAATATACATAAAAATACAATAGACCAGCCAGGCACGGTGACTCAAGCCTGTAATCCCAGCACTTTGGGAGGCTGAGGTGGGCAGATCATAAGATCAGGAGTTTGAGACCAACCTGACCAACATGGTGAAAACCCACCTCTACTAAAAATATAAGAGTTAGCTGGGCATGGTGGCGCGCACCTGTGATCCCAGCTACTCAGGAGGCTGAGGCAGGAGAATCGCTTGAACCCAGCAGGTGGAGGTTGCAGTGGGCCGAGATTGCACCACAAGACTCCAGCCTGGGGAACAGAGCAAGACTCCATCTCAAAAAAAAATAAAAAATACAATAGACCATGCCAAATTTGTTATAATTCAGGAATTAAAGGTTGAAATGACAACATTACAAATGTGTTAACAAACTTACCATATATATAGATGTCAAAAGGAAAAATATTCATACTAGTTGCAGAAAAATTACATATAAGATTCATAATCTGCTAGTATGAAAACTGAGTACTTTAGAAATAGGAAAACCAGAATCTATAGCAAATATCATACGTAACGGTGAAAATATAGACAGTTCCCTTTTACTCAGAAATCAGACAGAGAAGCCCTTATCCCTGTTCTTATTCTACATTGCTCAGGAAGATAAAGCTGGCAAAGATTGTGCCCAGAATTCCACCTGCCCACCCAGCTCCCTGGGTGCAGCTCCTGGTCACAGCTTGAGGTCTCAGTGCCTGGGTCCCAGGCCCCAGGTCACACAGTTCCAGGGTCCCAGCGCCTTGGTCCCAGCCATAACCAGGAAGGAGGTGACTGATTGAGCCCAGGAGGGGTGTTGGACCTCCCAACTGCACCCTGTTCAGAATCTGCTCACCCTCTAGCCTCCAGATGAGCCGTGTGCCCAAGGTCCAAGGACATAAGCAGCAAGGGTTTGCTGTGGACATGACAGTTGCTAACTCCTAGGAGGTCCCAGGAGGTCCAAAGCACTAACAAAGCCTCTGCCTACCCATTGCACCTGAGCTGAGCCTGAAAGACTAAAGTCCGGGATGTCCAGAAGTCCCAGGCCTGCAGAACTGTCTACACTTGATGCATATTTGAAAAAGCTCCTGTAGAGGCAATCCCCCAAATCCCTTGCAAAGCGGGAGCCTCCACATGGGGGCTTTCCCCGTCTAGGAGTGTGGAGGCCACAGTCCTCCTGGACCACTGTGCCCACCTGGTGCTGAGCAGCAGCAGGAGCAGCCACCAGGGACCTGACTGCCCTCCAGGACTGCTGTCCAGCCAGGCAGAAGGGGTGGTGGTCCTTATTTGATTGCCCCTTAATCATGTTTTATATGTACAGACATGGAGTTGCTTGAATGCTGGAATTAGGTCCTATCCTGGTGTCATGAGGCTAGTCCAGTCCAGGTGCATAGTGGATTGGAGATCAAAGGATGACATTTCAGCCTCATGGAAAGTTCCCTCTTTATTCAGTTCTTCCGCAGAAGGAAGAGCAATTGATTGGAAGGAAGGGATCACCCGGGCCTCCAGAACTAAACCCAATGTTGTTTTCAGACTTTGGTACCTGAAGAATCATGAAGCCAGTACAACAATGACTCCTCTGCATCTCATAGCCAGGGCATGAAGGGGTCTTCCCTGGGCAACAGCTCCCTATTTTCACCTGTCAATGCAGTGTCTACCTGCTATCGCCTAAAAACATCCGTCCCCATTATAAAATCCTTCGGCACCAACCCACATTTAGTTTTCCTTCCTGACTGAAGCATGCCAGGGTTGCCCAATCTGCCGCTGCTCCTTTCCCATCTCAATCCTAATTAATTGATTAATCCTAATTAATCCTGAATTAATGTTATTCCAAAATTTAACCCCGACTTTTGCTAATTTGGGCATTTGTCCATTTGCTCATGGTGAAATCTGGACAATTGCTACATATTTTTGAAGACTGGTGAAGCGGTGTTACAACACTTGGCTTTAGAATGGGATGGGTAAGGAATATATTTGGGAACACTTTTGGCCTGAGTTTTATCATTTGGAAAATGGGATTAAGGCTAGCTATCTCCTAGAATTGTTGAATTCTTAAAATCTATATGTACAAACATACTTGCAAGGTGTAAGGCTGGAGTGTCCACCAGCACAGTGCAGTGTCTGGCTTATAGTACAAATCCAGCACATGCTGGTATATTTCCTCTTTTGACCCTCCACGCAGACGGAGGAGTGAGGACGGCCACCCCCACCTCCGTGCCCCTCCATCATACTCCACAGACACTGGAAAGCCCTCCCTCAACCACTGCCATATTGCCTTCATCTTTTCCTTTTTAAAAAATCTCACACTACACTCTTGCTGTTCTTTGAGGACAATGTCCTAGGGCTGTATATCTCCAAGGGTTGAAGCAATGCTGGCATGTACCTTGTGTGTAGTAAGTGTTTGTTGAATGAAATAAGAAGCAAACACATCTTCCCAATGGGTGAAGAAATCTTTTCATCATGGGAAAGATTCGAGTCCTTGTGTGTTTGGCAAAATGTTATCAATACATTTTCACATAAAGAGCTTTTTATCCCTTGAAATTATAGAGTGGGTTAAAAGTTTCATAATGGTTGGTTATTTTTTTTTCCCAAGATTTCCAAGTTTGTATGAGATGTTATTTTGGACAGTATTTTAAATTAAGTTCTTGATTTGGTATAAAAATATCATGAACCTCAGATGTAGCAAAGAACGCAGCTATTGTCAAAGGGTAAGCACTGTAAAATGAAACAAGTAGTATCATCTCCAAAACTCTTGTGCTAATTCTTCCAGAGCTTGTTCTGTGGGGAGAAACACACTGCTATGGAAACCACTAAAGAGAAGCAAAAAATTCTTTGTAACTAGGAGCTGGGGCCTTTAGCTTTGCAAATTAGTGCCAAAATACCACTTATCCATCTGCATCCCTGACAGTACAAAGATAGTAAAACATAGCACCTTATCCTGTACTTGCTCATGCAGATGGAGAAGTGTCTGAATGTGATAAAGACCATGTCTAGGTTTCTCCTGGACACCAGGATCTGGAAGGAGAACCCCACTGTGAGAAGCAGAGGTAGGGAGCACTGCATTCAGGCACATGAGATGACATTCCCAAAGGGCTTTTGCAAACCAGAAAGCATGGTGGATGTGATTTTTATTACCCTCCTGTGTGCTCCTGAGTGCTCTGCGTCTAGCTGTGCACGATCAAGCAGAATGCTGAAAGCAGCCCTTGTGTGTCTTGCATTTTCTGTGAGGAAGCTGCACCTACATTAACTCCTCTAATCTCTAATAGCACAACCTGTGGAATAAAACAGAGCGACGTGAGCATAGATTTTTACACATAGCAAGATGTGTCAGTTGCCAGTGTTTGCCTCCCCACTTGGACCACCTACTGGTGTCTTTAGGTTTCTTTGTGTTTTCCCTAATGCATAGGATGAATAACCAAATGGGAAACATAAAGATAGACATTTCATGGCTTGTCAGCCAAATAAATTAATATTCTTGCAAACATAGATGTCAAGCATGACCAAAAATAATCATGCTAACTGGGGCCACATGGATTTCCCTCAAGTAAAAAGTACCAATTAAGTTCTATGGAGATTATTTTTATTCCACAGTTTATCAAACCATTTTTTTTTAACTTCCTCAGCCATTTCTCCCTTTCTAAATGTCCTTAAATCTAATAGGTCCAGAAACAGGAGAGGGGGACAGAGGCATCCTTTCACTGATGAGTGGAAGGACAGGAGAGGTAATCCCTGCTAGGGTTGGAATGGGTCCCCTCCAAACTTCAGGTGTTGAATCTTAATGGTCAATGTGGTGGTAGTAAGAGATGAGACCTTTAAGAGGTGATTAAGCTATGAGGGCCCCTCTCTTGAGAATGGAATTGAGGCCTTTATAGAAGAGACTTCAAGCAGTATTCAGCTCACTTGGCCTTGTCATGTGAGGACACATCCTTTGTATCTTCTGGAAGATGAAGTAACAAGGTGCCACCTTAGAAACAGACCAGACACCAAATCTGCTGGCACCTTGGTCTTCGACTTCCCAGCCTCCAGAACTGTGAGGAATACATTTCTGTTATTTACAAATTATTCAGTCTCTGGTATTTTGTTATAGCAGCACAAAACAGACTAAGACAGTCTCCATACCATCCTCAGCCTAAAGAACCAGCTTCTTGCTCAGGTGGAATAGATCTTCTGGAGGGAAGCTATATTTCTACTAGAAAATCAGTTGTATTTTCACCAATCACGAAGGCTCTTCCAGACATCAGGGCAGTTGTAGAAGTGCCTGGAGAATGGAAATAGGCCCTTTTCCGGAACGCCCCCACACAGGCCAGTGGGACATTTATTTCCCTCTCTGTGAGAGACCTGTTTGGTTGGGAATGAGAGGAATGCTGTCTGACTTTTATACCCACTTCCGGGGAGCAGCCAGCTCCCACATGAGAAAGAAGACTTTGTACAGGGGCCAGGACCCTCACTGGATGCCAGAACCCCAGGACTTTCACTACACAAACATGTACATTCTGAATCATTCCTAGCAACTCTTCACGCAAAACAAACAAGCCGAGGAAAGTACCTCTCAGATGCACAAGCCAAGAATTCTAGAAACTCACTTTCCTAACCCCAAGTCATCTGCAGAGCACGCCCACAGAGAGCACCTGGGTGTGCGGCACTGCTTTTCTCTGGTGTTCACAGCTTTTAAAGACAGCTTTTGGGAAAGTATGTTCTCATTCATAGCCGATACAAAAGGTCCTTACACTTTTCTTATAGTTTAGTCATTTTGTAATTGTAACTGATTTTTCTTTGATGTTATTTCTTTTTGAGTCATATGAAGAAAAAAATAAACTTTGGTTTAAGCTTGTTAGCTTTACTTTTGTACAATAGCACTTGTCTTACTGAACCACATAATGAAATTAGAAGCTGCCAGATGTCAATCAGCGTGGCCCCAGGTACCATGTCCTTTTGTGTATCTGTGTGTATGGAATATATTTATCACGTGCTTATTGTGTGCTGGGAACTGTGTAAACTTTTTAATGCATTATGTCAAATTGTAATAATTACTCTGAATGGTGTTTTGTTAACCACGTTTTAGAGATGAAGAAAGTGAGGTTTACCTACAAGCAAACTTGTCCACTGTCATAAACTCATGATTGGTCCAAAAGATTTAGCAATCAAATCCTTTGCTCTATCCAGGAGAAGTTGCAGTTATATTTTAAGCACTTACAGAGTCCAGCGTTGGCAGATAGATACTTTTCATCATAATACATAAGTATCCATCTATTAATACTTTAAAGTTTTTAAATTAGTTTTCTGAGACTGATGTAAAAACTTACCACCAACTGGTGGTTTAAAATAACAGAAATGTGTTCTTTCATATTCTAGAGGCCGGCAGTCCAAAATCAAGGTGTCCTTTTAGTGCCTCCAAAGCAACAGATACTTTCTTCCTTTGCCTCTTCCAGCTTCTGGCAGCTCCAGCTGGCCTTTGGCTTATGGCCGCATCACTCCAATCTCTGCCTCTCTGGTTAGTTGCTTCCTAGTATTGTGCCTGCCTTTCGTCTGTGTGTCTCTTATAATATGCTTGTCATTGGATTTAGGGCCCACTCAAATAATACAGATGATCTCATCTCGAGGTCTTTAAGTTGTTTACATCTGCAAAGATTCTGTTTCCAAGTAAGGTTGCAGGTTCCAGGGAATAGGATGTGGGCATATGTTTTGAAAGGCTACCATTCTACTATGTAACACTACATTTTTAAACGGAAATGAACATTTAGCAAGTATTTTTAACACCTACCATATTTTTAAATATATGTTATCTTTCTTGAAATGTATATTGTGAAGTAGCTATACATTAATTAATAGAGAAGGATTATTTAATTCCTGAGTTATAAGCCCTTTCTGGTTTTAATATTTTATATATTCTACTGTTCAATTTCGTTACGGATATTTATACCTTATTGTTTAATTTCATTATAGATATTAGCATATCAAATTAAGATGATCTATAATTTTTCTATAATTTATTTTTCAGATTTTAGTATAAGGGTTATGCTATCTTCATAATTAAATAAAATAAAATTTCTTTTTCTTTCCCTACTCGCCATCATATTCTATGGAATATACTATGAAACACCAGATTTACCTAAAACACAAATGCATGAAAAAACATAATTTTAGAACTGTCTCGTTTCAGGACACTCATTAAAGTGAATTCTTTGAATTTTTTAAGGCCTTCCATGTTTATTGGTATGTTCAAATTATTTACCTGCTTGAATCCATTTTTAATCTATACTTTTCTAGAAAAACAATCAATTTCTGGCTTTTCAGAATATTGGTAGGAGTTAAAGTTATTTTTTCAACTAGTTTCAACAACTGTCCTCTGTACATGTTGTTAGAGACTCTTCTTCTATCTGACTTCTTTTCTTCTTTTTTTGTTCAGTGTTCCTGTCTAACTATATGGATGTTATATTAGAGTTTACATTGGATTATTGCTCTTTTATTCTTCTTGACATTTCCTAAGTGTCTTCTTGTTAAAATACTATATTTTAATGCAATTATCATATTTAGAATTAGTAAATAAACAGAAACCATTTCCCTATCATTTTATCTCTTTTCCAGTAAATTTTACTATAAAAATGTGATACCCTTTAAATTAAAATTTTTAACAAACAAAATCTCTATTTTCTTCCTTTGAACTTGGAGCCCTGGCCCAGTCCATCCTACAGACATGGTGCCATTTATCTTGGCCTTTTACTTTGTCACCCCCTTAATTCTACCAGAGGTATTGCTAACATCTCCAGTTAATAATTTCCACTAACAACGCAGAACTCAATTAGCATAATAAGCATTTCCCATCTGCACTGAGCACTCTTCCCGTCATCAGTCTGGAAACTAACTACTGTACAGAAAAATCATGGGGAATAATTAGAATTAGCACACACGAGCCACTCAACACAAAGCTCTTGCCATCCATTGGGCATAATCAGTAGGTTACGCAAACGTGGTTATTGTCATTTCCACTCAAACTAGAACATACGTGTGGAAGAAGATGACTTTGGAGTTTGATAAGAGGTTCTGTGGAGACTTGCCCAGGAGATGTCAAGCAAGGCAATGGCCTCCTGAGGGAGGAGCACACACCGCAGTCAGCCTCGGGGCCACCAGCCCAGCTGGGGCCTCTGCTCAAGTAGTTTTCTCTCTTACAGCTTTGGGACCCTCCTCTGGAAGAAAAACGAGTGACTGAAAATGAGTGAAGGCTTTCCCCAGTGCTGTTCCCAACAGCATCCAATGTGTAGACCCCTACATGCAAAGAGACCCCAATGCCTTCTCAGTTCCACATGCTGTCGATGCCTCAGATCGTCCTGGTTGCTGTCTATACTCACCTTGTTGACTACCCAAAGATATGGACCTGCTGAATTCTTGACCTCCATAAAGTCAATGGTCTTCACCCCATCCGCATTTTGGCCATCTTTTCCCTGGCCACCTCTCAGACCTTTGCACCATCCCAAAGCACACTGCCTTCTAAATGTGAGATGTGCCTTGTTTACTTTTTACTTCTGATTTGATTCCTAATTTTTTGTTTTATTGTGTGGATACTATGCATATAAAAGAATATAAAGAAAGTGTACATGTATATAAAAAATATAAGCATGTCACCCAGCATAGTAAAAACACTTTTATCCGAGATTTGGAGGCCACATGTGATCATTCCCAATGCAAAACCTCAACCTCAGTACCAAAGATAAGCATCACTTTGAATATTTTACTATTATTCTCCTGCATTCTTTCTAGTCTTATTATTTCCCTAAATAATTTAGTGTTGTGTGTTAGAATTTTATATGAATGGTTATCATACCGTATGGATGTCTTCTTCTGTGTCTCGTATTTACATTCAATGCCGTGTTTGTTATTTGGCCATGATAATGTTATCAACACAAGTAATTCATTTTTGCAGCTGAGTTTTTCATTCTATGGACACATTGTATAAGTATATAACGATATATTTCTCTATTGTCCTGTCATTGGACCTTTGCATGGTTTACAATTTTTGGCTATTAGAAATAATGCTGCCATGAACATTCTTGCTCATGCACACTGGTATGCACTGGGGATATGCCAGGAAGCAAAGTTGCTGGGCTATAATAGCCTATGTGCATCTTGAAATTCGCAAGACAATGCCAAACTGCTTCTCCACACTCTCATAGATATTTTGTACTTTTCCCAGCATTTAAGAATCCTCATTGCAGTCAGGCACAGCGGCTCATGCCTGTAATCCCAGCATTTTGGGAGGCTGAGGTGGGTGGATTACTTAAGGTCAGGAGTCCATGACTAACCTGTCCAATATGGAGAAACCCCGTCTCCACTAAAAATATAAAAATTAGCCGGGTGTCGTGGCAGGCGTCTGCAATACCAGCTACTCAGGAGGCTGAGGCAGGAGAATCGCTTGAACCCAGGAGGCAAAGGTTGCAGTGAGCCGAGGAGATCGCGCCACTGCCCTCCAGCTTGGGTGACAGAGTGAGACTCTGTCTCGAAACAAACAAACAAACAAAAAGTATCCTCATTGCTCCACATACTCCCCAATACTTGGTTTTATTACTTTTTAATTTGTCTTGTAAAATGGTGATGTCTCATTGTTATTTTACTTTGTATTTTCTTGATTACTCGTTAAGAGTGGTCATATTTTCATGCTTTTATTGCCTATTTGCTTTTTCTGTTCTATGAAATGCCATTCATGTCTTTTGCTTATTTATCTGTGGGTGGTCTTTTTCTCCTGTATTGCTTTTGCATGTTTATTCAGTTCTCTTCTGCCATTTAAGTATTAGTGTTCTTAAAGCTCAGTCTTGGGCTCTCTTTTCTTCTTAAGCTTCTTTCTTCTCATATAATCCCATCTACTCTCAGTTACCATCTAGTCATACCATATGTATGCAAATTACTTCTGATTTTATATTTCTAGACAAGATCTAATTTCTAGCTTCACATCTTAAATCCAACTATTTCTCAGTATGCTCACTTGGATGTTTCAAAGGCGTCACAATTTTAACTTCAAAACCAAAATTATTATTTTCCTCCAAATCTGTTATTTTTAGTGTTCCCAATCTCTAAGTGTTGTACAAGGCAGAAACCTAGAGGGCATTTTGACTTTCCTCTCTCTCCCATACATAATTTCTCAGAAAGGTCTATCAAGTTTACCTCCAAACCACTTCTCAAGTCTATGTTTCTTTCCATGCCCTCTGTAAAACCCTAGTCTAAGCTATGTCACCTTTCAGCTATGGCCACAGTTTTCTACTAGCCTCCCTGAATATATCCTGTGTGTGTCCATTTAGTTCTCCACACTAGAGCAAGTGAAATATCCATTTTAAGTGCACAGTTGATGATATGGGAAACATCAACAGCTTCCCATCTCTTAGAATAAAGTCTGGCATTGCTAACATGTGACTGAGAACATAGTCCATTTCCTGGCCTCTGCCTACGTCACCTCTTGTGATTTCTCTTGCTCCTTGTGCTCAGCTGCACCAGACTGGTTTCCATTCCTTGAAAATCTGCGTTTTTTTTCTGCCCTCATTGTTGGACAGGCTACTCTCCATTCTTAGAATGATACCTACATGGTTCCATTGTGCTTTACTTAGTTATCACCTAAGAATCTTAGCCCAAGCACAACTTCCTCTGAATGTCATTCCCTGATAAGCCTGTCTGTTTTATAAGCTCACCAGGAATTACAGTCATTTTGTATGGACATCTTATGCATCTGGAAATATGAATATCTACCCTCCCCAGGAGTTCCGTGGGGGTGGGGAAGGTGTTTGGTTTTGGTCCCCATTAAACCTAAACCTAATGCAGTGCCTGGCTCATTATAAGAACTTAATAAATATTTATTAAATTAATAAATTATACTCTCATATCATCTGGTTTTTAAAAGATATATCAGGTTTTATTTTTTGTTGTTACTTGGTATCACTGATCTGTAATAAAGCCCAACTCTGCACATATATGTTGTAAAATGTTTGAAATAAGATCACAGGGCGCAGGGGGAGGTGAGAGGGAGTTGGTAGGCATTTTGGTGTGATTTCTAAAATAGGTCCTGGGAAAACACGTGGTAAAATGAAACTTAGAGGCAACTAGGCCACTCATCAAGTCACTGACTCAGGAACTTGGAAGGGCATCTACCGCGTGGAACATCAAACTGTTCAAGGTGAAATAGGTCAATCCTGGGGCTGCTTCTTCGTTTTTGTTTTGTTTTTGTTTCTGTTTTTATATAACCAACTTATTCTCAAAGTTCCCTTATACATTATTCTGTTTCATTTCATTTTGTTTTCATTCTCTTTCACAATTATGGAGATAAGTTGGAAAGGAAAAGTAAGAAGAGATATTCTTTTCAAATTCAGAGTCTTACATGAGACATCTAACATTACTGTCCTGTGAATTCTAAGCAAATTAGAAATAAAATAAGATGATGAAATTTGGGATGGCAGAGAGTCAAAAATTGAGATCCACTCTGGGTCAGAAGAAATGTCTGTAGAATTTCAAGATGTATCAAAGGGAAATCATAATAAGATCCAAATAAACAGGACAAAAACAATACCAGGTATTGCAATTACGCTAACCTAATTAGGATGAATAGTTAAGACAAAATATTTAACTGTTAAATGGGTTTGCAAATCATAAATATAAATATTGTGCCTAGCAAAGGGAATGGTGTGAAAAAAATATAACAAAAACTTAAGTGGGTTGCCGTATTCAATAATTTCCTCAATCATAAATACAGATTGTAAAGAAGACATTCTTTAGAAGACTTCAACTCTTTTGCAGTAAGAAGACTTTGCAAAATTGCAACTGAAAGATTCTACTAGATTATAATTGGTCAAGCTGGTGCTTTACAACCAATCAGAAGGGATAGGCTTCATAAAGTTCTGTAATTTCAGAGATTTCAGAGGAGACTATGTTCATTTCCAGCACACATACATGCACCTTTTCAAGGACACATACTGGCTGTGTTACCAGAAGGAGCATGGAATAATGAAAAAGAATATTCTCTGCCATGTTATTCCTAAAGGATCCTCTGAAACCTCAGGCAATGTATGCCCAGTGCCTGTCCTCAGCACAATGTGAAATTGGCTTTTATTATTAAAGGGCATGGTTCAAGTAGAACACATAGGATGTCCCCTGGGTCAGGGCAATTAAATTGTCCTAGTCAGGAGAAATTAGTTTCTCCTGGATGGCGGATCCAAAATTTAGTTCCAGGTTCCCCAGGTGCCCCCTCTTCTTAGTGATCTCCCTGGAGAGTGCATTCTTATTAAATTTCTTGTGCACAAGTTCTCATATCAAGGTCGGCTTCTAAGGAAACTGCCTTACAAAAGTGACCTGAAAGTCTTATCCATCATACCAATTAGTATTTGTTTTAAGTCAAAGAAATGTATCTCTAATTGTGGAATTGGGTCTATTCACAGAGGTAAAAGAAGGGGTTCCCAAAGGTCCAGAAAACCATCTGACATAACGATTACCACATACAGGTAAAAGGCTTGTCCCATGGGGAAGGCACAGTATGGAAACATGGACTCCGAAAAATAACAAAAGAATAAATAAATAATAGCTAGTCCCATAGTCCAAATGTCAAATGTTAATAAAGTATCACCCAGCATAAGCTGAACTTCATTGTGCTGCTGGTACTGTGTTAGTAAAACCTCCCGTGCAGAGTCACCCTGCCAAAGAGGCAATGTGGGCATGCTGCATTTCAGCAAAGGATGCTTCGGACAGACTCAGGTCCCATCAGCGTCATCACAGTGGCTCCTGATGGGCTCATATGACAGAAATGAAGGAGACGGTTAGAAGAACAAATGATGCTTCTCCAGCAAGGGATACACTATGTGTGTGGCTGAAATCCCAGAGGTTGAAGAATAAACCTGCCTGCCCATCTCACATAGACCTGAGAATGAGAATGAAAATAATGGCCTGAAAGGGTTGAGGTGAAAGATCCACTGTAACAAATGTGGGAGCAAAAGGAAAATGGCCCACGTTAAGCAAAACTCCATGGTCCAAGTCATTTCTGTGCAGGAAGCAAGCCCCTGGGATAGAAGGGACAGACAAACAGAGCCTTGATCTCCTGTTGGAGAATGAAGAAATGACCAAAGATCAGGAGCCAGTGCTATGCAGGATGCAAGACACGGATGTTGTCCACTGTGAATGCTGGTAGACAGTGAAGCTAATGTCCCCTGTCAGAGACTGGAACTGATGCAGCGTGGGAATATCAGAGATGTTAGAATCAATGAGTGCACTGAATAAGAGGTGAGAGGCTTTAAAGAATTGGCAAAGAAAATTCCTCAATAAACATTTGTCCCACTGTAGCACTTTTCTTAAATTAAGGTAAAAAAGGAACTTTTGATGCCACTCAAGGGGGAAATTGTTTTTACAGGTGTGGTTTTCCAGCCCATCACCCTTACTTCCCACACATAGGAAATAGAAGCATGATTTCCTAGTTAACCATTTGATGAAGGATTCATTTTCTGTTGACTTAAGCTCGTAGGTCTTTATCTATGTATGCCCAGCCTGGGCTGACTGGCACTTTATTTTGCTGAAACGAGAAGATATATATTTTATTTATATCTTCCCCCCAGTGCAAGTGACTGAATGTTTGTGTCCCTCAAAATTCATGTGTTGAAGTCTTAACCTCAGTGTGATGGTACTAGGAGGTGGGGCCTTTGGGAGGTAATTGGGAGGTAATTAGGTCATGAGGGTATATCCCTTATGAACAGGATTAGTGCCGTTATAAAGGGACCCCAGAGAGTTCCCTTGCCCTCTTTTGGCCATGTAAGGGCACAATGAGTAGTTGGCAGTCTGCCACTCAAAAGAGAGTCTTCATCAGCACCCCACTATGCTGGCACTCTGATCTTGGACATCTCAGCCTCTAGAGCTCTGAAGAATAAATTTCCATTGTTTATAAGATACCCAGTCTATGGTATGTTGTTATAGCAGCCTGAACTCTGACAATAGATAATATTAACTCTCCACTATGGTCTGTAGCTGAAAACAGCCATGTGGGTCTAGGGTACTGTTTCTCCAATATTGCCTGAAGACCATCTGCATCAGCTACCTGCTTAGCTGGAATGGGAGACGTTTGACTCCCTTCCCAGACACAATGAAGCAGAATCCACCTAGTGGGCTCAGAGCTCTCCATTGTTAATCAGAACCCCCTGTTGATTTCATGTATTAGGCTTTGGGAATTTCATGTCTATCTGAGAAATATTATTACATATACCTGAAAATTGGTATTTAGCTTGCAAACTGCTATAACGGTAATATATGAATATGACATCTGTTTACATTTTCTACATTTTGTGGATAGGAACTGTTAACTTCTAACTTCCCCCAAAAGGGCACCAAAACAACCCATTGATATAGTAAAGCTGAGTTTACTGCTTGCTGCAGCAAGGAATCCACTAAACCATTATGACAGCATCTAAATAGCATCTGAGGGGAGTTCTATGGTTTTGGCGAGGGTTGAGTTTCTGTTTTAAGATAAGTCTTTTCATGCTATTAGGAATGGGCTAATTGGGATTATGTAAAGCGCATGCATTATAGTTTGGGACCAGTGGGTGCAGCAAAAGGAGACTTTGAAGAAAGTTTCCAAGAATAGGCCATTGTTTGGTGAGAAAACAGTTATTTACTGAGACTAGTTAAGCAATCTATTGCCTGAGATGGGGATAAGGACTCAGTTGACAAGTCTATTCTCCAGATAAATATATTTTTGAGAAGACCCAGATACCATAAAGTAATTTGTAAGTTTATCATCTCGGCAAAGGTTTCCTAGAAGAGAAAAATTACATTAATATAGACAGTCAAAGGCTAAAGTCTTGCTAATGTGGACAGTGAACTGTAGAGTTGCAGATGCCTTAAGTTCGTCAAATTGGGAGTTGGAGTTGCCTGTGTCTTATTAACTCTATGGAATGTTCTGTTGGCTCTGTATCAGTGTCAGTGGAGTAAGACCCAGACTGCAATTTCAGGAAGGAAATCAGACCTGAACCTGGCACTCAGAGATGCTCTTCCAACTGGCGTTAAGCAGAAATAAATAGAAGACAGGATATGCTTCATTGCGTCTCTCAGGTCTAATGTCTGTGGTAATAGGATAAAGGAAATTGAAATGTTTGGTCTCTGATTTCTCTGTGGGAAAGGCTGGAGAATATTTCATTTTTGAGATGTGCTACTGGTCAAGGACTTGCTTTGTCACATCACTATTGTGGCTGCAAATTTCAGGGTTGCTATATTTTTTAAGCAACATCATCACCCAAACCTGGTACACTTTATTTATCACTGCCTGTGAACTTGGATGGACAAGAGCGATCTTAGTTTATTTTTTGTTGCTATAAAAAAATACCTGAGGCTGTGTAATTTAGTTCATAAAGAGGTTTATTTAGCTCATGGTTCTGCAGGCTGTGCAAGAAGAATGGCAGCAGCATGTGCTCGGCTTCTAGTGCGGCCATTTGTGCTGCACTGAAGCATGACAGAGAAGTTCAAAGGGGAAGTGGGAACATGCAAGTGCAAACAGAGACCGCACCTGATGGGCTTCCTGCCTTTATAACAACCCGCTATCCGGGGAATTAATTTGTTTCTCAAGAACAAATCCAGTCTTAGGAGAGCCAGAACTCACTCACTACCCTGAGCCAACACCTCCCACGACACTGGGGATCAAATTTCAACTTGAGATTTAGTGGGGACAAACAAACTATATCCAAACCACAGTAGTAGCTAAGCATATTATTGAGAAGGGAAATAAACCAACGTAACTAATGAGCTAACTTCAGAGTGGGATTGGTAGGTAAACTTAAGTAATATTTGGTCCTCACTTATTTCATAACTCTAGGTCATAACATCAAAGAGCCATTAATTCACAAAGGCGTGACCTGTACTCTGCATGCCTGAACTTTGAATAGTAGTTACAAAGAAAAAACAGAGTGTGCTTGGAGAATGTGTCTATGCAGGCGGCTATAGGATTTTCTTATATTCCAGAGATGTTATGACCTACGTGAGGATAGCAGTACCTTGATGAATCCTGGATGTGGCAGCTGAGATAAACAGGATGGCAAAGAACAAAATTGCTGGAAGGTGTTTGCAGGAACAGTGTTTCCCCAAGTTTTCATGTAATGGTACACATAGAAAGTAGTGGTATTTATAAAATCTACTGGTCAGGTTCAGGAATTTCTGCCCTGAGGACAGGAGAATCAATAGCTCAACAAACCTATGCACATTCAAGAACTCAGGTTGGAAAGCTCTGATCTAGAACAAAAGAGTTTCTCTCTGGATCTGCATCCGCATTCCACCATCAGAGAACAGGAGAGGAGATAGAATCTCAAGTTCAAGAACATTCACGGAACCCCATTTTTAGGTGGAAAATGGTAGCTTGATTGCTTTAAAAATGATATAGATGGAAGAAAGGCTCTGCTTCTGGTTGATTGAGTTACTTTTTTTTTTTTTTTTTTTTTTTTTGTAAGTTGGCCTTTCTCTGTCACTGGAGAGGTGAGAAGGAAACTCCATTGCTGTAGTGGGCTTAGGGAACAGGGGAAAACTTTGCCTTGATCTTACATCTGCTGAATAAAAGAAGAAACCCCTTTGTGGCCATTGAAATTTCATTTGGTTTGGGGGATTAAGGCCTCAGCTTGTCATCTAAGTTGCCATTGTTTGGTGCAAGATCAAATGCACAGCTGGATAGTTTGGGAAAACTGAAGCTAGAGCTCCATGTCCTCACTTTCTCACCAAACAGTGGCTTTTACAAGCACTCATTGCTGCTTGGGTTCGGGGGGCATGCAGAAGGAATGCTGATGCCTACGTCTCCGAGGCTTGACCCAGGGAGGAGACATCATGCGATTACCAATAAGCTCCTTCAAACTGAGAGCCCGTAGGATGCCACCATCACTGACAACGGCTACTTGGGTTTTCATTGCTTGGAGAAGACAATTGCTGTTCATTGTGCCCATTGAGCAGACATGTTTGTGGGCATGCAAGAAACAGCATATAGTAATCCTTGGACTTGATTATATGCACATTCTTTTTTCCTTTTTAATTACAGTAGTCTTCTGTGACACAAGTGGCACTTCTGTTACTCTCCTGAAGGAGGACCCTCTGAATCACCCTCGAGGACAGGCACTTGCTCTGCACAGACTTCCCTGTTTGGAGAGCCGTCTGTGCATCCAGCTTCCCACTCTCCCCAGGCACCAAACAATGAGGTTCTGTCTAAGGCTTCTTGAATTTGTCAAACCAGGACAGTAAGGAACTGAATTCTATGACAGCAAGTGTTTTTAGAAACAAAAAAATGAAGGTCAAACTTGGGTATTCTAATTCATTTTCTTCAAAGCAACTAGACATGGTAACAAAGATCTCTCTTTTTCTCCTAGACACACACAGAGACCACACTTAGTGAGAAGCAACATTAAAATTGCTTACACAAATTTCTATAAAAGCAGGCTTTGAAGCTTCAAGTCATTGCACTGTCCTCAGTCCATGATATTTGATTCCCTTTTCTTTACATACAATTTCAGTAAGTAAATTTAGTATATATGTACACATGCATATTTATACATTTTATTTCACACAAAAATCCTGTGAGCTGGTTGTAATGATTAATGTTATGTGTCCACTTGACTGGGCCACAGAATGCCCAGACATTTGGTTAAACGTTATTCTGGGTGTATCTGTGAGGGTGTTTTGGGGTGAGATTGACATGTGAATTGGCAGACTAGATAGAGAAGACTGTCCTCCCTACATTGGGTGGGCTTCATCAGTCAACTGAAGACCTGAACAAATATCTGAGTGAGAAGGAATTCCCCTGCCTAAGTGGCTGTTTGGGATGTTAGTTTTTTCCTGCTTTCAGATTCTAATTGAAAAAATGGCTCTCCATGGATCTCAAATCTGCCAGCTTTTGGACTAGAACTCACAACATCAGAAGGTTCTCCTGGTTCTCAGGCCTTTGGATTCTAATGAGAACTATATCACTGAACTCTCCTGAGCCTCCAGTTTGCCAATTGCACAAGCCAATTCCATATATATATATGCACACACATACATATACGTGTGTGTGTGTGTGTGTGTGTGTTTCTCTGGAGAACACTGACTAATACAGTGGTATTATTCTTCCCATCCTAAAGAGCTCAAAAAGGCTTTGTGGCACCCTAAAGTCACGTAGCTAGCAAGCTACATCTAGTATTCAAATTCAGTGCTTTTCCCATTTCACCGCAGCTGCCATGATATCAAAGCCCCAGCCCCTCTACTGTAAGGTGTCCAGACCATGTGACTGTCTGCAAATCTGGTACAAATGCAGGGTTCCCTGAAGGTAAACGTCCACAATCCAACAACTCCACTCTCCCCAGGCATCTCCTTTAGAAACACACACCCCTACTCATCAAGAATGATTGATTTGTCTTCTCAGTATCTGCATTTTCCCTGAGCATGTGTCCAGCTCTTACTCATAAATCCTCAAGCACCACCGCTAAACATAAGAGAGGGACCCCACTTCGTCACCCCAGAGGAATCCCAAGGCCCGACTGGGCACAAACATGCTTACTAACCTCATGCACACAGTTACCACATGATTCATAATCCAAAATAAGACCCTTTGGAGAAGAGAGTGGAGAGGTGCTATAAATCCCAACACTAGGACAGCAGATATAAATGGTGACTCTCCTGGGTAGACTGGGAAATACAGTCATCCTGTTTATACACCTAATGTCTATTGAGCATCATGTTAGCAAATGCCGTGGCTTTAACATCCCTGAAATAGAGGATCAGCATGTTCTGATAATCGACACTCACATTTTCTCCTTTTCTACCTGAAAAATAATGTACCAAATTTCAGGTGGTGTTGCTCTAAGGACCTAAAATTCATTTTTAACAATCCAGTCAAAATTCATGTGTGTGACATACACATACACTTGTTTCTTTCTATCCCCTTTAAGTTCAAGGAAAGTGCTGTATCTAAGGAAGTTGCTTTGGATTATTAGAAAATCATCAATTAAAGATAAATGGTCAGGAAAGACATTTCAGGACTTGCCCATTCAGGAAAGCATGTATAATTGGGTGAACCTAAAACTTCTCGTGGAGTTGTAAGTGTTCCTCATGCTCCCCAGACACCTGGTCAAGGCTTCTGGTGCCCTGTGTCTGAGAGAGGTTGGAAAAAATTTCCTTGCCCATTTTTTATCCTGCCTTTGAATGTGAGAATAAACAGGGCTGAAATCAAACATCAATAATTTATTCAAAAGGTTTAAATTTCAAAAAGAGGATTGACTTATTAGAACCAGTTTTGGCAGTAAGAGTGAAAGTTGTTGCTGTTGTTTTGTTTTGTTTTGTTTTGACATTGTACAAAGAAAATAAAATGAATATAATTCAATTTCTCAGTTCCAAACATGTTTCCACAAAAGTCAAGTTGAAATGTTTTTCCATAGCATTTAAAAGAGTACAGTAATAGCACATTAACAAAAAATAGGTCAATGGTCATGACAGATTCCAGAGTACTCCACAGGTTTTACATAGGTGATAAGCTATAGGGAAAGTAGAAGCTATTCTAGAAATGATGTTTAAAAAAGTAATTATTAATTCAGAAAACAGTCTTGAGTTATATTTCTACATTGTACCATTCACAAAAAAGTTGTTTGTAAAAAATCAAATAAGTAAATTAGAACTATAGAAACATTCAACAAATATAAAAACAGACAAATATTAAAAACATGTTTATTATGTTAGTTTAGAAAAGGGATTCATAATTGAAACAATAAGACAATGTCTATACAGTAATAAATGATTGCTTTCTCTACATTAAAAGGTAGAATTTTTATATGACTAAAGATGTCATGAAATATTTAAGTACAAAGGAGAGAGCAGGAAAATAGAAAGAAATCTTGATTATTAATAAAAAATATATGAAAGACTCAACAGAAAAAAATGGGCAAAATGAGTGAATAGGCAATTGTCCAAAAAAAAAAAAAAAGAAGAAAAGAAAAAAGGCACGCAAAACCTTACAAAATATATGGAAAAATAACCCATCTAAGAAGTAAACAGAAAATTTACATAGAAATCCAAACTAAAAAGCAATTTTAGATCCATAGAATTGACAGTTTCAAAGGATTGGCAATGTTTAATGTTGACTAGAATGAAAAAACTGCTGTTACTCTCACACAGTACTGGTGGGAATGTAAATTGGTCTTTGGAGAACTTTCAGGTAGATTGCATTAAAATGTTAATGCAAAGATACCCAGCACAAGGCTATCTTTGCATTATTTTGTTTTGTTTTGTTTTGTTTTGTTTTTTGAGATGGAGTCTCGCCCCATCGCCCAGGCTGGAGTGCAGTGGCGTGATCTCGGCTCACTGCAAGCTCTGCCTCCCGGGTTCGCACCATTCTCTTGCCTCAGCCTCCAGAGTAGCTGGGACTACAGGCGCCCGCCACCACGCCTGGCTAATGTTCTGTATTTTTAGTACAGACGGGGTTTCACTGTGTTAGCCAGGATGGTCTCAATCTCCTGACCTTGTGATCCGCCAGCCTCGGCCTCCCAAAGTGCTGGAATTACAGGCATGAGCCAGCGCGCCCAGCTTGCAGTATTTGTTTAGCGAAGAGTTGTAAACAACCTAAGTATTGGCCTTAGGTAGAATAGGCTAACTGCTATAATAAATGAAACCAAATGGTAATGACTCAACAGACAGTTTACTTCTTGCTCAGTGACTGTCCTGATAGATGTATGGTCAATGGGCTGCACTCCTGCTTTTTTTGTTTGGCTCCTTTTATTTTAGGGCTCAGCCAACCTGTGGAGTTTTCTGAGTCCATATCCGGCTGGGGGAGAGGAGAGACCACGGAACAAAATCCCAAGGGGGTGTAAAGGGGCCAGGCCCCGAAGCAGCATCTACAAGGTCTCCACTGGCTAGCTGCAAAGCATGCTGGGAAATGTGTCCATGGCCAAGGGAAGTAACGTTTGGTGAACTCTAAGCTGTCTGTGCCTCAGTGTCTAACAGGGGAGAAACATCTAACTGTAGGACAACAATCCATACACAGAGATTGAGGTGAATGTACATGTATCCTTTCAAGTCAGAAATAAAAATGAAAACGCAGAAATAAAGAAAATGATGCCATTTATTGTAAAATAACATCATTATCATATTTATTTAGAGACACATGAATGCATAGGACATAGTGAGTAAGGACGTACTCGAATGCAGTGGTCCCCAACCTTTTTGACACCAGGAACTGATTTCGTGGAAGACAATTTTTTCATGGACTGGGTTGGGGGGATGGTTTCAGACTGGGGTTGGGGGATGGTTTTGGGATGATTCAAGAGCATTACATTTATTGTGCACTTTATTCCTATTATTGTCATACTGTAATATTATGATGAAATTATTATACAACTCACCATAATGTAGAATCAGTGGAAGTCCTGAGCTTGTTTTCCTGCAACTAGATGGTCCCATCTGGGGGTGATGGGAGACAGTGACAGATCATCAGTCATTAGATTCTCATAAGGAGCGTGCAACCTAGATCTCTTGTGTGCACAGTTCACAATAGGGTTTGCACTCTTATGAGAATCTAATGCTGCCACTGAACTGACAGGAGGCAGAGCTCAGACAGTAATGCTTACTCACTGCTCACTTCCTGCTGGGTGGCCCAATTCCTCCTGCTGGGCGGCCCAGTTCCTAACAGGCTACAGACTGGTACTGCTCTGTGGCCTGGGGCTTGGGGACCCCTGCCCTAATGGGTAGCAAAAGTTATCTCAGAGACTTTGTTGGGATTCAGATTGTGGTCAAAGGGAAAAGGAGAGTGTGCACTTAGAAGTGATATTTGAATAGTTTTCAATAAAATGAGTGTGTTTGTTCATTACTAATATAATAAAAAATAAGGTTGATAATGATGGTGTTCTACAGCTCTGATTTTGGGGGAATTTTGAGGCCATTGGGAAGTGATATGTGGATTTTTTCTTTTTCTTTTTTTTTAATTAAAATTTTATTTTTATTTTAAGTTCCGGGGTACATGTACAGGATGTGCAGATTTGTTACATAAATAAACATGTGCCATGGTGGTTTGCTGCACCTAACAACCCATCATCTAGGTATTAAGCCTAGAATGCACTAGCTATATTTCCTAATGCTCTTAAGAAACAACAGATGTTGGTGAGGTTGAGGAGAAATAAGAATACTTTTACACTGTTGGTAGGAATGTAAACTAGTTCAACCATTGTGGAAGACAGTGTGGAGATTCCTCAAAGATCTAGAACCAGAAATAGCATTTGACCCAGCAATTCCATTACTGGGTATATACCCAAAGGAATATAAATCATTCTATTACAAAGATACAGGCATGTGTATGTTCACTGCAGCACTATTCACAATAGCAATGTAATAGAATCAACCCAAATGCCCACAATGATAGACTGGATAAAGAAAATGTGGTACATATACACCATGGAATATTATGCAGCCATAAAAAGGAATGAGATCATGTCCTTTGCAGGGACATGGATGGAGCATTTTCCCTTTTTTTTTAACTGCCTTTTTCTCTTTTTTCTCCCATACACAAGACTGTTAAAACAAGTGGCTCAAAGATAAGTTTTGCTTTCTATTACACCACAACGTTTCTCAAAATACTGTTTCTAGAACTCATCTGAGCTTCTATATCTGTGGTTTCCAAACTTCAATATGCTGCAGAATCATAGGGGGGCTTATTAACACAGACTTTGAGTCCTATTCCACCAAAGTTGTAGATTCAGTAGTTGGGGATGCACACAAGAATTTGCATCTTCAACAAGCTCTCAGGTGATGCTGGTGCCACTGACCTGGGATAACACACTGAAAACCATGTTGCATAGAAATGTGCATGTTCTTTGCTTTAGATGTCTTGCTTGTATACCACCAGCTATGCTTTCATGAAGTTTATTTACTTCCATTACATCTGTATGGTGTAAATACCACATAACAGTATTTTTCTGAGCATCTCTTCCCAACTACCTGTTCAGTGACATCACCTTGATAGGTTGAAATCAGCCAAAGCAGGATGTTTATAGCATGGAAATCAGCAAATGCCAGAAAGTCAGGGTTCCCCTACTACCTCCCACAAGAGACAGTTGTTAAACATTTACTAACACACTGTTGATTACACAAAACCATCATTGCTGCATAACTCTTTAATATGCATGTCCGGGGTTCAAACGGGTGCTGGCTTTCTGGCTTAGACACCCTAAATTCTCCTTACTCCACCTAGAAAGGAGGCTGTTGTCTGGCTAAGATATGTTTTTGAGCTTGGTAAAACACACTTTCTTGAAAAAAAAGGAAAGGAAATAAAAACCGAAGGCCGTCCAGTTTGGGGTGCTGGATAGTTCTCTTTCTGCAGAGTGTGGACAGGGGCACGGTAGGAACAGCCATATTTGTTGCTGTGGTCTACACGTCTTCTTCACCATATCATAGAAATGTAACTGAACTATCAGGGATGTCCATGCAAGCCTTCACAGTGCTCATCTCAAAGCCAGTTCTTCCCAGGTAAAGCTGTCTCTGCTTTCATTTTCTTGGCTCTCTCTACCTCTTTGCATTTTAATAATTGCTGAGCACAAAAGCATTGCTCTAATACCAACACTGATGTTTCTGGCTCCCTGGCCGAATAAGTTGATGAAAGGCTTTTTAAGGTCCAGGAGAAAGATCCTGACTGGGTGTGGACATCAGACAGCTCAGACAGCTCACTCACTGTCTACACCATGGCATTGGCCAAGCGATGGATCTTCAGTTTCCTCCTGTGTAAGATGAGGATAATAGTACCTAACTCAAGAGTTGTGGAAACTGGGATAGATCATTTAAAAATATGCTAGTAGAGAAGCTGGCTACATTAAAATAAGCTTCTTACTATTGCCAAAATATATACTAGAGTATCTTCTTTTGAGAAACTCAGGAGAATAATTTTCTGAAGAATGAAATTAGGATAGCCTCTGAAACCTGAATGCTAAATCCCATTGTAGTATTTAAGTTGTCCAGCTTTATTCCTATGTGGCATTAACTTTCCATGTATAAAGTTATAGGAAAGAGCTCCTTGCTGAGGCCCTGGCTAATACCTCTTTGTGTCTGAGCACTGACACCTGTGAGCATCAATAATCACTTTGTTCACTCGCATTATTAAAGGAGAAATGTGCCTATGAGAAATCCAGAAGGTTTGCTCTATTTATTTGGGAAGACAGAGAATGCCTTCTCACATCTTGACATTTTAATGACAGGATAATATAGTATTATCCAACCCAACTTGTCCTGACTCGTTCTGCTTAGGTTCAGCAGGAAGAGCCCACTGAACACCAGGAATACAGTTGCATCAAGCTGCTCTGCATGCTCTGTCCGAATCAGGTTTGGAGACACCCAAAGCATTTTTCCTTAGAGATTGCATTCCTGTTTTGAATCCGAGTCCTCGTATTCTAGACCTGGCACAGACAGTAGAAATCGCTCAGCCCAACCAGATCATTTTAAGGAGGAAGGAACAAAGCAGAGGGCAGGGATAATCCCTCCCCTCCCATCACAGCTAGGGAGCAGCCGAGCCAGCATTTCACGCCAGGCATCAAAACAGTAGTAAACCTCAAAATTTTGTCAGCCTTGTTCAAATTTCTAGAAATTAGTACTGGGATTTTTACATCAAACAAAGCGAATTCTTAGATGAGAAAAGCTAAGACTAATGTCAAGAACCATAAAGGTCTTACAAATTGTATATCCTGGTAAACTTTTCGAGAACATAGATAGTAATGATTGTAATAATATTAACTGATAAGCCTATGTACTATACATATCATATGTACTGTACAAATATATTGTTATACTGTTCTGGGCTTATTCTATACAATAATACACTTTAATTTTCACAATAATACATAAGCTACGTATGATTATTTCTATTTTAGAGAGAAAAAGATACTAGTAGAAGTCTACAGAATTGAAACATCAGGCTGGTTAGTGGGAGAGCCAGGATTTGAACTTGGCATTTGTTGGAAGCCAGAGCCCATTTCTTTCTTCTGAACTGTCAAGGACAAATCTTTCCATGACTCCCCTCAGAACTCCATCTCAGAGTGAAATCTGTGTCCAGACAATGCTGATCTTTCGTTTTGATTGTCTTCCTGCCTCATTGCCTTTCAGGCAGTGGACAGCATCCTATTACTCATAGAGCCTGACTTTGAAATGAATTCAAATATCCCAAGCACTTCTGAGGCATGCAAGGTCTTTCTGTTTAAAAGATTGTATGCTTAATCACTTCCATGAGGCTGGGACATCTTGCAGAGGACACGCCAACTGAAGTCAGAATACTGATAAAACCTCAGAAACCAGAGCAAGGGTCTCTAGGGACCAGGGTGTGGAGTGAGGGATTGGACTGCAAAGGGGAATTGGAAAATTTCAGAACATCTTGATACAAATACTCTACATTTTTATTGTGTTATTCGTTACAGGACTATTTACATGTGTCAAAACTAATCAAATTGTACACTTAAAAATTAATGAATTTTATTGCATGTAAATTATGCTTCAATAAAGTTTATTAAAAACAGTCTTCAAAGTTATAATCCCTAGGCTATAATTCTTAACAGCCTTTGAAAATCCAAAAAGTATGCCTCTGCAACAGTCAATATTTCTGTAGAAAGTAGATGGCACACCCAAATGAGATAATTTTAGTATAATTCAGTAAAGGGATTGTTTATAAAGAAGCAGGCAAGGTGTAGGGTGAGCACGAGAACAGTCTAATTTCCTGGGCTAGTAACATCCTAGAGCTGCCAACCCTTCCAGCCTGAGAGGGGAGGGGTGGGAGAAATTGCGCCCCCAGAGAGGTCAGCAGTGTGGGAAGGCCACTAAGCAGGGGTGGGGGCCTCAGGAGAGTCAAGAGATCCAGCCAGACCCTGAGCCCATCAGAGAGAGGACAAGGGCATAGAAATATATATGTGCAAAATTATTACGTGTTACAAAAATTAAGTCACTAATTATTAGATTGCAATGAGTTAAAGACATGTATTGCATTCCTTTAAGGAGCCAGTATATATAGACATAAAATTTAATACATTACTAACAGTATACTGAAAATAATTTGTTTTACACAAAAGAAGATGTCAAAGGAGAAACAGAGTAACAAACAAGATGAATAAACAAATAAGATACACACCTGACCCTTCTCTAACTCTCCTTATGCGGGTGCTCCTCAATACCCAAGTTCAACCTGAAGCCAGAGGCTCCAGAGGCATTCCCTAAGGATGTGTCCTGGGGCACGGGCTGGACTTGGAAGGAGGCAGAAGGGTCTGAAAGGCAAACAGAGGGTGGCCAGCATGGCCTTGCTGAGCACCTGCCGCTATTTGATTTCCAGTGCTCTGGGGGCATCAGCTCTCCCCCAACCCCCTACCCACCTCTTTCTAGTCTTGCCTTTAGTGAAAAGGTGTGAGGGGTGCTCATTTCTCTGATACAGTCCATTCAGGATTCGATCAGGACAGATCAGTGGGTGTGGGATTTCCCTAAGTGGGCCCTTGGCCCCATGATCCCTGCAGAAGGTGACTACCAGAGCCAGGAGCCTCCTCTGCAGGGAACAGCTCCTCATGGGCATGGACCACGAGTGTGAGGCCACTGCTGCTCACCAGCTTCCAAGATCAAAGCCGCTGGGGTGCCAGGATTTTTAAATAAAAAAAGATGGAGAGATTGCTTTGGAAATCAGTGTCATCCATGGTTCCGTTCATTCTTTGACGCTTATAACCTATCCATCAACAATCCTAGTGGCTCCACAGAACACATCCAGAAAATGGCTTCATCTAATCTCCTCCATGGCTTCTAGTTTAAGTGAAATCCCCATAATTTCTTACCTCAATGATTGCAATCACCCCTTGATCAACCCTGAGCCTCTCTATCCCCCAACCTCCTTAATTCTATTCTCAACAGGACAACCTGTGGAAATCATTCAGAATGAAAATCCAATCACGACACTTCTGGACTCAAAAGCTTCCCTTGGCTTTTCATCTCACACAGATACAGAAGCTGAAATTCTTAGAATGGTTCATCAGGCATTTTTTTTTTTTAATTTTTTTGTAGAGTCAGGGTCTCACTATGTTGCCCAGGCAGGTCTGAAATTCTTGGTCTCAAGCTATATTTCCTGCCTTGGCCTCCCCAGTAGCTGGGATCACAAGCGGGAGCCACTGCACTGGCCACCAGAACTGATGTGTGATGGTGTGTAAGCCGTACCCATACCATTACACATCAGTTCTCTCTGGCCTCATCACTTACAACTCCCTTCCTCACTCACGCTGCTCCATCCACACTGCCCTCCTGGCTATTTCTGGAGCATCTCAGGAACGTTCCTAACTCAGGGCTTTTGCATTTGTTGTTTGCTCCAACCTTATAGAAAGCATAGCTCTCACCTACCTCTTTCAGGCCTTTTCTCCAGTAATGTAGGCAGAAGTGCTTTGTATATTTACTCGTGTCATTAATTAGAGCATGACCCTGCTCTCCAGTACAAATTTTAAAAAGCCACAGATGTCTTCTATACAAATTCATGAACTTCAGGGATCCCTAGAAGCTTCCTCATGTATTCCCTTAGTTTCAAACGATTTCAGTAAAGCATAAAAACATAAAGACGTACATTCACAGAAACACACACATACACAGTTTTGTGTGTGTGTGTGTGTGTGTGTGTGTGTGTGTGTGTATGTTGGCTTCCTGAAACCTTGCCCAGAAGCAACTACTCTCATCTTCAAAACAAAAGTGAAGGGCAAAAGCCTGACTCACTCTACAGAAATGCTTTCCAGGCAACTATTCAGAAATACCTGAATCAATAGCAACCTCAATGATCGGGTAATGTTTCTCAGTATAAGTCTTCTTGTTTCCAAAGAAACTTTCTTTTTCAGTAGCTCTCTGCAGCTGAGCAAATGCTAAAAGCCACTGGTGAAACCTATTACCTGACGCTAATAGGGTTTGAGAAAGAAGCAGGCAGTGTTACTAATATCCTCATTCTGGACTCTGAGATAAGAGCCCTTTCTATGCTGAGCTTTGTTGTGAGTGAAATTTCTCATCCATGCTGCAGATAAGATGTCCCCGCTTGTTGAAAGCATTCCTGAGCTTCCATTTAACAAGTTATGAATGGAGCTGTCTGTGCTGCAAGCTCTGAGAAGCTGTTTATCACCTTCTTCCCCAGACGCTCAGTCACCTCTGCTTTTTTATCTTCCCTGGGTCCTGAAACCATAAGTGTGATCGCTTCTCCTTCACCCTCCATACACCCACCCTATAGGTGGGGGCATTCATTTGAAAGGTGTTCCACTTGGGGCCACCAAGACGAGGACCCCTTCCTGCAGTTACCCAGGAGGCTCTGATGCTGGCCTCTGGATGATGCAGTGTTCTCTGCATGATGCTGAGGCCTGGACCTTGCTGTGAGATAAGAAACAGTGACCATGAAGTAAAGCATTAAATGAACACAGGATATCATGCCTTTAATTAAGCAATTTCAGCGGCATGCATTCCCACTGGCCACTCTGCACTCCAGGCTGACTTGGAGAATTAGTTTGATATTCATAAAAAAAGATGTTCCCAGTGAGCAATTCTATCAAAACGGGTTCTTGTCTTTTCTTTTTGTCCCTACACACCATCCTGCCCCACATCCAGTGGCTTCCTAGCTAGTCTGTTTCCATCTCACTTTCTTCAAAAGCACCCACTACCCACAGGCAGGATCCGTCTCCTGGGGCATTTCCCATCATGGAGTGTTAGTAGAGACCACAGCATGGGCACACAAGGGCATAGGCCACAGCTGCCAGCCACCTAGACAATTACCTTCATCCTTCTCCATAGTAATTTTTAATGTGTTTGTCCTTTTATGACAGCCCTCTTGGTGTTATGCTGTATTGAGTTGCTGAGCCACCATTCCCACTGTTGGACTGAGATGCCAGAGGTTAGAGATCATTGAACAATTTGTATCCGCAGGCCCTTGCTCCTCAGGACCATGTCTTATCTGTAATAGTTTCTCAGTAAGTATTTGTTGTAAGGGTAGATGTGTATCCAGTGGATTAAGTGAGCTAAACTCAATGAGGAGACAAATATAAAAAGCTTGATTTCTTTCTCCAGCCTGTGCCAGATCTCAATTACATATAATTATTTTAGATAATTAAGAGTCATCGTCAGCTATTTTAAAAGACTAGTACTGTCTAATTGGAACCTTCCAGTCCAGGGAGATGTTCCTCTCCCGGAGCCTCGGAGGAAGGAGTGTGGGCTCTTCCATCTTTCCTCCTCCTCCTCCTCTCTCCCCAGCTTTATGCTGCCTCTGGCTGCTCCAGGATCTGCACAGAAAGCTGGGAAAACAGCAATGGAGGCAGAGTACTGAACTGACTGCTGGCATTGGCCGTTCCCTCTTGCCACCCTGGGTGGAGCATGGGAGCCACTCTGAGGGTTGAGGGTGGGATCCATGCCTTAGCTGGCCTCCTACGGCCCTGCTTCCCGGTGGAGACTCACACCTCCTCACCATGGCAAGACACCGGCCACAGGCTGCCCACTGTGCCCACCATCCCTGCCCTGACACCTTGGCGGCTGTCCTCAACTCACCAATGCAAATTCTCCAGGCATGAAACAGAAACCAGGCAGGCATCACTCTTGACATTGGGTGCACTTATTAAAAGGACACAACTCCTGTCTTTAAAGTGTTTTTACTTGGTTGGGGCATTAGGCACATGATCAGACCATTACAGTAGACTGTGATCCACATTGTGATGGTTATAAATGTGGGTCTGGGGAGACGAAGGAGGCCACTAACCATAATAGAATTCCCGTCGGACACACTGGCTGCTAAGATCTTGAAATGCATGCTTTACACAGCTTGGCAAATCACCACTTCTCCAAGCTCCCTGAATCTCTTCTCCCTAGCCCCACAGCCCCTCGTCTTTCTCCTCTACCTGCCTTGGAAATTTCAAACAGCACCTAAATCCACCAACTAATGGGTACATTCCTGGTACCGCACAGGCCTCTGGGACCCCACATCAGGACAAAGGCTGTGATCTATTCTGTTTATTTGGTTCCTGGGCTTCAGTGGCTGATAGATATTTTGAACATCGCTCTTGAACCTAACCCTATTCTGAGGGGCTTGGGAGCCTGTGCATTTTCCACCACTGCCCCAGGCAAGAGGTATGGTGGGACTGTGCTCCTTCCTGTTTCTTCTTCAAAGCATCCTTCTGGAGAGTTGCACATCCTCACAGAGACAGGGGCTTTGTGAAATACACCATCAAGCACAGATGAGAATACGTGGCTTCCTACACTTGCTGCTGTGTCTCCCAACAGGTAAAAGGTCACAGGATAAAGAGCCCTGGGGCCATCCTAAGGGATGCTGTCTTCCTCTGCAGCCTCCCCTCCATTAGTTCCAGACAGTCTTCTTTCCAGGTGTGGGCTCATTTTCTCCAGATGCATGATTTCATCTCTCAAATTCATAATTGGAAATATTTTTCCATTTCTACTTTCCAGGAGATTTTTTATTAGCAGGGCTGGCGCCAAGGGGCTTCTGCTTAGTTCCCAGCTAACCAAGAAACCCATCAGGAACATGGTCCCCAAGACACCTGACAGCGAGCCCTGATTATCCTGACTGCACCAGGAGGCAGTGAGCAAAAGGACTGCCTTCCATCATGTGGGTCCTTGAGATTAGGAGGCAGTGAGTAAAAGGACTGCCTTCCTTCCCATGGGTCCTTGAGACTGCGAGGCAGTGAGCAAAAGGACTGCCTTCCATCCCGTGGGTCCTTGAGATTAGGAGGCAGTGAGCAAAAGGACTGCCTTCCATCCCGTGGGTCCTTGAGATTAGGAGGCAGTGAGTAAAAGGACTGCCTTCCATCCCGTGGGTCCTTGAGATTAGGAGGCAGTGAGCAAAAGGACTGCCTTCCATCCCGTGGGTCCTTGAGATTAGGAGGCAGTGAGCAAAAGGACTGCCTTCCATCCCGTGGGTCCTTGAGATTAGGAGGCAGTGAGCAAAAGGACTGCCTTCCATCATGTGGGTCCTTGAGATTATTCACTTTTTACATGGAGGCCCAGGAAGGTGAGAGGCTCACCTGAGTTTTCATAGGAAGAGAAAAAATGAATTCCAGTCCTCCTGGTTCTTTAGGATTTGGGAGAGGAAGATGGGCCCAAAATGACAGCTACAATTTTCTTATTTTAAACATAATGCAGACTAAACATGAAATTTGGAAAGCACAAAAGAATGAAAAAAAACTTGTTAAGAGATAGATTACTGAGATTATTAAGAAACATATAAAGATATAGATATTAAATGGGCATAGCTTATTAAGGGAGATTTAAAAGAATATTCAGGTCATTTAGTTTTTGAATTTTTTTCCATGTTTCAGTTTGTAGATCCTCTGGTTGTATGCCTATTTGAATGTATTATGCTTTCTTTCTATTTGTTTTGCTTAGTTAGATCTGTCAGGGTTTATATGCTTTATTATTTTCCTTGAAGACACAACTCTTGATATTTACGTATTTCACATTTCTTTTTTTCTAATTTGTTAATGCCTGCTTTTGTCTTAAATATATTCTTCAACTTTTTTTCATTAATATAATATTGTTCTCTTACCAAACATCTGAGTTAAATGTTTTATTCATCATTAAAGCTTAATAATAAAAATACTTAGGATTATAACAGTAACTTGGAGTAGAATATTTATGCTTCTCCAATGTTTATACATAATAGCCTCAAGGCTATTATTTTTTAAATAGTCTGTATTAATTTTTTTAAATCCTTCTTTGATCCAGGAGTGATTCCAGAGGCAATTTTTATATTTTTAAAATGTCTAATGATTAAGACTTTTGTTTGCCCTTTTGTTATTAATATTTTCATTTACCCATTTTTGAATTGTTCATTTCTATTCATCTTTTAGTTGACTATGATATTGTTTAGTTTTCAAAAATAATTTCTGAATGATCTTGTTTCTTAATATTTTTAATTTCTGTTATTGCATTTGTAATTCCTTCTATTAGTTTTTTGTTATTGCCAATAGAAATAGAAATTACCACTAATTTAGCAGCATAAAAGAAGAAACATTCATCATGTCAGTTTCTGTGGGTCAGGGGTCCCAGAAGCGTGGCTCAGCCAGGTCCTCCACCCAGGTTCTCCCAAGGCTGCAGTTAAGGCATCTGCACGGGGCTGGGGCTCATCTGAGGCTGGAGCGCCTCGCCATTTCCCATGGCTGTTGCCAGGATTTGTTTCCTTACAGCTGTAGAAGTCTTGGTGGTGTGCTTTTTATAAAGCCAGCAGGAGAAACTCTAGAAAGGGGCGAGACCTCCTTTTAAGGATCTTCACCTAATTAAGTCAGGCCCACCCACAATACTCTCTATTAACTCAAAAACAACTGATTTGGAACTTTAATTATTATGTGCAAAATTCCTTCCTCTTTGCTATCTAACACAATAGAATCCTGTGTGTGACATCTCACCGTAGTCACAACCTACCCCCTCCCACTCACACATCTGGGGCAGGAGGTCAGGGTATTACAGAAGGGAACAGGAACCTAGAGGCCATTCTAGAATTCTGCCTACTTCATTCCTTATTTTGCCCATTTCCATTGTAATATGTTTCTCCTTTCATGTCAGCTTTGCCTCTTCCTTTGGCATTTTATGCCAGTTTTATAGGTCCCATACATTTCCTTAAATGTTGATGAAAATCCTTAGCCCACACTAAGAGAGTAAAGAACATGTCTGTTCTGACCCTGGTAGGATTCCTCTCTCACACAATTCTCCGGATTCCCACCATAGTTCCTACATTGCTCTTACCCAGATATGCCTTATGGAGAAGGCTCCTCCATGTTTTAGACTTCATCTTACTAGTCCCAGTTAATCTTTGACTATTGATTATGCACTACATAAAGATATTTCTAAATCCTGTTTCAAGCTTGCCAATTTAGTTGTACACAAATATGAGGTAACTTTCAGTAGATATGGCCAGACAGGTGAGTTTTCTCTGCAGCCATAACCTCTCTATCAATTTTCATGGAAGTACACCAGCATATAGATTGGCTTTTGTCATATGCAAACACAGAGCAGCGTTGCTACCTGCATTCAGGGCTCAATGGAATTCCAGCTCTGTCTATTTTGTGCCCCACTAATACTCTGCATTAAAAGCTTATATGAGGCAAAAGCAGTAATATTCTAGCCACAGGAATGACCTGACTATAAAGATGAACCAAGTGACCAAGAGCTTTTTTAACTAATACCTGAACATAGACACTTAGGAAGTAAGCTGAGTTGCTATTCCTAATGATGAAGACCAGAGGGCTCCCCAGCTACTTAACTGTGTTCATATAAGGAGGAGAAATGTCTCCAAAACATCTTAGATAATTCATGTATCTCGAATACAACAAATTTCACTGATAAAACAATTTTTGACCTTTTTTTCGAGTAATGGCAGATTTGGTAATTCAAAGTGACCCATTTACTGTAAAGAAAGTAGAAAGGCTGGAAATATATATGTTTTTTAATTGTCTTGGTGGCATTAGAAATTTGTAAGAAAGTAAAAAACGTACCGGGTCCAGATTATGGAGAAAACAGATATGCAAAGGGCTAAAAGCTCAACTTCTCGAGCCACTTATCCTTTAGGAGTTTGGTCAATATGGAAAAAGTTGGCTCTGAGGGCAAGAAATTGAACAGTATGTTTGACCAATTCATACAAGACCATCGGGTCCATAACTAACATGCAGATTACTTGCATTAGAACTCAATGAGCTTTTCACAAGAGTAAGGAGGCATCGCACAGAGATCCTCTTTATAGGAAAAGAATATCATCCTAGTCTCAAAAAATTTATACAAACAATATTTCAATTTAAAAAAAACAAGTGAAGAAACAAGACAACATGTACAAGAACTAAAGAGAATACAGGCCAATTATAAAACTACAGAGCTTCCAAGTATTAATCAGACACATATTTTAAAATAATTATGATTACTATGTTACAAAATGCTAAAACAAACAAACAAATACATACACACAAAAAAGGACTGAGAGTTTTGGTAGAGAAACTGAAATACTATAAAGATGACATAGCAGATTTATTAAAAAGAAACAAATAGAAAGTTTAAAAATCAAAAATATTATAACCAAAATTACAAACTCAATGTATGTGATTAACAGCTGATTAGACATACTGAACAGAGAATTAGTCAACACAGAAAAGATAATAAGCAACAAATTAGACAAAATGAAATTAAAATAAATTCATGAAGTAGGAATCCCAGAAGACAAGAGAGAGCAAGTGACAAACTCAATATTTGAGGAGATAATGGATGAAAAAATTTCAAAAGTGAAAAAAGACGTGAAGCAGGAGATTCAAGAATCCGTAAGAACCTCAAGAAGAATAAATGAAAAGAATGCACCTTGAAGGCTTTCACAGCAAAACTGCTAAAAATCAAAGCCAAAGAGGAATTCTTAAAAATGGATTTAAAAAGAGAGATTACTTTCCAATTACTTAAAAAATGGACTGACAGTTGACTTTTCAGTTAAAAAAAGAAAACCAGAAGTGACTAGAGTGATATCTTCAAAGTACTGCAAGAAAGAGCTGCAAGGCCGGGCGCAGTGGCTCACGCCTGTAATCCCAGCACTTTGGGAGGCTGAGGCGGGCGGATCACGAGGTCAGGAGATCGAGACCATCCTGGCTAACACGGTGAAACCCCGTCTCTACTAAAAATACAGAATATTAGCTGGGCGTGGTGGCGGGCGCCTGTAGTCCCAGCTTCGGGAGGCTGAGGCAGGAGAATGGCGTGAACCTGGGAGGCAGAGCTTGCAGTGAGCTGAGATCGCGCCACTGCACTCCAGCCTGAGCGACAGAACGAGACTCAGTCTCAAAAAAAAAAAAAAAAAAAAAAGTAGAAATAACTACAAACATGAAACGTTATATCATGTAAGAATTATCCTTGTAGAATGAAGAGATTTTCATTTAAACTGCATCTGAGAGAATTTGTCACTAGCAAACCTAAAACAAAGTAAGTGCGAAAGGTGTCTTAGGGAAAAGAAAATCCAAGTGGAGAGGTAATGATTCAGATAGGCATGAAGAAGCACAAACATTATGAATATATAGATAAATGTGTCTACACAAAAAAAAGTGATAAAAAAGTTAAAATAAACTCTTCTGGAGAAAAGACGAAGTGAGAGGTCACATCAACTTGTCTTAGGAACCACCATAGCCTTAGTTCTGAAACAAGGACACAGGAAGAAAGAAAAAATTGTAGGTCAATTGCACTGTTGAATATAGATGTAAAAATCCTAAATAAATAATATGAAACAAATCCAGAAATGTATAAAATGATACTATATTACTACTAAGTTACTTGTATTCAACATGCAAGATTTAATATGTTAAATCAATTAAAGTTGATGGTATTAAGATAATCTAGGAGGAAAATCATGATCATCTCAAGAGATGTAAAAAAATGGATAAAATTCAACATTCAGAAGGAAGGAAGGAAGGAAGGAAGGAAGGAAGGAAGGAAAGAAAGAAAGAAAGAAAGAAAGAAAGAAAGAAAGAAAGAAAGAAAGAAAGAAAGAAAGAAAGAAAGAAAGAAAAGAAGGAAGGAGAAAGAAAGAAAGAAGAAAGAGAAGGAAGCCAGGGGAAAAAAATATCTGAGCAACCCAGGAGAAATCTTGATAAAGGGTTATGGGAAAACACTAACAGTGAATATTGCCTTCATTAGTTATTGACTGAAACCCGTCTTTTCTGACCTGAGGGAAGTTCTATTGAACTTTTTGCTGTAGGTTCTAATCTAAGTCAAAAGGAGAGGCAAGAAATTAAAGTTATATTATTTAGAAAAAAATTAAAACACCATTTTTCAGAGATAATTTGATTGCCTGCCTACATAGGAAATTCAAAAGAATCTACAGATAGAATATTATAAATAAATTTAGTGAAATATTAGGTATAAAGTGGAAACAAAATCAATTTTACTTTTGTGTATCAGCAATCGGGAGCTAAAATTAAAATTTTTAGAGAAAAGTTATAATTTATAATAGAATAAAAATTAAATACATAGGAAAAATAACAAATATATACACATACAATATCTGCATACTAAAACATAAATAAAAAGATATGGTAAAGAAATTCTAATGAGAAGATATACCATGTTCACAGATTGGAAGACTCAAAATTTTAATTAAATATTATGGTTCTTCCCAAAATATCTGAAAATTCAGCGCAATTCCAACCAAAATCCAAACAATATTCTTTTGTGAAACTTGAAAAGTTGATTCTAAAATACATATGGCAATGCAGTGGAACAAGAATAAGGCATTCTTGAAGAAAGAACCACACAGAAAACCTTACTCTAATAGCTATCACAATTTATTAAACACTTACAGTAAAGAAGAGATGGTGATATGGGCACATGGATAGACAAGACACCAGCGGGACAGAAAAATCAACCAAAATTAATGTCTACTTATGTGGACACTGATTTATGTTAGAGGTGAAACTATAGAGAAGAGGGCAAAAAAAAAAAAAGGTATTTTCAATAAACAAAGTTGAGACCAGTTATAAAAATAGATGAAACTTGATTCTATCTCATACCATATTAAAATAGAGAATGAAAGGTAAAACCAAAACTGTCTTCTAGAAGATAATACAGTCCATAGGATAATATCTTCATGTCCTTGGGGTAGAGAAGGTTTCCTTAACTAGAACACAAAAGGCACTAATCTAAAAGATAAGGATGATAAATTAGCCTACATTAAAATTAAAATTTTATGTTAACCAAAAGAAACCATAAAAGGAATTTTTAAAGATATTTGCTTCATATAAGCAATCATCAAAAGTTCATACCCATTATAGGGAGATAATTCTTACATATTGGTAAGAAAAGACCATGTGATGGAAACGTGGCTGTGGGACTAGTGAGTGTGGCTGGTCCCACCTGCTCCGGTTAGCACAGATATTGCACAGGTAGGTGCCCATTGATGGTGATTGAAAATCTTCCACTGTTCTTGTTACAAGTTTCCTGTGCTTGGGAACCTTCTTGTTTAGACTCCTCTTGTTGACCTGTCCTCTTAGCAGCCTGTGACCCATTGGGAGTCCCACTTACTCCTAGCAGCTTTCTGAACAGTTATCTTGTGAGACTCTGGGAGGATGACTTCCCACCAGCTGACTGGACTTCACTCTCAGCCATGGCTCAGCCCTGCCCCTTCTACCACCGGCTGGCACCACAGGAAGCTGAGGCTTGCAGCTTCGCAGGCTGTGCACAGGGGTCCAGGGCCCACCTCAATGGTCCCAAATGCATCTCCATCCCATATTTATAGATAGTGTCTGCCTCTCAGAAGAGGTCTGGCTCCCAAATGGAAAGATGGACCAAAGGATCTCATCTCTGCCTTCCTCAACTTTCTCTCTCACCTCCATCCCTGTGAGTTATTCCATGATAAGTTTTAACAGCCTTGAGTCCTGATAAGCAAAATGCAAGCATTGAGAGTTTAGCTAGGACCCCTTTTCCTCTTGAAATAACTATTGCCTGGCTACAGAATTCTAAAAGTCTAGTATGAAATTCGAGATGAGCAAAGGTTCCTGGTTCTAGGTGGCCTTGGTTATCTGGGGCAGAAAGTCAAGTCTTTCAGCTTAGCTCTCCCAATGAAATGGCTGCAGATGTGTGAAGGTTGGGGGTGGGGGAACTAAACATAGAAAAAGGGAAAATTATGGAGTGATATTTCAAATGACCATGCTCTCTGGGAATGTATTCCACAATATACCCTTAGACTGCTTTACTTCAAAGCTGAAGAATGACAGAGTTTGCCTACATTTTTCTGACTCTTGTCATCTGGAAAGTTCATGGAAAAAATGCAGCACCAGCTAGAGGTTAGCAGAACTGACTCAACTCCAGGTTGATACTTGTTTGTGGATGAGCTTGCACGACTTGCTTAATCTCTTTGTATTTCAGTTACTCCATCTCTAAAGTGGTGACAATGGGATCCACTTCAGAGGCCTCTTCTGAGGACTGATGATGTAATGCAGGGACAAGAAGCTTGCATGCCTCCTGCCAGCAGACCCCTGCCAGTCCCTTTTTGCCTGTCTTGCGTCTTGACCCAACTCTATAATGCATTAGCAAGTAATGTAAATTCCTTAAAGATTTCAAAGACAAGAGTTTTAAAACAAAGCTTAATATCACATGCAGCGAAACTTTTCCATGTCTCCACCATACCATTTTCCACCCAGCAGTGAGCAGCTCATCCTTAAAGCACACCCCCACTCCATTCCTGTGCCCCATTCTTCTTCCACTTCAGTGCTCACAGGATACCCCCATGGATGGTCAGAAAAATGATCCAAAACATGGAAATAAGTCTAAGAGGTGGAGACTGTGGCCTCTCCATGTCATATGCTGGCAGAGGCCACCTAAACATGACCTAGAAGGATGTACTGAGTTTCACTGTTTCCTTTCAATTAGAGGCCTCAACTTCGTGAAGTTGCATGTTAACTTGCAAATGTTTGCTTGTTAAATATATAAATAATTCTTATGTGAAGGAACATATACTTTAACTTTTCAGACTGGTGGCTGTGTTGGACATTAGCCAGCTCTGTACTCCAGCTGTGTCTACGTTCATTTTGAGCTTCTTAATGCTCTTTGAATTAAGTGTAGCATCTCACTGTTTACCCATTCATTAATGGGTCAAAGAGAATCTTTGACATGTGCTTATTCTATATTTACTTGAGAATAGTGACTTTAACTGTTTGAAGATTATATATTAATATCCTTTCACAACATCAAAAACCCTTTAGGAAATTACCCTTACCACCTCCCTTCTTACAGTCTATTTCCTCAACAACTATTGTTTTGGGAAGTAGCCATCGCTCATTCCAGATCTCTTTTGGAAGCCCTTCAGGGATCCGTAGCTAAGGGAGGAAGGTCATCTCCTTATCATTATCCTTTTCTTTTCTTTTTTTTTTTTTTGAGATGGAGTCTCGCTCTGTCACCCAGGCTGGAGTGCAGTGGCACAATCTCGGCTCACTGCAAGCTCCGCCTCCTGGGTTCACGCCATTCTCCTGCCTCAGCCTCCCTAGTATCTGGGGCTACAGGCGCCCGCCACCACACCCAGCTAATTTTTTGTATTTTTAGTAGAGACGGGGTTTCACCGTGTTAGCCAGGATGGTCTCGATCTCCTGACCTCGTGATCCGCCCACCTCAGCCTCCCAAAGTGCTGGGATTACAGGCATGAGCCACCGCGCCCAGCCTATCCTTTGCTTTTCTAGGTCATGTTTGCATATCATCCTGTAACATGAAAGGTCTTACCTTTCTAAATTCCTCTTTACCTGTATTTATTCCCTACCTATGGCCCTTTCCTTTCTAAAAGGAGATGGTTGCGTTTCCACATTTGGGAAATGGGTTGTATTTCCACTTTTCTGGCCTCCACTTCTGCGTTTTGACACTACACATTGCCAGGTGGCATTGGTAGCTCACAGGTCACTCATTTCTTGTTTGGGGAAGATAAACTGCATGCTTGCTTGGTAGTAGGCTTCTTGAGGTAACCCAAGTCCTTGACTTCCAACTGGCTCTGGTCCTTCTCTATGTGAAAGGGCCAAACTACATCAATGGTCACAGCACAAAAACCTAAATTATTAGCATAGTTAATTATCCGTGGGAATTGCTGGTACCCTAGAATGTGTGTATGTATGTGCATGTGTGCATATTTCAACTTTATAACCTGGGGCCAGGGTAGAGGGTAAAATGAGTTTTGTGTGTGTGGTTCAGTCTATTTCTTCAAACATTCTGAATGATAATTAGCTTTGATTTTTCCATCTATTCATAATGATAGCAGAGGGCAACGCACAACAGAAAGGGGGTTGCAAGCTTTCCACTTAGCAATTAATTCTATTATTAAATGCTAAGAAAAAAATAAGTGCCTGCCAGCTGTAGCTTTATTATGTTTTCCCAGAAATAATAATGAGAAGGCTGTGAAAGTATATTATTTATTTCTCCCTTTCTCCTCCACCCTTGTAGGAGAAAGAAAAAAGCCACGGGTGGTCATTTCTTCACTATGAAAATAAATTTCTTCATTCTGCCATTAGATAGTGGCTTAGACAATGTCTAGAGAAGGGGGTAGGTGCCCAGTGGAATGCTTATTTGTTTTGTTTTTATTCATTTATTTTTAAAATGGAACCTCTACTCTGAGCCAGAATGGGGATTAGGAAATGTGGATACTTGGAGCCTCCTCTGTAGAGGCAGGTACACACCTGTATTCAAGTAAAATGTGGTCAACGCCAGATTAGGAAAATAAACAGCACCCAGGGCACAGAGGAGAGGTGTCCAGTTGGTAATAATATCTGAATTTTAGTGGAAATGTCAATCATCAGTCAGAAAACAGCTATTGATTTTCTTCTGCTGACATTATGCCTGTAAGGAGTAGGTTCTCAATAAACATGAAATGAATGAACCTCAATCTGATCTAGATCTATCTTTTCTTCAGCACATGATGAAACAGTGTGAGGCTACACTGCACATCTCAATTCAGCCCTTAACTTGACTCCACAGGGAAGGGGGCAGTGGTTTTTGCCAGCTGAGAGGCGCACATTAATGTTTGCAAAAGGAAAGCAAGTTCAAACCAGAGTGCTTACTAATTTAGGCATAACGCCAGGGGGTTTAGATTAACACTGTTTTATTCTCATGGGACATAAATAGGAAACTGTAACACATTGGGACTAGTGTTGGACTTGGGGTAACTGAAATCTGATATCCTGCATATACTAGCTTTGTAACCTCAAGTGCATTATACATCCCCTCCAAGCCTCAGTTTTGTTATCTATAAAATGGGTGAAATGATGTTTCTTTTATAGGGATATTATGAGAATGAAATTACATGTGGGAGAATTCTGGCATATTGTAAGTCACCAACAACTATTTTTATTTGTTTAAGTCTTGTATTGTTATTGTGGTTTAAAAATCCATTTCTCTTTCCTGTTATTTGTGGGTGCTGCCAAAAATCATGCTCAGTGACACAAACTCAGGCCTCCTTCATTAAATTCCCTAATTGAGAGTATTTCTTCCTCTGGTTGGTTCAATTCAAAGCCTGTCATGGGAGCTTGTAAATGAGTCAAGAATATCTCATTTTCTCTGTTTCCAGTTCAACCTGTGGGGTACAAACCTCCGTATTCCTGCATGATGAGCGTCACTGTATCTGTTTAAGTGAAAGGTTACTCTACTATTTGTGCTTGGAGCCAGTAACATTGGACAAAATTTGTCCTGATGATCATTCTCCTAGGCACAGCATTTCATATGTTGTTTTAAATTAAATTTGCATGTTTTTGTTGGGGAGAAGAGGTGCACCCTTCATTTTGCTACAGTCCCACTACTCCCTGTGCATCTGATCTGATTTGATTCCTATAAGATATCACCTTCCAGCTTCTGTAGGCCATTGGAAATTATGACCACTGCTCTAAACTATGCCCACATCTAGTCACACCTACCTGTAACACAAGAGCCTAACATATGAGTTTGGGAGAGGGTTGATTTAATACCAAGACAGTCATCTACAAATTTATCTCCCTGCTTCAAGTCTCTATTTCTTTAGTGCCTTCTCCTCATGGAAAGTGATTGAACTTTCAGAAATGAATGTATTGATGCTATTACTCCTCTACGATAAGCTTTCAAAAGTTCTCTGTAACCCAATTTATACTTCCCTGCCCACCCTCAGGCACTGCTAACCTATGCTTCAGATATTCTAAATGAGTTTCCTTTTTCAAGCATGCTCTGGACGTTCACAACTACATGCCTTTGCGAATAGTCTTCCCTGTGCTTGGAAGACCCTCTCAGAATTTTTCAATTAGCAAGCCTCCCTCAAGATGCAATCATAAGCCTTGCAAAGTGTTTTCTGATTGACAGCCCAAGCATCCAATAGCTCCTCCTGAGTTCTCACAAGAGTGTTGGTTTCCTTATGATGATTATTTTCATCCTCCATCTTCTCTACAGCACACATTCCTTAAGAGAGGATATCTCTGTAGTGTCTCATAGCACAGGGCCAGGCACCCACGGAGCTTGTAGCAGACAGGGCTCCTTGTGGACCACTGCCTGCAACTCCACATTTTCCCTTCCCTCCCTCCTAACAGAGCTCAGTTTTGTCAGAGCAGAACTGAGCTTCAGCTACAAACATGCCCAGCTCGAGTCCTGGCTAGGAAAGACAGAAACCCTTTGCCAAATAAAAAAGCAAAGTCTTCCTAGGGGAAGGCTCTTTTCCCTTTAGTCCAGAATGTGGTGCCCTTCCCGGAAAAGCAACACTGCACTGCATGCAGAGGACAAAAGCCACAGTCAGGGACGGTGGTGCTGGAGGGCGAGGATCACGGTCCCTGGTGACACCTGAGCAACTGCACTCAGCTTGGCCTTTTACCTCCAGACTTTTTATTTTATATTAAAAGCATACCATTAAAGGCTTAAACCAGTTTTCATTGAGTTTTCAGCTACTTGCTGTCACGTACTTTCCCCACTGATAAAATGGTCAGCACCTTTCGTTTCAATATCAAACGATATTGATCACTCATTCAATAGACATGTGTTAATTCTTGGGACAGTGAACAGGACCAAGTTCCTACCCTCATGGAGTTTATGTTCTAGAGAGGAGACAGTGAACTATCCTGTTTGTCAATGTATAACACAGGAAATCAAATGATGCAGTGGCTCACGCCTGTAATTCCAGCACTTTGGGAGGCTGAGGCAGGCGGATCATGAGGTCAGGAGTTCGAGACCAGCCTGGCCAACAATGGTGAAACCCCCTCTCTACTAAAAATACAAAAAGATTAGCCAGGCATGGTGGTGCACACCTGTAATCCTGGCTATTCAAGAGGCTGAGGCAGGAGAATCGCTTGAACCCAGGAGGCAGAGGTTGTGGTGAGCTGAGACCATGCCCCAGCACTCCAGCCTGGGCAACAGAGGGAGACTCTGTCTAAAAAAAAAAAGAAGAAGAAAAAAATCAAATGTCAAATAATTGTTAATAAATGTCGCATAAAGAAAAGAAAAATAAGCAGGATAGGAAAGGGAGAGTGACGGGAGAAGAAGGATGGCAGGAGGAAATCTAGAGCAGGGTCACTGGAAGGCATAGAGTGAGCTCTGTATCTACCTTTGGAAGCATCAGTGCAAATGGCTCGATGCAGGCCTTCGTTCCAGGAAGAGTAAGAAGGACAATCCGCTAGAGAACAAAGCCTGACATGGAGCGAGTGGGGGGATTATATCAGAAAGAAGAATGCAGGCTGCTGGGCTATAGATTCCATGTGAGGTCACAATCTATGTGTGATTAGAAGCTGGGGAGTGTATTGATGAGCTGTGGCCTAATTTGCTGATATATATTTTCCCATTGATTATCCTGCTACGTGGAAAATTGATGGCAGGGGGAAGCAAGATTGGGAGCAGAAGACGATGTGGAAAAGTGGCCTCCTTCAAGCTGTATTTTGGAGGTAGAATCAGTAAGATCCACTAATGTGGAGCTTGAGAAAAATAGAGGCATCAGAAATGATGCCCAGATTTTGACCTGAGCTCTTCAGTGAATGTTGGTGACATTTTCTAAGATGTGGAAGAAATCAAGAAATTAAAAGTTATTCTGGACATGCTGAATTTGAGATATCAACTAGATACTCAAATGGAGACATCAGGAAATCAGAGACCAGGAAACAGTTTGGGGCTGAAGATGGAATTTGGGAATCTTCAGCCATAAAGACCAGGGACTGGGATGAGGTCTCCTAAAGAGTTAGTATTATGAACACTCACATAAACTGTGGACCCTGAGTGATAATGATGTGTCAATGTAGGTCTATTAATTGTAACAAAGACCACGCTGATGGGGAATGTTGATCTGAGGTGGGGTAGGGGCTGTGCCTGTGTGGGGGCCGGGGGCATTTGAGAACTCTCTGTACTTTTCATTCAATTTTACTGTGAGCCAAACTGCCTAAAGAATAAAGTCTATTAAAGAAAATTCAATTAGGCCTTAAAATAGTGTTAGAGGAGAGTATCAGAGGAGAGAAGGATAGGGTGAGTCGTGTGTTATGAAGAGCTTCAGACATCTGAGAGAGAAGCAGCAGCTAGGGAAGGAAGCTGAAAAGGAATGATCAGTGAGGGTAAAAAGAAAAGGAGTGAGTACAGGGTCAGGAAGGCCAGTGAAGAAAGCACTTTAGGAATAATAAAATAAATTCCTTTTTCAGGTGAAAGAGATGAGGATTGAGAATTGATCATCGTCTCCTTAACAAGGAGCTCCTGTTCAGTGGAGTGATGGGAACCAAAGCCCAGTAGAAATGACCTGAGATGAAAATGAAAGGCAAAGCAATAGAGAAGCAAGTGTAGACAGAAGCATAGAAAGAAGAATGCAGGCTGCTGGGCTACAGATTCCATGCGGGGTCACAATCCATGTGTAATTAGAAGTTGGGGAGGGCATTGATGGGCTCTGATTTGATTAGCTGATATATATTCCCACAGCGATTATCGTGCCATGTGGAAAATTGATGATAACAGGAAGCAAGATTGGGAGCAGAGGATGACAGAGGTTGTGAAAAGTGGCCTCCTTCGAGCTGTATTTTGGAGGTGGAGCCAGTAAGATGTACTAATGTGGAGTTTGAGAAAAATAGAATAATTATTCTCAAGGAATTATGCTGTCTAGGAGAAAAGAGAAATAAAGCGGTAGTCAGAGGGATATGTGGACAACACAGCAAGACCCCATCTGGCCAAAGAATAAAAAAATTATCCAGGCATGGTGGTGTGCAACTGTAGTTCCAACTACTCAGGAGGCTGAGGTGGGAGGATCACTAGAGCCCAGGAGGTCGAGGCTGCAGTGAGCTGTGATCATGCCACTGCACTCCAGCCTGAGTGACAGAGCAAGACCATGTCTCAAAAAAAAAAAAAAAGAAAAGAAAAGAAAAGTATTGAAAATGTTCTGTACTACTAGGAATGATCCAGTAGAAGAGGTAATAATAGTGATGTAGAAGACAGGGCACCATTTCAAGAGCAGAGTCAAAATTTACAGAACAGGATGAAATCTCATAACCAGGAGCAGGGTCTGTTCATTCGTTATAAATGGAGAGTATGTAAATGTGAGCACAGGTGGATTCACATGCTCCACACTGGCATGGCTCAGTAGGTGTTGCACAGTGATGGAGGGATAGACAGAGTGATGAATGGATGGATGGAAGGACAGACAAATGGATGGATGAATGTGGCTACATTTTCTAACTCTCAAAAAATTTTGTCTTAGGATTTGTCTCAATGAAGCAAAAGACTTCCCCAGTTATGAGTCCCCAATTAGCAAATATCTTCAAACAAAGAAGTTTTGAAAGAGGATTCTTTTTAAGAGATTTCTAAAACAGAAAAATGTTATGTGTTTCCTGAGGTTTCAACTTCATCTCTTCTGACAGGGAATTTAAAAATATAGGTGAAAAGAGGAGAAAGAGTAATCAGAATGGAATTATAAACACAATAAAACTGTAAAAAAAAGAGAAAATATGTTGAGACTTCAGGGCTAGGTGATTTTTGTGTACCATTGTTCTGAATGGAATATTATACAATTAGATGTAGTGCCAATACATTTCCCAACTACAGCTTTGAAAAAAAAGTTAGAGTAAAAATGACCAAATTAGCATTTTATGATTATTTCCAAGAGGGAGAAAAATTGTGTTATATGGTTTTGTGGAATAAATTTTAAAAGTGTTTATTGAGTTTTAAGATTTAGTTTCAAAATAACTGAGTTAATGGACAAGTTGGGAAATATAAAATTTTGTTCAGGAAAGTTTTTTTGAATTAGCCAATAGCAAGAGTAACCTGAAGGGAATTTCTCAAACTTTTAATGATTTATTTGGAAAAAAAAATTAAATAAAATCAACATACTGAACTTGAAACAACAGGTAAACTATAGTAATAATCTAGTCATAATTATCCAATTATCAAATCTCAATTCACCCACTTATTAATTGAATGATCTTTCATAACATTTTGAACTTCAGGTCATTGATTTGCAAAATAGGATGAATACTAACATAATACATATTTATAAGGTTTGAAGAGTTAACCTACATAATGCACCTGGCAGATGGTGCTATATAGTAGGGCAAGCTTGTCCAACCCATGGGCCGCGAGCTGCATGCAGCTCAGGACAGCTTTGAATGTGGCCCAACACAAATTAGTAAGGTTTCTTAAAACATTATGAGATTTTTTTGCTATTTTTTTAGCTCATCAGCTATTGTTAGTGTTAGTGTATTTTATGTGTGGCCCAAGACAATCGTTCTCCCAGTGTGGCCCTGGGAAGCCAAAAGATTGGACACCCCTGTTGTAGGGACTCAAAAACTGCTTATTTAACTCTTTTTCATTTATCTCTGTTTTCTTTACTTCTTTTGCCTTTACTTCTATAATCCCATACCTTGTAAGGTGCCAGAAGTACTGATGTAAATAAAAGTGAAAAAAGAATGCTTTCATCAGCATCCTTCTCTAATAATCTATTTAATCTTTCTATAATTCCCACACAGCAAAAGACACATATGCCCCCACACACAGGCACAAAAATGCACACACTCCCTAAAGCAGCCATGGTATATTCCTTACATTTCAGGTAATGGCATTGACAGCAGGAAAAACATTGTTTATTTTCTGTTTTGACTATTTGACTTTAGCTTCTAGAAGCATTCACCCCATGCAAAAATTTACTAGTGTTTTCATGCATTTCACTGAAATTATGAAAAGTCACTCTGCAGTAACTTCCCCCTACGTAATAAAGAGAAAGACTAATTTTGCTGACCAATGACAGATTTCAAGTCCTGCCCCTCCTTTCCTCTTTGCACACATCTGGACAACCCCGTAAGCACTGGTGCTTCTGCCCTTCATCATCAGGCAGATGGGCATTTCAAACAACATGAACACCTGCCTGGGAGGGTACTCCCACCCTGGCTCTAACCCTTGTCCACAGTGAAAATCCCAAATGCTTGCACTTCCTTGTTTTGCTCTTGACCTTCTCTTTGGAGAAACTCTTTGCTGCTTGCCAAGTGAATAGTAAACTTTATCACACATCAATTGGTGCCTATGTGTCATTCATCCCAACATCTGCAAAATCTCTGAGGGGCTGTCCAGCAAACTACGGAAAATGGTAGGTGCCCCCTCCCAAAAAGAAATTTGCAAGTGTTGTTTGCAATTGATGTTTGCAAGTGTTTAATTAATTAATTAATTAAGTATACCTCCATTCATTCTGCCTGCTCCAGGGTTTTTACGTGTTTGGTTTCTTCTGTCTTCAATATTCTACCCCATTCTTCTCCTGACTCTTCTTCCAGATAAACTCACCTTCACTCTTCAAAGAAAACTTGCTCAGCTTCCCCAGTCCAGAGATTCCTGTGTCACAAATTCTCATAGATCTCTGGTGCACTGAGATTACAATAAGCTAAAATATAATTACATGTTTATTAGTGTAAGCATTTGATTTGTTTTTTTCCTCCTCCATTTGATTACCAACTCCATGTGGTAGTGACCATCCCCGTTCTTCATTACTAACCTGGCATTCAGCATGGTACTCAGTATGTAGACATGTGAGCAAAGACTCTGCATTAGCCATTAGAACACATCAAGGCTGAGGAAAGAAAAACATTGTACTTGTCATGTATGTGTGTGTGTGTTTGTGTGTGTGCATAAACACAAATACAAGTACATATATGTGTCTTGTGTGTGGGTAAGTGCCCGTACACACACACACACACACACACACACACAGTCAATTGCAGTCAACTTAGTATTTCTCACTCTCTTGCATGAAGCTCAGACACCTCCCTCAGATGAGCCTCAGGTTGGCCCCAGGACATTAGGAAATGAAAGCAGCAGAGGAAATGTTTTAAATGTGTGCCTCAGAGGCAGATAATTGATGTGGTTCCTCCTTATGCATTTACAGGTTGTGTAATTTGGGGCAAGTCAGTTAATCTTGACGAGAACCAGCTTCCTCATCTGTAAAATAGAGATTAGGAAAGTCTGATAATAGAGAAAATAATAATAATAATAGAGATTACACAGTGCTATTGTGGGGACTTGAAATTATGTATGTAAAGACTTGAAATTATGTATGTAAAGCAAACTGTGCCTATTTTAATTAAAGTCTCCTGTAGTTGGGTTCATACTCATAGCAGCCCTAAGCCATAAGTCAAAAAGCAGACATGAACCAATAGGCCTTAATGTATAGGACTGAATCCAAAGACTCACCTACTTTGAATTCAGCCTTCCTTACATAATTCTTTCTAAAATATGTACAGGAACTTCCCACCTGATCTTCCCCTTCAGCTTCTCTGAGCTCTGGGTCATGGGGGCGTGCAGCACCATAGTGAGGGACACTCACCTATCTGCACCCTATCACTGAGATTGGAGAGGGTGACAGACAGATGTGAGACCAAGATTTTTCCCTCAACTTCCCATTTGTCCTCTCTTTCCCATGTCACATTCATCTTTCTTTCTTAAGCACCAGATCTGATGACTTCAAACTCAAAGGCAAGCACATACATAACTATCTTAAATAGACTGTATAACCCATGAGGTCAATAACAAGACCTATATCTATATCTAAATAAAGCATGAGAAAGACTTCTTATCACCCACAGTGATTCTGCTTTTCTTATCAAACTGTATATAAATGATCAAAAAACGGTGACATGCCAGGAGAATTTGGCAAATGTGAGATGCTGAGAGCTCGAGAAGGGTGGTTAAGAGAAAGATGTGGGAGCATTCTTACAAAATCATGATCAACCATGTGTGCTCTGATAAGACTACCTTATCAGAAGTGGTCTTATCAGAGGTAGGGTACCTTATCATCCGAGCTGTCTCTGTTCGGGTGAGGTTACTAAGTGGGAGGTGTTGCTGCTGATCTCTCCAAGGTAATTACCTGCTCTCGATTTCTCACCCCTCGATCCTCACAATTTCTGAACTCAGCATCCTGAGGCCTTTCCCTGGTTCTTGATTCCTGTCACCAGGCATCTGGAAGCATCAAGCAGGCCTGGGAGCCCTTTCGTTTTTCCTGAAAACACAACAGAGCAGGACCATCTTTCCATAATGATGGTAGATCTGTGGATTGTGCCCCACTGCCCCAGATGACTTAGCTAAGCTGGAAATTCTTTCCCAGAATCCACTTCTCTGAATTTTCAATTATTCTACAAAGGAACTCTGCATGTAATTTGGAAGCCAGAAGAGAAGCAGCAGCTGTGTTGCCACCTGGAGGGTTGTTGTGCATCCAGGTGCTCCTCTGTGGATTCCCCTGGGGGATTGTGGGCAGTGGCCAGGCCCAATGCTCCCAGCTCCCACCTGACCTTCCCCTTCAGCTTCTCTGAGCCTTGAGTCAGGTGGTTGTGCAGCTCCTTGGTGAGGGACACTCACCTATCTGCACCCTATCACTGAGATTGGAGGGGGTGACAGACAGATGTGAGACCAAGATTTTTCCCTCAAATTCCCATTTGTCCTCTCTTTTGCATGTCACATTCATCTTTCTTTCTTAAGCACCAGCTTTGATAACTTCAAACTCAAAGGCAAGCACATACATAAGTATCTTAAGTAGACTGTATAACCCATGAGGTCAATAACAAGGCCTATATCTATACCTAAATAAAGCATGAGAATGACTTCGTATCACCCATAGTGATTCTTCTTTTCTTATCCAACTGTATATAAATGATCAAGAAATGGTCACATGCCAGGAGAATTTTGCAAATGCGAGATGCTGAGAGCTTGAGAAGGGTGGTTAAGAGAGAGATGTCAGAGGATTCCTACAAAATCATGATCAACCATGTGTGCTCTGATAAGACTACCTTGTAGTGTGACCCAAAACTCGTCCACAAAGTTGCAAAAATCTTAATGTGAATGCATTTATAGTGGCATCAATCAAGAGATGAATTAAGATGTCTAGCTCAGCAAAGAAGAAACCTAAACATCACAAGCTAACACAGGACATAAGAAGAGGTAGCCACAGGGAAGACAGATGATCCACAGGTGTTACAGACAGGGTGCTGGACTAACTAGTTTTTCCCATTGGGAATATCGGGTCAGGATGATCTACATCTCTATGGGTGAAATAAATTCCAAGGGTCATATGAATTACATTTATTTACCCACATCTGATGACTGATGTGTCACAAGATTCTGTATCCACTTTTGTCCAAGTTCTTGACTTAGCTCCTGCCTCCCAGCCCTGTGTTTATGCTGTAATTCAAACTCTCATTGCCTCTCACCTGAGCTACTATAAAAGTATCTAAACCAGTCCCCTCATCCAGTCTGTCTGTCTCTTCTTCCATTCCATTCCCCTTACAATGCCCCATTTAACCTTCCTCAAATGCACCCCTTGTCATGTCAGTGACGTGTCCTTTGTTCCTCCAATACCTAATACGGTGCATAACAAATCATATTTTATAAGAATCTGTTGAATAAAAGCTGACATTAGAAAATTTCCAAATGAAGGCATTATATATACATATATGTGTGTGTGTGTGTGTGTGTGTGTGTGTATACACACATTAATGTATGAAATGTTTTTTCTGCAAATAAAGAATGCAGTAAAATGCAAATAAAGTGACAATTCATGTTACCATCAGAAACACAGCTGGCTGGAGAAAAAAATCAGTGAAATTTATCCCGCATCTCCTCTTACAAAATCCTTTTATCTTTCATTAAGGTACCTCTTTTCAACCTGTTCTCATCCCTGTAAATCAACCATTCCTATGTGTCTTTTGTTTTGCCCCCTCTTCACCTAAACTATCTTCAGAAAAATCCCAGTAGGTGTCATGTCTCAGGAGAGTGGAGATATTTTATGTATTATATTTGACTTTGGGAAAATGGGCAGTGAGAAACCCAGGAGAGAGTTAAGAAAGTATTTAGCAATATCAACAGACATTTGGTTTCCTTGAAGATGTACTCCAAGAGTATGATACATATGAATAAACAATCTTGGGAGAACATTTTGTTGGCTGAGTTGCACCCTCTGAAAGCATATATTCAAGTTCTCACCCATGAACGAGATCTTACTTGGAAGCAGGTGTAATTAAGTTAAAATGGGACCATGCTGGACTACAGTGAGCCCTACACCTAACGTGGCTGGTATTTTTAGAAGAGAGGAGACACAGAGACAGGCCCAGGGAGAATGCCCATGAACAAGGAAGCAATGATTGGAGCATTGTGTCTACAAGCCAATAGTCACCAAGCATTGCTGACCCCCACCAAAAGCTGGAAGAGGCCAGAAAGTATCTTTCCCTACAGCCTTCAGAGAAAATATGGCCCCAGCGCTGTTCTGAACACAGAAGATACATCAGTGAACAGATGAGAGGGAAAATCCATGTCCTTATGGGTTGTAGTTGATGAAAAACTTTGCTTTTTAGGAATAATCAAATTGACAGCTCAAGCATTTTGTCTAACTTATTTTCTGTCCAGTTATAACTCTAATATAACTCTAATATATATATATATATATATATAAGATAATTTAACAAATTTTATGAAGATGTATGGATAGGTGTGAGTCCATATAACTCAACTGTGTAGAGTAGGATAGCTCTGTACTGGTTCTGGGGAAAAGCGGGCAGGGGGTTCCTAAAATATGCGGAAGGCATTATATTGCAAAAGAGAAGCTTTTAGGAAATGGCCTCTGGATGCTTCTGTGGGTTTTTTTCTGCTCTTTCCCTAAAGATTGAATATTGTTTAATATGCTCTTTCTGGCCAAACACCTGTCAAATTCCTATTTTTAGTTGATGTTAATTAGGAGCAAGAACTAATACTCTCTTAATTAATTGGATGTCTTCTCTCCTCAGTTCCTCTGCTGCTTCTCCCTCCACTAGATAACCCCACACACAACTGCTGTAGGGTTGAGGAATCTATTAGTCGGAGACCATGAGGATCATAAATACAGAGCTTCACACACACTTAGATATTCAAATTTATTCACATGTCCTTAATTAGTAATAATTCTAATTGAGTTTGAGTCTGCTATCTTGAAAAATATGCAATTTGTTCAGCAAGTGCCCACCAGTCTCCTCCAGTGGTTTTTTTTTTTTTTTTTTGTCATACATGAATTACTGAAACATGAAAACAACATCTCTCTTTTTCAAACCATCACACTCATTATTCCCTCGCAACTCTGGAGGCATCTTTTCCACTGCCGGCTCTCCTAAGCAAACTACACTTTGGGAACTAAGAAGTTCTGTGTGTGCTTTCAAATCTCTTTACTGTAGGAGCCAAAGTTTTCTTTGTTCACCAGTTTTATAACTCTATTCCTCTCCTACATTAATCACAAATAATCAGCCACTCATCTTTAATTCTTTTACCTTCTAAAAACTCTCACATCCTTACCTCCCTTCTACCCCTTTTCCTGAAAGTTTTCAGAAGTTTCTTAAGTGATTTCCAACCATCCTCATCATACTATACTTACAGATCCTTCTAAAATGCAAAACTGGTCATGGTTTTTGTTTGTTTGTTTTCTTAAAATCTGTAAATGGCTTCTTTCATGTGCGTCCCTGTGAAGAGACCACCAAACAGGCTTTGTGTGAGTAACATGGCTGTTTATTTCACCTGGGTGCAGGCGGGCTGAGTCCGAAAAGAGAGTCAGTGAAGGGAGATAAGGGTGGGACCGTTTTATAGGATTTGGGTAGGTAAAGGAAAATTACAGTCAAAGGGGGTTTGTTCTCTGGCGGGCAGGAGTGGGGGTCGCAAGGTGCTCAGTGGGGGAGCTTTTTGAGCCAGGATGAGCCAGGAAAAGGACTTTCACAAGGTAATGTCATCAGTTAAGGCAAGGACCGGCCATTTACACTTCTTTTGTGGTGGAATGTCATCAGTTAAGGTGGGGCAGGGCATATTCACTTCTTTTGTGATTCTTCAGTTACTTCAGGCCATCTGGGCGTATACGTGCAAGTCACAGGGGATGCGATGGCTTGGCTTGGGCTCAGAGGCCTGACATTCCTGCCTTCTTATATTAATAAGAAAAATGAAATAGTGTTGAAGTGTTGGGGTGGCAAAAATTTTTGGGGGGTGGTATGGGGAGAGAATGGGCGATGTTTCTCAGAGCTGCTTCAAGCGGGATTAGGGGCGGCGTGGGACCCTAGAGTGGGAGAGATTAAGCTGAAGGGAGGTCTTGTGGTAAGGGGTGATATTGTGGGGATGTTAGAAGAAACATTTGTCGTATAGAATGATTGGTGATGGCCTGGATACAGTTTTGTATGAATTGAAAAACTAAATGGAATAAGAGAAGGAGAAAAACAGGTATAAAAGGTCTAAGAATTGGGAGGACCTAGGACATCTAATTAGAGAGTGCCTAAGGAGATTCAGCATAGTCCTGCCAGCAAAGATTATTTATTTACTTCAAGAGTTAAGAGTGGCAGTTTGGGGATAGCATGAGGAGATATCAGCTGTGATGGTTTAGGAAAAAACAGTGTAAACTGGCAGTGTAAACAAGAACAGGGCATGTATGAGTAGTTGAGAACGGTGAATAGGAGTATGACTAGACAGAAGATGGTAGGGATGACAAGTTTTTTGGGGCACAGTCTAAGTTGGTCTGGTGTCTGGTATGAGAAGCGTCTATACAGGAGCTTAAATGGGCTGTACCCTGTGGCATTCCGAGAACAGGCCTGAATTCTGAGAAGGGAAAGTGGTAAAAGTATTGTCCAGTCCTTTTTAAGTTGGTGGCTGAGCTTGGTGAGGTGTGTTTTTAAAAGACCTTTAGTCCATTCCACTTTTCTTGAAGACGGAGGACCGTAAGGGATATAAAGCTTTCACTGAATACTAAGAGCCTGAAAAACTGCTTGGCTGATTTGACTAATAAAGGCTCATCTGTTATCAGACTGTATTGAGGTGGGAAGGCTTAACTGAGGAATTATGTCTAACAGAACGGAAGAAATCACTGCGGTGGCCTTCTGAGACCCTCTAGGAAAGGCCTCTACCTATCCAGTGAAAGTATCTACCTAGACTAAGAGGTATTTTAGTTATCTGACTCAGGGCATGTTGAGTAAAGCTAATTTGCCAGTCCTGGGTGGGGCAAATCCTGGAGCTTGATGTGTAGGGAAGGAAGGGGGCCTGAATAATCCCTGAGGAGTAGTAGAATAGCAGATGGAAAACTGAGAAGTTATTTCCTTGAGGATAGATTTCCACGATGGAAAGGAAATGAGAGGTTCTAAGAGGTGGGCTAGTGGCTTGTACTATAGCATAACCTGCCTTTGCTGGTGTGTGGAGATTAAGCCTGGTGGAACCGCCATCAATAAATCAAGCGTGATCAGGCTGAGGAACAAGAAAGAAGGAAATTTGGGGAAATGGGGTGAATGTCAGGTGGATCAGAGAGATACAGTCATGGGGGTCAGGTGTGGTATCAGGAATAATGTGGGAGGCCAGATTGAAGTCTGGGCCAGGAACAATGGTAATTGTGGGAGACTCAACAAAGAGTGAGTATAGCTGAAGGAGCCAGGAAGCAGAAAGTATATGCATCAGGTATGAGGAAGAAAATAGATTTTGGAAGTTATGAGAACTGTAGAGAGTGAGTTGAGCATAGTTTGTGATTTTGAGGGCCTCTAAAAGTATTAAAGCAGCAGCAGCCACTGCACGCAGACATAAGGGCTAGTCAAGTTTGGACAGAAAGCCTACAGGGTATGGTCCTGGCTCTTGTGTAAGAATTCTGACCACGCTAACCATGCCTAGGAAGGAAAGGAGTTGTAGTTTTGTAGAAGGTGCTGGGGTTTGAGAGATCAGTCGGACACGATTGGCAGGGAGAGCACGTGTGTTTTTATGAGAATTATGCCAAGATAGGTAACAGATGAGGAAGTAATTTGGGCTTGATTGAAGTAATGGGGGCTGTCTGTGAAGCTTTGCAGCAGTACAGCCTTGGTAATTTGCTGAGCCTAATGGGTGTCAGGTGAAAGCAAAGAGAGGCTGGGACGAGGGGTGCAGGGGAATAGTGAAAAAAACATCTTTAAGATCAAGCACGGAATAGTGAGTTGTGGAGGAAGGTATTGAGGACAAAAGAGTGTACAGGTTGGGCACCACAGGGTGGATAGGCAAGACAATTTGGTTGATAAGGTGCAGATCCTGAACTAACTTGTAAGGCTTGTCTGGTTTTAGGACAGGTAAAATGGGGGAATTTTAAGGAGAGTTTACAGGGTTTAAAAGGCCATGCTGTAGCAGGGGAGTGATAACAGGCTTTAATCTTTTTAAAGCTTGCTGCGGGATGGGATATTGGCGTTGAGTGGGGTAAGGGTGATTAGGTTTTAATGAGATGGTAAGGGGTGCATGATCGGTTGCCAAGGAGGGAGTAGAGGTATCTTATACTTGTGTGTTAAGGTCGGGGGATACAAGAGGAGGATTGGGAAGAAGGGCGGCAATGAGATACAGCTGTAGTCCAGGAATAGTCAGGGAAGCAAATAATTTAGTTAAAGTGTCTCAGCCTAATAAGGGAACTGGGCAGGTGGGGATAACTAAAAAGGAGTGCTTAAAAGAGTATTGTCTAAGTTGGCACCAGAGTTGGGGAGTTTTAAGAGGTTTAGAAGCCTGGCCGTCAATACCCACAACAGTTATGGAGGCAAGGGAAACAGGCCCTTGAAAAGAAGGTAATGTGGAGTGGGTAGCCTCCGTATTGATTAAGAAGGTGACGGGCTTACCTTCCACTGTGAGAGTTACCCAAAGCTCGGCGTCCATGATGGTCTAGGGGGCTTCCGACACGATCAGGCAGTATCAGTCTTCAGCCGCTAAGCCGAGAAGATCTGGGAAGGAGTCAGTCAGAGAGCCTTGGGCCAGAGTTCCAGGGGCTCTGGGAGTGGCTGCCAGGTGAGTTGAATAGTCCAATTTTCAGTGGGGTCCCACACAGATGGGACTCGGCTTAGGAGGAATCCCGGGCTGCGGGCATTCCTTGGCCCAGTGGCCAGATTTCTGGCACGTGTAGCAAGCTCCTGTGGGAGGAGGTTCTGGAGGAATGCCTGGCCGCTGCGGTTCAGGCATTTGGAAGTTCTTGTGTGCTGGAGATGTGGCTGGGGTTTGTCTCACAGTGGAGGCAAGGAATCGCAACTTTTTTCTATTATTGTACACCTTGAAGGCGAGGTTAATTAAATCCTGTTGTGGGGTTTGAGGGCTGGAATTTAATTTTTGGAGTTTTATTTAATGTCGGGAGCAGATCGGGTAATAAAATGTATTTTGAGAATAAGACGGCCTTTTCACCTTTTAGGGTCTAGGGCTGTAAAGCGTCTCAGGGTTGCTGCCAAACAGGTCATGAACTGGGCTGGATTTTTATATTTGATGAAAAAGAGCCTAAACGCTATCTGATTTGGGATAAAGAAAAAGGAGCATTCACCTTGACTATGCCTTTGGCTCCAGCCACCTTTTTAAGAGTAAACTGCTGGGCAGGTGGGGGAGGGCTAGTCACAGAACGAAACTGTAAGCCAGACCAGGTGTGAGGGGGGAGGTGATAAAAGGATTACAAGGTGGAGGAACGGAGGCTGAGAAAGAATTGGGACCTAGCTCGGCCTGGCGAGGAGCAGCCTGGGGAGGAAGGGAGAGGTCAGATGGGTCTGTAGAAAAGGAAGATTAGAAAGACTCAGCGACGCTTGGGGTTGGTACTGAGGGGACAGGCGGGAGGGAAAGAAGGAAGATTTGGGACAAGTTGCACTGGGCACAGGGACTAGGAAGGGACTGAGTGTGTAAAAGAATGCCTGGAGTCAGGCACCTCAGACCATTTGCCTATTTTATGACAAGAATTATTTAGATTTTGCAGGTTGGAAAAATTCAAAGTGCCATTTTCTGGCTATTTGGAACTACTGTCGAGTTTGTATTGGGGTCAAGCGGCATTGCAGAAGAAAATAAGGCATTTAGGTTTTAGGTCAGGTGTGAGTTGAAGAGGTTTTTAATTTTTGAGAACACAGGCTAAGGGAGAAGAAGGAGGAATGGAAGGTGGAAACTTACCCATAGTGAAGGAGGCAAGCCCAGAGAAAAGAGTAGAGACACAGAGAAGGGGTTGTGGGGGGGTGCGGTTCTTGCCCTCCAGAAAAGCAGAGAAGGGGTTGGGGCATGGAAATAAGGGATTGGGGCACAGACATAAGAGGTCAGGGTGCAGAAATAAGGGATTGGGGCACAGAGATAAGAGGTTGGGGTGTGGAAATAAGGGATTGGGGCACAGAGATAAGAGGTTGGGATGTGGTAATAAGCGATTAGGGGGTTCTTGCCCCCTAGGAAAGCGGGACTTGCTACTAAGGGTGAAGGAGAAGGGGCTGAGGGGTACTTGCCCCTGCCCCAGAAAAGCAGGACTTGCCACTAAGGGTGAAGGAGAAGGGGTTGAGGGGTACTTGCCCCTGCCCCAGAAAAGCAGGACTTGCCACTAAGGGTGAAGGAGAAGGGGTTGAGGGGTACTTGCCCCTCCCCCAGAAAAGCAGGACTTGCCACTAAGGGTGAAGGAGAAGGGGTTGAGGGGTACTTGCCCCTGCCCCAGAAAAGCAGGACTTGCCACTAAGGGTGAAGGAGAAGGGGTTGAGGGGTACTTGCCCCTCCCCCAGAAAAGCAGGACTTGCCACTAAGGGTGAAGGAGAAGGGGTTGAGGGGTACTTGCCCCTCCCCCAGAAAAGCAGGACTTGCCACTAAGGGTGAAGGAGAAGCGGTTGAGGGGTACTTGCCCCTGCCCCAGAAAAGCAGGACTTGCCACTAAGGGTGAAGGAGAAGGGGTTGAGGGGTACTTGCCCCTCTCCCAGAAAAGCAGAGAAGGGGTAGAGACAAGGAGAGAAGGGGTTGGGGTACTTGCCCTTCCCCAGAAAAGCAGGACTTGCCGCTAAGGGTGAAGGACCAAGGCAGGCGTCCCTGCGTGGTCTGACACCCTTGAAACATGAGTGTATAATCAGAGGCGTCCCTGCAATGATTAAACACCAAGGGAAGGCTGCCTTCCCAGTCCATGACCGGCGCCGGAGTTTTGGGTCCACGGATAAAACGTGTCTCCTTTGTCTCTACCAGAAAATGAAAGGAATTGAAATTAAGAGAAGGGAGAAATTGAAGTGTGGCACCAAGATTGAAAGGAGAAAGAGGTTGAGGGATAGTGAGGGAGGTTGGAGAAGAGAGTAAAAAGAGGCCGCTTGCCGGATTTGAAATTGGTGAGATGTTTCTTGGGCTGGTCACTCTGAGGACCTGAGGTCGTAGGTGGATCTTTCTCATGGAGCAAAGAACAGGAGGACAGGGGATTGATCTCCCAAGGGAGGTCCCCCGATCCGAGTCACGGCACCAAATCTCATGCGCGTCCGTATGAAGAGACCACCAAACAGGCTTTGTGTGAGTAACATGGCTGTTTATTTCACCTGGGTGCAGGCGGGCTGAGTCCGAAAAGAGTCAGTGAAGGGAGACAAGGGTGGGGCCATTTTATAGGATTTGGGTAGGTAAAGGAAAATTACAGTCAAAGGGGGTTTGTTCTCTGGCGGGCAGGAGTGGGGGTTGCAAGGTGCTCAGTGGGGGAGCTTTTTGAGCCAGGATGAGCCAGGAAAAGGACTTTCACAAGGTAATGTCATCAGTTAAGGCAAGGACCGGCCATTTACACTTCTTTTGTGGTGGAATGTCATCAGTTAAGGTGGGGCAGGGCATATTCACTTCTTTTGTGATTCTTCAGTTACTTCAAGCCATCTGGGCGTATATACGTGCAAGTCACAGAGGATGCGATGGCTTGGCTTGGGCTCAGAAGCCTGACAGCTTCCATTGTTTTTGGGATAAATCCAAGCCTCTGATATACAAGTGTCCTTTACAATCTGTCTCCTGACCACTTTCCCAGCTTTATTTCCCCTCCCCTCTACAAGGTATCTTCACTCTCACACTTCATACTTCCTGGGCTTACTGGAGTGGATGCTGTCCTATGGCCCAGATGCACTTTTAGGACCGACACATTCATTCCCCGGCTGCTGGGATTGTTGGTGGCGGACAGCGTACAGGGAAATCCTTCCCCAAGAATTGTCCCCAGCCAAAGGAAGAAACCTGCCTAGCTTAAAGCAATACCTTTTGGGGCAGGAGGCGGGGAAAGATAGGAATTGAAACTTATGAAGGCTCCGTGTGTCAAAGCCTGGTCCTTGCTCTAAGCAGGACAGTGTTGCAGGCTGCCCCACCCCCAGAGCTTCCTGTTGAGATTGGCTTGCATTGCGACTAATCATGGTTCACATGCTCCCTCTGTGCAACCTTACTCGGTGATCCCGGGGGAAATTCCTCAAGAAATGTATTTGCATGCAAATCTCCATTTCAAAGATCTGTGCCCTGGGAAACCCAGCTGAAGTCACTTAGGATTTCTATATTATTATATAGTGCACCTTTTCACTACTAGGTTTCTAGATGGCCTTTATCTGGGCTGCTCTTCTCCCACTCTGCCTGTTTTCTTTAAGGATCTTCTCAATTCTTTCCTGTTCCCTCTAGAAAGAGTTGAGCAATGCTCCTTGTGCACAGCTGCACTCTGTACATGCCGCAGGTAATCATCTGATTGCCTGCTTTTCTGCCTTTCCTAGATTACATTTCTTTAGGACAGAAACTACTTAGTTTCTTCTCTGTATCCCTTGTGCTAAGACTAATGCCTATCACAGAATAATTTTTCAATAAATATTTGCCACCTAATTAAATGAATGAATGAGCCTCCAGCTGAAAGAGTTCAAGCCTTGGGAGATAAAAGCCATGCAGCTTAGGAGGACAGAGCAGAAATCTGCTGTCTGTTTAGGCAAATAAATTCATTGACTAATCAATTGGACTTGAAGGATTCGTAAATACCTCAATAATGAGGAAGTAATGTAAATGGAGATTTAGCTTTGGTTGAGTGGGAGCATGAATTAGTGGTCCATCTTTTTAGTAGCCAGACAGGTTGAAAGTATGGTTGATTTTTATTTGAATGAATTTATTGATTCCATTATTGATTTTAATGGTGATGCCAGTCATTGTGCTAAGTTTTACATAAGGTGAAAACTAAACCTAATTAAGGCCCTGCGAGCATGAACTGAATAAACTGCAATACAAGGTTGAGTGATAAGTACCACAGGAGAAGAACATGTGAAAGTTTACAAACTGAGAGATCTCATCAGGCAAGTGACAATCCTATCCAAGGCTTAAAATAGGAACCAGGCCAGCCCTCCCTTGCAGTGCAGGATTCAGACTGAGAGTCTCTGATTGGTAAGTACTGTGCTATGTCTTGCATTAGAGGTTGTCGGATCAGCACAGTAATTCATCTCAGGTAGTGCCTGAAGAGCTAACAGGCATTGATCAAGACACTGAAAGCTCAGCTAATGAAAGGTGCTAGCCACTGGTGCAATGGAAGCTCCTGCAGAATGCTTTGCTTTGGCCAGGGTGAGCTTAGATTGAATTTGTAGGTATAGAGCTGTTTCTCAAGGACAGCTCATGGACCATGTCAACTGTATTGTTAAATCAAAATCTCTAGGAGGTTTGAGCACTAAATCTACATTTTAACAAGTTCCTGGTTATTTTATCCATACTGAGTTTAAGAATTAAGAATTTTTGGTGTGGGGACTTGGTGAATTGGAAAGCAGGAACAGCTTCTTTCTCTTCCTGGTGTGTGCGCATTCCTGAGTGTGTGTGTTCATGTGTGTGTATTTAAGAACAGTAATGGGGGCGTTGAAGAGGTTGGAAGAAAGCCATTAGAACAGCATATAATTGATTTCAAGTACTATTGTATTAAATATCAACAAAACAGCTTTAGGCTTTTGTTTGAGTTTAATGTTTGGTCTTCCTAATATAGTAGATTAATTATTTCAATAAAACAATAAAATTTCTATGAGAGGGTAAATGGCATAACAATACACTCCTTCTCAAGTGCAGAACTTGAAAACACCATTCCCAAGCAGAATATAAATGCATTTTTTGGTGTATTATTCTCTGATATTTCCTCTTTTGAATAGCAGAGAAAGAAGTATGTGTGTGGCACTGTGGTTAAATATGGAATGCAGGCTCTAAAGGATTCCTTTTCCTCTGAAAGTCTTAACAGGCGCCTCACCTTTCTCTGGTTTTCCTTCTAGTCTCATGCAAAGACTAAACAACAACAATCAACTCGATAAAATAGTGTCCATAGGCCAGCTTAGGTTAGGCTGGTTGCATGGAAAGAATGTGACTGGGAATTCATATCCTAGAGTCAAGCCAGAAACTTAATGATTAAACAAATCACTTCCTTGAACGCAGTCTTTTTCCAAGGTTCTGTTAGCCATACTCTCAGGAAGCTGTGAAGTAGGGAGATCTACGTGGGGGTCTCTTTGTACTGAGACTCATCAGCATCTCGGAAAGCAGAAGGGCCTGAATTATTGCAGGCACAAGTGGGAGGCTGGGACAGCATTTCTGACTTCCTGGTGAGTTCTAATTTTCTTCTGAAATCACAGAGCTCCAGTAACTGCGGTCTCCCACAGGTTCATTTCTTGTCAGTATTGTTTGCATGAGTAAAATATCACCACTACATCCAGCCCAAAGGACCCGGTTACTTTAGTGGGTGGATGTCACAATCCAGAGAGGAACAAAGGGGGTTTCTATCTGCTCGCTGAGTGGCAGGGCAGAGGCAAGGCAGGTGCACAGAGATGAGGTCTAAAAGACTTCCTAAAATTGTGAGGCCACCCACTTGACTTTCGCTGTGGTAGTCCTACCAGATTGCAAGACCAATGCAGGTTCCTAGTGCTCTTAGGGCAATGGGACACCAGGCTACTTCCTGGGCTGAGACAGAGAGGCAGTTCTCAAGTACAAGGCACCGAGGATGCTCACATTTATTCTTGAAGCTCTTTCTTTCCATGGCTTGTGCCTTGGTACAAAAGCTCTGTAAAAGAGCAGATCAGGGACATTTGGTACGGGTCTGTGCAGGGACTCTGACACCACCACCAGCAGTGGTCACAGGTAAGCAGGGCTGCATCAGGGTATGAAGCCCAGCCCAAACGGAGGCAGTGATAGGAGCCTTGCTGGTTTCTGTGACTTCAAGAACAGAGCTGCAGTTCTTTATATATGTGCAGTCAGAAACGAGGCTGAGTCTGGTGGGGCAGGATTGCAGGGAGTTCCATTGTGTTGGAGATGGGAAGGCAGGTGAGGGCTGATAGCTGAGCAGGACAGACAAGTGCAAGAGGAAATCAAGAGAGGGCATGAACCCTTCAGACTCCCATGGTCAGGAAAGGCTTCCCAGAGAAGAAGGCTAAATCTTGAACCCATAGGACAGGAGGGGTATCCAGAAGTAAGGGGGGCAGCCTCAGACATTTGTGTGTCTTCAACACTAGCCTGTCAGCTTCCTGAGGTCAGGGGCCATGCCTGGCCCACCTGGGATATCCCACAACCAGTGCTAGGAGGGACTGGCCAGTAGGGGTCCAGAAAGTGTCTGCTGCAGGAATAAATGAGAAATAGAAAGAGGCTGGAGGAAATTGCTAGGACATCCCTAGCCTGAAGGGTTCACCTAATTGCACTGCTTAAGCCAAGATAGACAGGCAAGGTCCACTTTCACCAGAGTCAGATCTAAACTCCTTCTGGAAAAACTGGGAACTTGGTTCACAGGCAGAGAAGTTACACCTGCTTAGTGGAAGCTGAAGAGGTCACGGTCTGCTCCAAGAAAGATGTGGGATGGAGGCCCAGGGAGAAGGGAGGAGACCCCTACTGCAAGGAGCAGGGAGGACTTGAGTGTATGGAGTGACCACTCAGGAGAAAGTCCAAAGGCTGCCACCAGGACCCCCGGGGTCCAGTGGCCACCAGACCCTCCTTGTAGATGTTCCCTTCTCAAATAATCTCTTGTCTTCCATCTCCCATTTCTAGACTTTGCAAATAAAAAGTCAAGGGATTTTAGGAGAGAGTTCACCGGACAGTTTTAAAGATAATTAGAGGCTCAGATATGACCTGCAGAAAAGATTGGGGGCAGTAAAATCTCTCCTCAAGGAGCACTAAGGAGAGAGTCAATGTATTAATAATAAATAACACTTACTCAGGCCTTACCATGAAGCAGGCTGTCATCTAAATTCTACACATCATTTCATCTCCAATGGATTTTAAAGTGGAGATGATTGTGTGTTGTGGGTTGAACTAAGCTCCCCTTGACTCTTGCAATTTGTATGTTGGAGTCCTAACCTCCAATACGTCAGAGTGTGACCATATTTGGAGATAGGGTCTCTACAGGGATGGCCAAATTCAAAGGAGGGCATCAGGATGGGCCCTAATATACTGTGACTGATGTTTCTTTGAAAAGGGGAAATTTGGAGACAGACATACACAAGGAAAATTATGTGAAAAATACAGGGAGAAGATGTCGAAGACACAGGAGAAGACAAGCCAGGGAGAGGGGCTTAGAGCAGATTCTCCCTTGCAGCCTCAGAAGGAATCAGTCCTGGTCACACCTTGATCTCAGACTTCTGGCCTCCAGAATGGTGAGACAATAATTTCTGTTATTTAAGCCACATGGTCTGGGGTACTTTGTAATAACAACTCTAGCAAATAAATACAGTGTTGAATAGTCTTATTTTACAGATGAGTAAGCTGAGGCTCAAAAGGCTAAGTAACTCATCCTCCATCACAGCAAATCAATGGCAGAATCTGGATTCAAACTTAAGTCAACTGACTGTACAGTCCATCACACATTGCAGCCCCTTGGTTGTTATGGAGACTTGAGAAGTAGATAATGACAACTGATATGTTTTGGCCATGTCCCCACCCAAATCTCATCTTGAATTCCCATGTGTTGTGGGAGGGACCCAGTGGGCGGTAATCGAATCAGGGGGCAGGTCTTTCCTGTGCTGCTCTCATGAGAGTGAATAAATCTCATGAGATCTGACAGTTTTAAAAAGGGGAGTTTCCCTGCGCAAGCTCTCTTCTCTTGTCTGCCACCATCTGAGATGTACCTTTCACCTTCCGCCATTATTGTGAGGCCTCCCCAGCCACATGGCGCAGTAAGTCCAATAAACCTTTTTTTTTTTTTTTTTTCCAATTGCCCAGTCTTGGGTATGCCTTTATCAGCAGAGTGAAAATGGACTAATACAAAAACCTAGGTGAATCTGCATGAAGTCTTAACGAGGAGACCAGTGAACACCCTTAGATGGAGGTGAACTATGAGGGAGGAGAAACTCCATGCATATGGATTGTCAAACATCAGCACTAGGGAAGTTGCAAAATTCGCACCCTTTCAAATAAAAGTTACAAAATGAGATAAACAAATGAAACACTGTCACATCTTGCAGAAAGAGAGGGGGATGAATAGGATGGTCTCCTCTAGGGGCCATTCAGCTCTGGCTTGTCCTGGCCTAGCAAAGAGCAAGGGGGCCTGGGAAGTGACATCTGGAAGCCAGGAGCCTGGGGGTGGGGAGGGAACTCGGGGGGGAATCTCCTCCATTACCCAGCCTGGGGCCTTGCCACATACTTACAGGAAGAGGCTCGACTCTGTCGCAGGCCAGTGAATACCATCCAGGAAGCCTAAGGGCTTGATTTTGTTGTTTTTTCCTTGATTCCTAATCTTGGTTTCTTATTCTGTGCTTTATAATACTTTTATCTATAATAATTACAGATTAATACGGTAATTAGAGTCTTTAAGTTACCTTTATTTTATATTTTTCATAGCAACAATACCAATAAGAATTGTTGTTTTCTAATTCTATTATTCACCTATTAGCTGGCTTTCTTTGCTAAAGAACTTCTTCCCCTCCACACTTTTTATTTTTCTGCCCTGTCTGTCTTATTAATATTTTGAATATTGCTATGGGCTCATGCATTTTTATGCATTCAATATGTCAATTACCATCGTCTTCCTTTTTCAAGCTCCAGTGTCCCAAGTTAGGACATCCAGAGCCCTTCCCTCCAGTTTCAATGTCCTTTGACATCATCCCCTTAGACACTGAGTGCTCTGAGAGCCCCCTTGCTTTCTGGCTTTGAGGAACACACAGTCTTCAGCACAATTACTCAGGCCTGCATTGCAGCACGGAAGAAGACATAGGAAAAGTCTAGCTGAATGGCCGTGGCTGTGTTATTATAAAACTTTATTCACCAGAAGAGCCTTGGCCCTTGGCATGGTTCACCACTCTTGCTCTAAACAAGTCCTCATCCAGTATCTTTTCTCCTTTTGTTGTGAATCATGTTTTGGTGCCATGAGAAAGGGATGCTACCATGAAATCACAGTGCATTCAGACTGCCCCCAACCACGTCACTAGTTTTCCAGCAGTACACTTGGTTATATCTAACAGCAGAATAGCAGGATGTTATGAAAAGAACACAATATTCAGAGAAGGCCTGGGGTTAAGGCCCTACAAGGTCATCCTCCAGGTGTGTGATCTGGACACACCTTGCTACCTTGCAGAGAGGGTGGGAAGTTTGAATTAGAAAAGTGGCTTGTGCATTACACAGAGAGACGATCATGTTCTGCCAGTTCTTATCATCGCTACCATGTTGGTGATGGGGCTAAGCAAAACAGAAGACTAGACAGGAAAAGTCATGTTCAGAAATATGACTTTTTATAGTGGAGATGATTGTGTGTGTGGGTTGAACTAAGCTCCTCTCAACCCTTGCAATTTGTATGTTGGACTCCTAAGATATAAATTACAGTTCTCCCACTGAGAATAGAGAATTTATCCTCTCTCTCTCTGTGTGTGTGTGTGTGTGTGTGTGTGTGTGTGTGTGTGTGTGTGTGTCCTGTTCTTCAATGTCCAATAATTGTGTCCAGGGAAAATAGAGAAGTACAAATGTCAGACTCTCAAAAAATAACAGAGTAAGGGTTCTAGGTTGTAAATGCCTCAGTTCAAATCTTGGCATTAGTGCTTGCTTCTGGGTAAAATTGAGTATATTTCTCATTCTCTCCTTGCCTTCAGATTTCTCATCCATATTCTGAATATTAAAAGCACCTATTTTATAACTTTGTAGTAAAGGAAATATCCACATAAAGCATGTAGCAGAGTGTAAATCCTCATCCCTCTTCTAAAAGAGGCAGTTTGGGCATAGGGTGGCAGGAAGAAGGGAGAGGTTCTTTACGGAGTGTGTGATCCGCATGAGATGGCATGCCGAGTGCCATCTTTGCATGGCTTTATTTTTACTTTTAAAGATGAGAAAGCTAAAATGGAATGTCTAAAAGAGTATACAGGTCCTAAAGCCACACAGCCAGGGTGATGGAAATATGATATGATTCAAATCCAGACTCAGCGGCCCTAAATACTGTGCTTCAATCTTTAAAACCCAAAATACATGTGGACCAATGTTTGGAGCAACAAGAGGCTGTGCCTTTCTACATTGTCTAACTTTAGGGAGAGAAGCCTTCAAGACACGGAGAGACCTGGCCCCATGGAGAGAAAGAGCGATTCACACCTAGGAAGGTATAGTGTAGCCAGCAGTGCTCAGGAGACAGCACCAGATTTTTGCTGGTGAGAGACTTTTGATTCCTTTTCCCTTTGGGGCTCAAAGCTTTGATAAATACAAACACTCAGGACTAGACATCATTGCCTGTGGTAGTTCCATGTTTTATATTCACCTAAACATTATACTAGCTTCAAGCCTCTATTATTTGGTTGGAAAGGCAAATCTGGATTTAGTAAAAGACAAGTCAAACCCTTATATTCACTTTTGGTCATTTGCGCATCAGTGAAAACAATGAATAGAACTTCTAATGGTAAAACCCTTCGATGAAGCACAAATATTTATTCTGGGCTGAGTCATATCTCAGGAAAGCAGGCCTGTCATATCTGAAAACTGCCCCTGCCCAACTGTGAGTTCCAGGATTGCATCCACTTCATTCTTGAGCAATTAAGGGCAAAGACTATCTGCCCTGACTGTGGCCTCTTTCCATAGTCCTCAGCACTTAGAGGGGCTCAGCAGATCTTTATGGAATGATGAAATGATTTCCTAGTCACTGTGGTTTGATTATCCTTCAGCAGCAGGTCATTAGGGTTACAAATATCTAAAAGGACAAGATTGAATGGACAGTCTTTAGCACTATTATATTCCTAAAATTTCTATTTTTCATTATTACTATTCGTAACCATTTTTAAAAGTACAAATGAGACTCAAATGACAGTCAAATGCCTGCTACTTAATAATTTCTTCTTAGAGCCCACGATTGCTCCAGAAGGCTCTAAGATAATTAATGTACCCACTTGGCCATTTCTCCTTCAGCCTCCTCCTTATCCCAGGCCCATCTCCTCCCTACCATCACCTCCCTGCAGGCCAGTGTAGCACGAGCACACAGAACACAGCACGTGGCACATAGAACACAGCACACAGCACACACTATTCAGCAGAAGCTTCCCTGACTGTTCCTTCCAGACACCAGTTAGGGGCTGAATCTCCACTGCCAGGGAGGAGCAACCAATTACTGTGGAAATGAGCAGACTCAGTGGCTTCTCTGAGAAAACCTTTATAGTTATGAACAAGACAATGGCAATTACATAACGTTGGTCGCTTTTAATCAGTCTTGTTTGTGTGAAAGAAACCCTGAAATAGTTGAGCTGTGACAGCTTCTGGCAGGCAGTAGGCTACATGGCTTTCCAATAGCTATTTGGTTAATTAAAAGCGTTTCAGGCATTTCTTCATCTCCTCTAAATAGCTTAGGTCACTAAGAGGAGGGATTAGGCCACTCCAGTTCCATTTCGCACCACATCTTTCCGACTTACGTTACAGACCGCTTAGATACTGTAGGCCAACCAATCTTCAGGAAGGTTCAAAATCAGAGGGAGAAAAATGCACAGAGAAGCTAGTTTAGGAAATCAGATAATTAACTTTAAATCCTAACACCAGTTGAATTAGAAAAGACAAGACACGTATTTAAAATTTTTTAAAGTTAACCCATTTCAAAGGCACTCTTGTAGATGTCAGGAACATCACTGGTTTCCTTTGTTCCAAGGGGTAAGGAGATATTCGTGTTGACAGAACCTTGAGCATTGCTGAGCACAGAGCATCTCAGATTTATCAGAAGTACAGCCAGTGATCAGAGCTCCCTGTGTGTGGAGGCCATACTGATTTTGATTGGCACAAATGATTCCTCATTATTGTGGTAGTCAATAAGAAAAATGTTAAACATAATAAAACTCAAATAATCTTACATTTTTAGTACAAATGAGATTATAGTCCTCCTTTTAGTTGCTTATCATTTTTTAGCAAAACAACAAGTTGTCTTATTTACCTTTCAAATAATTAAAAAAATTTCAGTCTGCATTGAATGAGAATACTTCAAAATTATGGCTCATCAAATCATTCATTAGTCCTTGTAGATTGATTTACTGCCTACCCTCAATGTGTCAGGTACTAGCCTATTAGGTTGGTGCAAAATAATTGCGGTTTTTGCCAAAGGTAAAACTGCAATCACTTTTGCACCAACCTAATAGAAGAAAAGAAGGCTACAAAATATAGTTTTACAACATCCCTGCCCACAAGGACTCCATAAGCTAGTCAGGAACCCAATAATTTTACCAGGTGTTGATTGCTTCCTATTTGTGGGAAGCAGAGGAAATAGACTGACAGCTGTCTATTGTTCTTAAGCAAGATAAAATATACCAATGTCTTGGCATCCCTTTAAGAGGGTAATTAATACCAGCTAGCTGCTGTAACAACTACCATATCTGCATGGCTTAACACAGTAAAGGTTTATTTATTTTCACTCAAAGTCCCTACAGGTCAAGTGGCTCTC